>NC_000003.12:62131212-62434242 GCF_000001405.40 Homo sapiens
AGTAGCCCCTCCCCTTCTCATCCCCCTCCCACTGCTATGTGACAACGAAAAACGTCTCCAGACATGGTCACATGTCCCTCTTGTAGGGCAATATCTCCCCCATTTGAGAACCACTGCTCTCTTCTGGAGATGCTGAGGCTTAGGAGAGATGGAAGTGTGTGCAGTGTGTGTTATTGTCAGAGAGGACACACTAGGAACAGCAACCCAACAGGGAAAATTTGTAAGAGTAAAAAGGAATGTGGAAAATTTTCAGTCACCTTAAAATTAATTCTAGGGGTGGCTCTTGATTCCTCTGAATTGACCTGAAAACATCAAATTGGATTGTGCTACACAGTGAAAGGTTCATCAATATCTCAACTTCATTATGTGAGAAGTGGATTAGATATAAATACTATCAATGGGGGATGGGGGAAGCAGGAGCTATGCTGGCCGTAGATAATAGATTTTTGAAAAACTCTTTATTTTGGAAAAACTTAAATATACATAAAAGTAAAGAAAATTGTATAATGACCCATCCTATACCCACCACCCAAGGTCATAAATGATTGATTCAAGCTAATCCTGTGGCATGTATACCCCGCTCACTCCCCCTGCTGTTCACTCTTGGATTATTTTGAAACAAATTCAAGACGTCATTTCATGTCATTTGTAAATATCTCTGTATGTCTAAAAGAAAATACTTGAAAGCCAAAATTGTAATATGCTGCTAGAATTTTAATCTTCTAGAATGGGCAAGAATGAGGAGTTCTGCTGAGTAGTATCAGAAAGTTAAGGGAAAGAAGAGGTGGGAAGAAGACTGAAGAGGCTTGACTTTTGAGGGGGATTAAAAACCCCAGGAGGAAATGAAGGTGGGAGACACTGTCTCTTCAAGCTTCTCTCCCCTCCTCTTCTGCTTTCCATAACTTTTAGAATATGTGCTTTTTCACAGGGGACTGGGATCCTTACGAAGGAGAATAGGCTGGCAGAAAACAGATTCATTTTCTAAAAAGAAGGGAAAAACACAGTCACCAGAAGATGTTGAAATTTTCCGTCAATGATGGATTGCTCTCTCATGACTTTCAATGACTTTTTAGCCGATTGGGCCTACTTTTAATAAAACAAGGCAAGAAGAAAATCTTGCAGTTGCTTTTTAAGATTTTGCTAGGACTATAGTATTTCTCTCCTGTTACAATGTATTCTGAGAAGTTTCTTTCTTTTGATTTAAACTTCCTCACTTGATTTTATGATGTCATAAATCTCCTGCATTTGGTGAGAGCCATGGTGTATGTGAGACCTAAGCAGCTTGCTAGATAACATTCTATTCTCCCCCTTCTCTTTAGAAGATTAAACTGAGACTGTTGTGCCTGATGCCAGAATAGATTTAACCAATCATGTTTCCTTTACATTTAGGTCAGTCCGAGGGACAATTCTGCACTGGATCCTATTATCCACGGGTTGAAGGGTGTCGTACATCATGGTAAGTATGCCACATACACTTCCTTTTGCTGGGATGTGAAGGGCTCAGATCTCTACCTAAAAGAATCAGGTTATCTTGCAGAGGACAGAGGGTGACACCTATTCCTCATCCCCTGATGTTGAAGGGCATTAGAGCCATTATATGATGGGTAAAGAGCATGCCCATTTATTACCTGCAAATGGGTCTGTGTTAACAGTAAGCAGTTTGTTTCTTTTCAGGTACTAGTTTGAATGCATATGTTATAAATCAGAACACCTTAAGATGTACTATTCTTATGTGTTGAACTTGCCATTTGTTTCATATCTCTCCTAAAAATATTCTTTCAGTTGTCTTTTCACCTATAAATGTTTGGTTTGCATCACAGATCTAGGGCAGCATTTTAAGTAGCCAGACAAGTTATTAAACTTTGCAGCATGTGAACAAGCGTCATGCAGCTACTAGAATGGAAAAGGCCAGGCTGCTGTTCTGTGCTGCAGATCTCTTATCCTCAGGCATAAAACCGGGAGAGAAAGTAAGATAAATGGGTTCTGTCTTTTCCAACTGGTTTTTATTGGAAGAATTTCCCTGCAACTGTATTATCTGCACTGCATCATTACCTATGACATCAAGATCCTCTAATTTCAAAAGTACCCTTGTCGCAGTGAGGTGTGTAGTCGAGATGTAATGTAATGATTTGCAAAGTTTTAATAATCTAATTAGAATTCCAGAGACGTTGACAGAAATAGCATTAGTAACCATAATAAATCTCCCCTTCATCTCCACAGCTGTGATAAAACATCTTCACACCTTTTTGAGAGGATTGTCTTTAGACATTAGCCAACTCCATAGAGCTTAACAAACATCTTCCCCCTCTCTTTCCGTGAAACTAAAACCAGTTGTCAGGGGTCAATTGGAGCAAGTAGGATTTTGGATTAATTGTTCCGTTCTCAAAATTGGTCAGTCATGCAGCAGGTAACAATAGTAAACCTACTCAGTGTAGAAAAATAGGGTTACTGAAAACACCACATAGAGGCTTTCATTTTAAGATATTTCTGGGCCAGGCATGGTGGCTTATGCCTGTAATCCCAGCACTTTGGGAGGCCGAAGTGGGTGGATCACCTGAAGTCGAGAGTTTGAGACCAGCCTGGCCAACATGGTGAGACTCTGTCTCTACTAAATACAAAAATTAGCTGAGCATAGTGATAGGCGCCTATAATCCCAGCTACTCGAGAGGCTGAGGCAGGAGAATCACTTGAATCCGGGAGGCGGAGGTTGCAGTGAGCCAAAATTGCACCATTGCACTCCAGCCTGGACAACAGAGAGAGATTCTGTCTCAAAAAAAAAAAGATATATATTTCCATTGTTTCTTCCCAGTTCTCAGTTTCTGGAAGGGTACTAGCCCCATTCTTCAGGGCTCTTACCTCCCAAAGACTCCACCTCATGTCATAAACTTGGGGATTAGCATTTCAACATAGGAATTTGCTTAGGGGACACAAACCTTCAGGCGACAGCAGAGGCTGCTACATATGGAAAAACGATATCTGGCTCTGGGAGGGTTGCCAAGATGCCCGGGGTGTGGTTTCAACCCTACCCTCTAAGTGGGAAGTCAGATGAGACCTGCAAAATACACTGACCTACAAAGGAAGTTCACTTATTCATTCAGCAGAAATATATTTCATGCCCACGCTGTGCAAAGCCAGGTTTGGAACACTGATTAAGACACACACAGGCCAGCTCTCATGGACCTAGAAGGGAAGTGAAGTGCTGCCTTCCTCTCCCGCCAGTCTGCCTGGTATGCAGCCCCTCCCAGCTTGTGCATTTGCTGTTTCCTCTGTCGGGAGAGTTCTTCCTTCGCTTGTGCCAAGGGTGTCTCCTTCTTATGCCTTCAGGTCTCAGCTCTTATCTTGCCTCCTTAGAAAGTTGTTTCTTAAGTATCCTATCAAATTATTCATCCCACCCTACTCCCATCACTCTCTGTTACACCATCCCAGGTTTCTTTCTTCAAAGCACTTAAATGTATCTGAAATAACTGTGTTTGTGTTTTTGGTCATATATCAGCTTCTTGGGTATCAGTTTCCTGAGGGCAGAAAACCATGTTGATGTGGCACGCTGTGTCCAGCAAATAGTAGGTACTCAGTATGTTAGTCAAATGACTGAATCAAGTAAGCATACAAATAAATAAGTGAAAATTTTCAAAATATGAAATGGGATGAAGGGAAGGAGGAACTAAAGCCCATGTGGGTATTGCCTTGATTGAGAAGAAAAAGGAGTAGGAGTATGTCGTTCTTCCAAAAGGGAATGGAGGACATTAGAAATAGTTTTTTAAAAAAAACTTTTGTTGGAGGCCAGGGGCAGTGGCTCATGCCTATAATCCCAGAACTTTGGGAGGCTGAGGTGGGTGAATCACTTGAGCCCAGGAGTTTGAGACCAGCCTGGGCAACATGGCAAAACCTTGTCTCTACAAAAAAATACAAAAATTAACTAGGCGTGATGGTACATGCCTGCAGTCCCAGCTACTTGGGAGGCTGAGGTGGGAGGATCACCTGAGCCCAGGAGATCGAGGCTGTAGTGAGCCATGATCATGCCAGCCTCCAGCCTGGGTGACAGAGTGAGATTCTGTCTCAAAAAAAAAAAAAAAAGAAATAAAAATAAAAAAGCTTTTGTTGGAACTAGAAGCATTTCAGTTGAAAGTCCTGTGAGGGATTTGAATGATCTATTAATTTGAAGGAACATAAATAATCATGTCCTTCACAGTCTCTGGCTTGGGAACAATGACAGAGATGTGTAAAGAGAAAAATCAATATGGATTTCTGTTGCAGTTCAGAAATGACTTTTATTTCTTCAGCTCTGGGAATCATATATTAGAATGTTAATTTCTCATTAATTTTTTTTTAAACAAGAAGCATCTTAAATGTTTCTTCAGCTGAAATGTGAAGGAATAACCTGCTCATATCAGCCAACTGTATTTGGCAGTTGGTCATTAGGGTCCTCTCTTAAGCAGACGCCAAGGTGGAATTTGAAGTGCAAGAAAGATTTTTGGCAGGGAGGGTCTGCCTGGGAAGGATCAAATGGAGAAGGACCAGGGGTTGGTGGGGAGAGCGTTTGGGCCACGCATAGTGCAGGTCTGACACCTCTGCAAGGAGAGAGGTGAGCTAGGAGGATTGGCTGAAGGCAGCTGTAAGGAAGTCTTTGCCAAGCTGTCAGAGAGCCCCAGAGCAAAGACTGCCCCTGAAAGGAGTCCTGTGTTGGCAGGAATGGCCCAGCTCTTGTTCCCCACCATGTGTTGTCATTGGCTGGAGCGTCCCAGCAAGAATAGCCTGATTGTAGACGCTGGGCAGATCCTGGAGGTGCAGCTGCTGCAGGCTGTCAGTTCAACAAGCTCCTCACAGCAGCTTGTCTCTGAAAGGGGGATCTCAGGGGTGCACGCTTAAGAGTGGCACAGAGCTTCACGTCCCCTTCCAGAGGCACCTTCCTAATCACACTCCCGTAGTGCTCAGAGATTCTTACAAACAGTCCTGGCTCATTCTGTCCGTAGTTACTGAGTGCCTAATCTCAGTACACCATGAAGCTAGGCATTGAGACATGGACCTGCCCTCACCATGTATGCATATGCTTGGTAGAGATGTACAATTAAGTATGTAATGACATTAAAGTGTGGGAAGCAGCACACTTAACTCAAACTTTGGTGATTGGAGGTGGCTCAAACCAAGTGAACATTAAGACCCAAAGAGTGCATAGAGATTATCCAGACAGAGAAGGGATGCAGGCAGGACCAGTATAGATGAAGGTGTCTGTTGGTAAGAGAGGATGTGGAGAATGGTGAGAATGTGGAGAATGGATGACCAGCTCAGTGGTTGGACTGAGAAGAAGCTCCAAAGCATTTCCCAGTGCTTTGAGGCTTGGAGAATGGTGACTGATACGGTTTGGCTGTGTCCCACCTAAATCTCATCTTGAATTCCCACGTGTTGTGGGAGGGACCCAGTGGGAGGTAATTGAATCATGGGGGCAGGTCTTTCCTCTGCTGTTCTTGTGATAGTGAATAAGTCTCACAAGATCTGATAGTTTTAAAAAGGGGAGTTTCCCTGCACAAGCTGTCTTCTCTTGTCTGCCGCCATGTGAGACATGCCTTTCACCTTCCACCATGATTATGAGGCCTCCCCAGTCACGTGGAACTGTGAGTCCATTAAATCTCTTTCTTTTGTAAACTGCCCAGTCTTGGGCATGTCTTTATGTGCAGCGTGAAAACAGACTAATACAGTAACATTGCTTCTCTATTGCTTTTCTAGGGAGAGACACCCTAGAAACCTCTTGACCACATAAAGTGCTGTGTCTTACATGTTCATTTGTCTAGGCAAATTGTGACTTTTACTAACTCAAAAGCCATGAGGAAATATAAATAGAATGGAGTGAGGTGATTTGCCATTGATTCTGGTCCCATCTATCTACTCATGCAGTGATAGATGGAAGCACTAAAAGGTATCTAATCAAGTATTTTATTTGCCCTATTATCAACATCCACTGGAGAAGAAAGACTTAGGGGAAAATTGTAAATCCTATTCACTGTATTGGTTCAGTCATTACCAGCACTTTTTGTATACAAGAACCAGCAGTTGCAAGTGGCCATTTCTGATGAAAATACTGGTTGCTAAAACTTAGTCTAGTTCTGATGTGTTTAAAATCCATTTTTTAAAAAAAAAATCCTGTTTGTGAATCGGTGTAAAAATATAGTCTTTCCTTCTAAGTGAGAGGCAAGAGGTCAGGTGAATATGGCAGATGAGGCAAAACTCTGCAGCCCAATTTGTTCAACTTTTGAAGCCTTAGGTTGTGCAGCATGTGGTCAGGCGTGGTCATGGAGAAGAATTGGGCCCTTTCTGTCGACCAGTGCTGGCTGCAGGTGTTGCAGGTTTCAGTGGATGTCATCGATTTCCTGAGCATACTTCTCAGTTGTCATGGGTTCGCCAGGATTCAGAAAGCTGTAGTGGATCAGACCGGCAGCAGAGACCACCGTGATCTTTTTTTGGTGCAAGTTTGGCTTTGGGAAGTGCTTTGGAGCTTCTTCTCAGTCCAACCACTGAGCTGGTCATCACTCGTTGTCATATAAAATCCACTCTTCGTCGCATGTCACAGTCTGATCGAGAAACGATTCATTGTTGTTGCATAGAATAAGAGAAGACCACACCTCAAAACAGCAATTTTAAAAAAATTTTTGCTCAACTCATGAGGCATCCACTTATCGAGCTTTTTTACTGTTCCAATTTGCTTCAAATGTCGAACTACTGTAGAATGGTTATCGCTGAGTTCTTTGGCAACTTCTCATATAGTTGTAAGAGGATCAGCTTCAATGATTGCTCTCAATTGGTCATTGTCAACTTATGCTTCTCATCTTCAAGGCTCTCTTCTCTTTTGCAGAACTTCTTAGACCACTGCTGCACTGTATGTTCATTAGCAGTTCCTGGGCCAAATGCATTGTTGATGTTGTGAGTTATATCTGCCGTTTTACAACCCATTTTGGACTCAAATAAGAAAATTGCTTGAATTTGCTTTTTGTCTAACATCATTTCCATAGTCTAAAATAAATATAAAATAAACAGCAAGTACTAAGTCATTAGCAAAAACACAAAGTGAGAAATGTGCATTAAAATGATGTGTAACATAACCATATTTATTGAAGAATGCATTCCCACATCATTGTTGCAAATATGAACAGTGCAAAAACTGCAGTTCCTTTTGCACCAACCTATTTGCATCAACAATTTTACCTAACTGGTCCATGTTAAGAAATGTGTGTGGGCCGGGTGCAGTGGCTCATGCCTATAATGTCAGCACTTTGGGAGGCCAAGGCAGGTGGATCACCTTAGGTCAGGAGTTGGAGACCAGCCTGGCCAACATGGTGAATCTCCATCTCTACTAAAAATACAACAATTAGCCAGACATGGTGGCACGCATCTGTAATCCCAGCTACTTGGGAGGCTGAGGCAGGAGAATCACTTGAATCCGGGAGGCAGAATTTACAGTTAGCTGAGGCTGCGCCATTGTACTCCAGCCTCAGTGACAAGGGCAAAGCTCCAAAAAAAAAAAAAAAAAAAAAAGAAAGACGAAATACATGTGCATTATACGTCGCTTCTCGTCCTTTCGGCTAAGATCGAGTATGTGTGCGTTATGTCCTGTGTCAGTTAAGAGGTGTGTGTTTTTTCTTTTCATGTTGTTGGAATACATAATTTGTCTTCCTTTTTATAGTGCTCACTCCAGGAAAATCCAGCAGGCTGTTTGTGTACATACACATATACTGTGAAAAGACTTCAAAACACCATCCTCTTGTGTCAGTCGTCTAAAACGGACCACTTTTGTATTCCTGATAGGAAACTTGCCTGTGGTGATTGCTTGGTATTTTATCATTGTCTGCTTGTCCTCTTTTCCCACCCCTTCCTCACTGTCACTTTCCTCTCCTGGAGAATGTACCATCTTAGTGAGGTGTAATAGGTTTCTTTTTCTTTCAGAGGAAATGTGAGGGGGACAGTCAGAAATTGCCACAGACAGCTGGGTACAGTGGCTCACACTTGTAATCCCAGCACTTTGGGAGGCTGAGGTGGGTGGATCACCTGAGGTCAGGAGTTCGAGACCAGCCTGGTCAACATGTTGAAACCCCATCTCTACTACAAAAATTAACCAGGCTTGGTGGCGGGCACCTGTAATCTTAGCTACTCGGGAGGCTGAGGCAGGAGAATCGCTTGAACCTGAGAGGCGAAGTTTCCAGGGAACTGAGATCGCCCCACTGCACTCCAGCCTGGGAGACAGAGGGAGACTCTGTCCCCCCTTCCCCCAGAAAAAAGCCAAAAAGAAAGAAATTGCCACAGACATAATGAAATCTTCTGCTGGTCAGAGCTAGACGGCTGCTCTCTCTCGGTCTTCCCTTCCCTGGCTCTTCCAAGAAAGCTATCAGTGAAAGGACAAATAAGTTATCACCTGAGAACTCGCTTCTATTAGTGTCACAAAATGAGGCTCTTGCAAGCTTTTCTTGTCGAAACACGGCACTGGCAGTTGTGGCTATGACAAGATCAAAACTTTTCTAGCAGACCAGCTTTCTCATGTGACTAGTTTGTTCACTTGGCTCACATTTGGGGTCTCCCTCCACCTTTTTGCCCCTGCCCTGGGACACCCATCATCTCCTCACCAAATCTATGGACAAAGCCCTAGAATAGCTAGAGTCACTCCAGGCCTCTAGCAAAAAAGGAAGAAATAACAGTGAATTTGCAAATATGCATTGACTGCCCTGCCAAGCATTTCCAGAGAGTGGAGAAAGCTATCTGAGAAACTCCACATCATTCATCTTTCCGTATTCCACCTGCTGGGACTGAAGTTTCTACAATAAAGAGTAACGGAGTGTCATCTCCAGGTCAGTCCTCTGAATTCCTTCTAGAACAGTGGGTAGACTTCATCTTACACAATTGCTGTTGCATCACCAGCCACACATTCACTGTTTAAAAAGAAACCGGCCCCAGGATATGGTGCTGCCTGCACTGTTCCCCTGCCGGGGATGCACTTGGTTCAGCCCCTTAAGAAGACCATGTGCCTATTTCTGCTGACGTTACACATGCACCCCGCCCTCTGAGCCAGAAATACCACACTTAAGTATATCCCCAAGAAAAATATTGACAAAAGACTTGTGCATATGAGCCTTATTCATAATAGCCACAAACTGAAAACAGCCTAAATGTCCATCAGTGGGAACACAGATATAGAAGTTATAGACTGTTCATACAATGGAATATTATGCTGCACTTACAAATAATGAACTATATAGATTTACACAAAAGCAAAACAGTGGGTAATGCATGATTCCATTTATGTAAAGTGTGAGAACAGGTCCATCCACAAAATTAATCCATAGTGATGAAAGTCAGAACAGTGGGGAGGAGGGGCCGGGTGCAATGGTTCATGCCTGTAATCCCAGCACTTTGGGAGGCCGAGGTGGGCAGATCACCTGAGGTCAGGATTTCAAGACCAGCCTGACCAACATGGTGAAACCCCTTCTCTACTAAAAATACAAAAATTAGCCAGGCATGGTGTTATGCGCCTGTAGTCCCAGCTACTCAGGAGACTGAGGCAGGAGAATCACTTGAACCCGGGAGGTGGAGGTTGCAGTGAGCCGAGATTAAGCCACTGCACTCCAGCTTGGGTGACAGAGTGAGATGAGACTCGGTCTCAAAAAAAAAAAAAAAAAAAAAAAGAGTGGGGTGGAGGAATATATTGAGTGAAAAGGAACCTGAGGAAATTTTCTTGGGTAATAAAAATCTTTCTCTATCTTGATCTAGAGGATGATTGCCCAGGTATAATATAAAAATTTCCATGCTGTCCCCTTAGATTTCTGCATTTGAGTGTTTGAAAATTAAAGAATAGCTCATATATATTACACATTAATTTCCCAAATATATTGCTTCCACAAAGCTTAAAAAAATTAGCAGCACATACCAAATAGTCAAATATTAAAAATCTTGACAGTGTCAAGTGTTGGCAAGGATATGAATGCAGGAACTCTCATGTTGTTGGTAAGGAGATAACTGATATGATCACTCTTTAGAAAATAGTTTGGCAGTATCTAGTAAAATGAATCTAAGAGATTCCATTTCTATGTCTGTCCCCTAGAGAAACTCATATATGTGTACCAAGAGATGTATAGGCCAGGCGCGGTGGCTCATGGCTGTGAGCAACTTTGGAGCCGAGGCAGGTAGATCACTTGAGCCCAGGAGTTTGAGACCAGCCTCAGCAACATGGTGTTTTATCTCTACAAAAAAGTAAACAAAATTAGCCTGGCATGGTGGCACCCACCTGTAGTCCCAGCTATTTTGGGGAGCTGAGGTGGGAGGATCGCTTGAGCCCAGGAGGCAGAGGTTTAGTGAGCCAAGATTGTGCCACTGCACTCCAGTCTGGGTGACAGAGCGAGACCTGGTCTTAACAAAAAAGAAGACATGTGGCTGGCCGCAGTGGCTCACGCCTGTAACCCCAACATTGTGGGGGGACGAGGCTGGTGGATCCCTTCAGGTCAGGAGTTCGAGACCAGCCTGGCTAATGTGGCAAAACCCTGTCTCTACTAAAAAAAAAAAAAATACAAAAATTAGCTGGGTCTGGTGGTGCGTGCCTATAATCCCAGCTACTTGGGAGGCTGAGGCATGAGAATCACTTGAACCCAGGAGGTTGAGGCTGCAGTGAGTCAAGACTGCACTCCAGCCTGGGTGACAGGGCAAAACTGTCTCAAAAAAAAAGAAGACATGTGGGCAAGAATGTTTGTGGTGGTGATTTTCCTAATTACCCAAACCTAGAAATGCCTCAGGTGCCCATCATTAGCAGGCTGGATAAAGACGTAGTGGTGCAGTCATAGAATAGAACATTTCACCACGATGGGAAAGAATGGCCCACTCAACAATATGAGTGCATCCGAGATTGGTAAAGTTAAGCAAGGCAGGCTGAATGAGAACTGGCCTCAAATTCAAACCTAATCTAAAAGGAATCACCTTTGAAGTCTTTTTACGTCTTAGCAAGCTTCTGAAGAAAACATTGTGCATTCCCAAAGATAAACTTCAAAACATGAGAAAACCCAATCTTTATTGCTTAGGAGTTTATATGTGGGTGGTAAAACTTAAAAGGAAACCCAAGTGATTATTTCAAAATGAGGATGGTGGTGACTTCTTGGGGGTGGATGAGAGAGTGACAAGGGGCTGGCTGGCCGGGTAGGGGAAGGCAAGGTCTTCTCGTGTTCTGAGTGTTGGTCACACACCCACACACCAGAGCTCACTTCAGGATCATTTTTCAACAGTACCTTGATGTTTTGCACGCCTTTCTGCATGGGTGTTATATTTCACAATCAAAGAAGACAATGATTAACATTAGAAAGGAAGAGATTCAGACATTGCTTTCCTCTGGGACACATCAAGTTCCAAGTGGCCTCACAACAACCAAAGGGGAGTGACAGCACTTTTTAAAAACTTTCTTACCATAACTACCCCTGACAGGCTGTGTGTTCTCTCCACAAATTGATTGCAGTCCAATGAAAGAACTCTGCCTGCCTTGGAATTGTATCATTAAGAGGTAACTCTGAGAGCAAATATCTCCTTGTAGAGATTAGAAACAGGAATCAGAAACAAAGGGGATGGGTTGTCAAGTGACAGGTTTAAACACAAAGGGCGCCTCACTGCTGCTGTGCTGGGGCATGCTTGCTCTGTCTGATTAGCCCAGCAGGGATCACTGCATATTCCAGAAACCCTCTGAGATACAACCACCATGGCCCGCATCATATAGAAAGGCAAGCAAAGCAGTCAGAGGCGGGGCGACTTGCCCCAGCGTCACATCATGAGAAGTGACCCAGCCCAGAGTCTAACCAAGGTCTTCCTGACTTCAGACTGGCTCTTCTGACTCCAGGTCCTCTCCCGCTCAGATCCCTGCCAGGCTCCCCACCTACCTTTTTCCATCTTGATTGAAGCTCATCATATGGGTTTTGTTGAAGGGGCAAGTGAAGACATATTGAACAGGACCATAATCTGTCACTGTCACCCTGACACCATTGTGACTATCCTTGTGGTCCAAAAGCTCGAAATAAGCCATCTGAGGCCAAATGGCTGAAGTTTCTGAAAATATCTTTTGTGGACTTTGGAAGAAGAGGACAAATTCTAGAACAAGCGACTTTTGGGAAAAATGAATCCTGAGGCAGAAATGTCATTATAATCCAGCAGCAAGAAAATGGAGCAGAGCTGAGTTGCTGTGAGGGGTTCTTGCCTGTTTTTGTGTGTGTGAACTGCCAAGCTCCCTGAATCAGAGTCCACACATCCTTCCATCAACTGACTGCCTAAGGTGCTGAGGGTAAAATGAACAATATTTCTCTTGTCCTTGGAAAAATTTTAGTCTCATGAAGAATCTTTTTTTTTTTTTTTTAATTTTTTTGCCCTTGACTTTCTTAGCGTAAAGACTAATGTTACTTGCATGCAAAGTAATCTCACGTTGAACCTTTGGAATGAGCTTTATTAAAAGTCTCCATTATGGAATACTTTTAAAGAAACAGAATTTTGTTATTTTTCACTTGAAGTTGGACTCTTAGGAACACAACTGAATGAGGTTTCTAGAGCAGTACTTCAAAGTTCAGGCTGGCCTGGGTTTGAATTCTGGCTCTCCAGTTTGGGAGCTGTGTGACCCCAGTACAAATTACTGAACCTCTCTGTCCCTGACTTTCTGCCTTGTAAAATTAGGATAATGAAAGTGCTTATCTCACGAGTATCATCGCTAAATGCATTAAGACAGGGAAAACACAGAGAAAAGAAGGCGTGCCTGGTATGTGTTCAGTGCCCTCTAAATCAGTGGTCAGCAAACTATAATCTGCAGACCAAATCCAGCCCACTGCTTGCTTTTGTAAATAAAGTTTCATTGGAACACAGCTGCACTCACTTGTTTACATATCATCTATGGCTACTTTTGCACAACAATGGCAAACTTGAGTAGCCGTGACAGACGCACTGGCCTGCACCACCTTATGTGTTTAATCTCTGGCCCTTTAAAGAAAAAGTTTGTCAATCCTACCTCATCTAAACGGTAGCTATTGTAGTAGCTCTACTAATAGTGTTGCCTGCACCCAGTAATTTGTTTATGTTGGGGCAATGTAAATACTCACTCAGGTCATTACTTACCATTTGCTAGGCTTTACAGAGATAGGTTTCAGTTTTCATTTTGCCAAGATCATCACATGTTTCAACTGAATTAATGAGGGTTCTGTTTTAATGTTTAACTTAAAGAAATCCTCCAAATTATTTTCTCCCTTTTGAACAGGAAAACCAATGCTGTATTATCTATAGCTCACTGATAATTTTGAACATCTCAACATGCAACAAAGTTTCCCGTTTGAAGTTTGTGTTTCCAGCATTTAATTACATGGAACTTTCCTGAAATGTGCTATAAATATGCAGCACCCTGATCTTGGCTAATTGGCTCACATCTATTAAGGATCCAGGAAGGACTGATGCTTATCAGAACACGTTTGATCTCAAAATCTTCTAGAAACAGGCACACTTAAGCCATTTCCACCATTTCCTGGATTTCAGTGCATCAGAACCACCACCATAGATGTGAGCTATTTCCACTTCTTTTCTTAGCCAGGAAATGGGATGCTGTGCGACTTCTATTTTATCACTAATAGTATTGTTAACAATAATGTTAAGACGTAAAAAGACTTCAAAAGTGATTCCTTTTAGATTAGGTTTGAATTTGAGGCCAGTTCTCATTCAGCCTGCCTTGTTTGTCAATATTTTATCGTTTGAACAGGATTATGGGAACCCAGGGAAATGCCGTTTTCCTGCTTGTTTCAGTGGGATGTGAAGAGCAAAGAGAGCTCTTAAAAAAATACCTCCATTTGCCTACTGCAAAAGTGCCTGCTAAAGTGCTTGGGACTACCGTGTGTGATTTTCTTAACCTGCTCGCCTGCTCTATGTATGTCACCTCGGTATAGGAGAGACAGACACTATTGCGTAGTGGGTTTGAAATCCAGTTCTGCCTTTGACTAGTCGTACAACCTGAACAAACCACTTCACCTCTTTGTGGCTCAGTTTTCTCAACTGCATCGTGAGGTAATACTAATACCAGTCTTGCTGGTTTATCCTGAGGATTCAGTGACTTACTGTACATAACTGTGCCTGGCATGTGGTAAGCACTCAGTGATAGCTGTCACCACTGCCACCAACCCCCACTGCCCATCATCATCATTATTGTTACTTGTGGACTTGAATATGGAAACCACGTGATGACAGGAAATGACTGCAGAGTTCTGGGTACTGCCACCATCACTGCCCATGTAGTAAAATGGAATGCATGTTGCTCAACTTAATTCGTCCATACAAAAATAAAATGAAATGATGAAGATGATGATGATGATGATGATGATGACGAAGATGATTTGGGTAGCCAGTTTCTTTTGAGATCAGGGGAAAGGGTAGTGGACAAAGAACCAGGAAGTGGGTGAAAGGAAGAAGCAGCAGCCTCTCTGCTTCTGCAACTGTTAACCTCTGTCTGTGCACCTAACCCTACCTGGATGTTCTATAAATACAATCTTATTGAATCCCATCAGCAACACGTTGAGGTAAGAATTCTTAATCCCATTTTATAAATAGGTAAAGTGAGGTTTTAGAGAGATGAGCGAATGTATCCCAGCCATGCAGTGGAACAGTGATTTGAACCCAGTTGTATTGGACTCTGAATCACATTTCTTTGTGCTCTGCTGGGCCAGCTTCTAAGTCCCAGCATCGACTAACTTTCTGATAACTGTCAAAAGCACTTAACTCTTGTATATCTTGGTTTTCCTTTGTGAATTAGGTCATTGACTGAGCATCAAAAGGAAGCTAAAAGAATGTACACGTCGTGTCAGTTATGGCCACCAGAACCCTGTAGGGGAGAAAGGCAATCAATGAAACTGTTCAGTGATAATATTGGGTTTTTGTCACTGTATGACTCTATATAATTTAAATGTCATGTTCATTTCCTTAATTGTTGACAAGACTGCTATCTTTATGTGCTTTCTCTTTGGAAATATTAATGTCAACATACATTTCATTTAAACATCAACCCTTAAATCAAAATGCCATCCTTGGTCAGCTGAAACCTCTAATAAAGTTGGAGGAGGCTAGATGTCTTAGATGTCTTTGAACCCTGTGGGGTGGCTATTCATGACCTTGGATTGCTCTTCTCCAGGTGCTTCAAGACAGGGATCTGATTAATAAGGTGGACTGTCTCCCTCCCAGGCCACCTGCTTCAGACCCCACAGCACTAGTTATTCATGCCATAGTATGGGCCCCGGGATTTTCTCTGGACTGTGCCTGTAAGGAAGGCCATGAGGCATGCATTTAATCCTCTGCCTGCTGATGGAGAGTGTTTCACAGGCAAAAGTAAATTCCATACCTCCATCACTGCATGGAGTTGGCCCTATTCATGCTCATATGTATTGCCTGTTGCTTTTAAAAAAAAAAAAAAATACGCCGCCCTCATATAGGAGTGCAGGGGTTGGCAAAATTTCTCTGTAAGGTGACTGATAGCAAATATTTTAAGCTCTGTCAGCCATATATTCTCTGTTGCAACTACTCAACTCTGCAGTGGTAGCCTGAAAGCATCCGTAGACAATGCATAAACAAATGAGCTGTGTACCAACAGAACTTCATTTACAAAAGTAGGCACTAGGCCAGATTTGGCCCATGTACCATAGTTTGCCCACTTTTGACTTAGAGATATGTCGTGAGTTAGTTTGGTCAATTTCTTTTAGCCATGTATGAAAGACCTACTTTATAAAGTGCTACGTTGGGTGCTGGGGATAAGGTCAGGAGGCATGGTCTTGCTGTAACAGAGCCTACAACCTGTCAAAGAGACCATGTTAGCCAATTACGCAGACTGAAACCCAGGTCTTAACAACCTATGACCTTGGGTAAGTTCTCAGCCCTCACTAGGATGTTGATTCCTACTTCATAGGGTTATGAAGCTTCACTTAGAGAAAGGCCACAGCAGGGCCTGGCACCCAGTTTCTGAACCGTAAGTGTGAACTGGGAAAAGGAGGCAAACTGAAGCAAATCCCACAGTGTGGAATGGAGTCTTGGGGTGCAGGTCAGTGAAGGGTAAACTGAGGCTAGAGAACCCAGTCACTGTAAACAGATGAGAGTCAATGCTGCTGCTGCCTGGCCCTATGCACATCCTTTACTGTGGTCACATAAAACAACAAGCTCTAGACCTGGCTTCTACTAGACTCAGAAAGTTGACGGGGCCCTTTGCTGTGAGTCCTACTGAATAATGTCAGTATCTTAGTTAATCAATTCTGCGACTCTCATGTCTTCATATTTTAGCAACTCTAAAATTGGGATGCATCTTTGAGTTCATATCAAGTCATTGTTTAATTAGCAACATGTTTCCTTTATTAGTGGTATTGGAATAATGATGCATCTCACGATTGATGTTGACTTGGAGATGAGGAAAACAGTATCTGGGACTTGTTTGTTATTTAAAATATACCAATAGCTACTGTGCTTGTTTGTTTCTTCATTCTCTTTTCACATAATTATTAGGCACCTACTGTGTTCTGGGGAAGTGTTTTAGCTGCTGGATATATGTACAGGCAAGGTCTTCGCTCTTGTGGAATAATCAAGCTGTTGTGGCAGACAGTAAACAAAGGAATGCTGGAAAGGAAATGAAGGTGTGATGCAGAAAGTTAATAACAAGCTGGGCGTGGTGGCTCACGCCTGTAATCCTAACACTTTGGGAGGCTGAGCCAGGCGGCAGGAGTTCAAGACCAGCCTGGCTAACATGGTGAAACCCCGTCTCTACTAAAAATACAAAAAAATTAGCCAGGCATGGTGGTGCACGCCTGTAGTTCAAGCTACTCGGGAGGCTGAGGCAAGATAATCACTTCAACCCGGGAGGTGGAGGTTGCAGTGAGCCGAGATCGTGCCACTGCACTCCAGCCTGGGTGACAGAACAAGACTCTATCTCAAAAATAAATAAATAACAGAGAAAACATACTGAGATGGGGGGCTCAGGCGGTGACATTTGAGCTCAGACATGAAGGATGAAAAGGCATCATCTCTATGGAGGGTGGTGGGAGGGGAAGCATTCCAGGCAGAGGGAACAGCAAGGTGAGGAGGCAGGTAGGTGGTCAGCAAGGGAGAGAGAGGAAAATACAGGCTGCAGTGGTAGACAGGTCATGTCGGGCCCCATGGCCACCATAAGGAGTCTGGATTTTATTCTAAATGAACCAAGAAGCCACTGGAAGATTTTAAGCTGGCCAGTGTCAGGATTAGTTTTACATTTAAAAAGCTAAAAGAGGCTGGGCGTGGGTGCCCACGACTATAATCCTAGCACTTTGGGAGGCCGAGGCAGACAGATTGCCTGAGGTGACTCAGGAGTTTGAGACCAGCCTGGGCAACATGGTGAAACCCTGTCTCTACTAAAAATACAAAAAATTAGTTGGGCGTGGTGGCGTGCCTGTAGTCCCAGCTACTCGGGAGGCTGAGGCAGACGATCACTTGAACTCAGAAGGTGGAGGTGGCAGTGAGCTGAGGTCACGCCACTGCACTGCAGCCTGGGGGACAGAGCGAGACTCCGTCTCCACAAAATAAATAAATAAATAAATAAATAGCTAAAATAGTTGCCTAGTCTTCAGTGAGATTTCCTCACCTGATCCTGCAGATGAGGACCCCAGAGCCCAGGGATCCAGAATGAGGGTGGTAGAAAGATGGGCATAAGGAGAGCTAGATCCCTTCCCATGTCACACACAGTGCAGTTGTGGTCCAGCCTCTTTCCTTGTAAACCTTGTTTTCCTCTCATATATAAGACAAAAAACTAGTGTCTTTGAGACCTCGATTTCCCCATCACCCAATCATAACTTCAGTCTTGTGCCTGTTCCTTAAAATCATTTACTGTGAAGCCTTGCAGATGGCCCTACTTTGCAAACAGGACAGCCCCATTCCCATGCTGTCATTCCCATTACATCCTACTTATTAATGACAGAACGATGACATGCTTTGAGAATCAACACCCTGCTATAGAGAGCAAGTATTTTTGTTTGTATTTGGATCATAAAATTAACTCCCTCTGGGGTCCCCCTAGGGAGGCCTCTTTTTTTTTTTTTTTTCCCTCAAGGCAAGAGTCTCACTCTGTCACCAGGCTGGAGTGCAGTGGCGCGATCTTGGCTCACTGCAACCTCCACCTTCCCAGTTCAAGCGATTTTCCTGCCCCAGCCTCCCAACAAGCTGGGACTACAGGCACACGCCACCATACCTGGCTAATTTTTGTATCTTTAGATGTGGTTTCGCCAAGTTGGCCAGGTGGTTTCAAACTCCTGACCTCAGGTGACCCACCCACCTTGGCCTCCCCCAAAGTACTGGGAATACAGGCATGAGCCACTGCGCCCGGCCATCTTCGTTCTAATCTAATACTTTCCCACCTCCCTGCTGCCTTCTGGATTCTCACCCTCAGCCTCTTTCTTTCCTCCCAACTTGCCGTTTCTCACCCCTGTGTTTGGCAGGCCCTCCTGTTGCCCACTGTCACACCCACCTAAGACTCCTCCCAGGTTACACACTACATTCATGGCCGGTCTAGACTTAACCCAGAGCTGCTGACTCCATGTCTAGTGTTTTACTCAGTTGTGTCACCTCTTCATAATTCTGAGCGGGATTATCAATTGTACTTACCCAAAAGCTGATTTTTTCCCCCCCTCAATCCTGGGAAGTTTTGGACAGTTGATCTTTTCCTTCTGTTTTCCCTCCTGCTTACTTCACTCCAACCATTTCTCTTTAAACCAGGCAGAGTCCCTCTGCACTGGCTTTTCTCCCTTCCTGGAGTGTTCTTCTCCCCATGTAGCCATGTAGCTCAGTTCCTCACTGCCTTCAGGCTTTCAATCAAATGTTTCCTTCTCAGTGATCCTGCCCTTGAAATTGCTGTTTGCAAAACAGTGGTCAGGATAGGCCTCATTTAGAAACGGTGATTCAAATATGACTAAGTTTGCTAACAGCTGCAGAACATTTGGTCCCAAAGCAGCCGTGAATGGAGTAATGAAGAAATGTTCTGGACAGAGTGAAGAGCCAGTGCAAAGGCCCTGGGGGCAGTGTGTTCATGGGACAGCAAAGAGGCCAGTGTAGCTATACCTAAAAATCAGAAAGTGGAAGTGAATGAGGCTGCACAGGATGTAGGAACCCTTTGATACAGTCCCTGTAGAAAGTGGCTAGTCAGATATGGTCCTGAGACCAGCAGCATCCATTTTATTAAAAACGCAGAATCTCAGCTCTCATCCCAGACCTACTGGATCAGAATCTGCATTTTAACAAGCTTCCCAGATGATTTGCCTGCACATTGAAGTTTAAGTGGCGCTGTCATAAATCATCTTCCATTTCTAATGACTTAATGCCCAATTCTTTCCACTATCCACTCCTTCCTTCCCTCCTTGCATAACACCAGGCAGAGGCTAGCCCTGCCCCAGTGATCTTAGGCATTTAAGGAAAAGTTAATTGCTTTTCCTCTAAAAAAAAAAGTTGTGGGAAACCCTGAAGAAACCAAATAATCATTGGGCTAAAAACAGAAGCTTGGGCTTTCATACACTTTCCTAAAATTAATTGGTCCTTTGTTTAGGGAATGCCTCAGGTTTTCTTCCCCTAGAAACTACCACATCCTGTCCAAATAACCTTCCAATCTTCCAATGTAATACATTGTTTATTGGGGTGTGGGAGTGGGTGTTCAGTGCACTTCCACAATTCCTGATTACTGCACAGGTCTCTTCTATACATTGACTGTTCATCGTATTTTATAAAGAGCTTTCTTTTTTTCCTATATAACCAAAGCATTGAAAATATTAGGCTATTAACATACCAAGAAATGCAATCAATCAGCTGATTATCATCTAATGTTTTAATGATCACATTTTTAATCCAATTATCCATGTTTGAATCTTTCAGATTTTCTTTAATTAAAAATTGCCTCCTTGCACTGCTATCAGAAGTAAGAAATTGAACAGAATCAGCCAGATATAATTTAATGTTGAAAGGAAACTGCAAGGATAACTGGGCCGCGCTGGGCTTAATGGTTGACCATGACTTGAAAGCCCTTATACAAAATTTCCTAATTGATAAGAAAAATTTAATCATCTTCAGATATAAACCCTTTGCATTCAAATAAGGTATTTCTTTTTCCAAATAAATCTCCCCTAACTGGTTATTCATATTGTCATTCAAAATGCTTAAAAATGAAAGAAAGCGTTGGGTGAAATGTAGACTACTTAATACAGTGTGTATTTAATATAAAAGTCATACATTATTCATTTTTGCAATTTGAATAACTTTGAATTTAGCATCGCTGTTCCTCATCTTTTTCTTTGATGAACAATTAATTATTAAAATATAATATTGTCTGCATACAGCACCCGGGATCCTTGAAGGTGGAATACGAGATGCATTTCTTTTCAATTCTTTTATCTAGTAATGCACAGTACCTGCTTATTATGGTATAATGGAATGAATGGTGGTATAAATAGTTTTTCAAATATTTTTCTCAACTAGTAAGTGGCTGGGACAGGAATGTTTTGAATTCAAATGACTAATTATGATAAAAGTTGGAGGCAGAATGCACTGATCAGGATGGGCATGGAGTCACACTGCCCTTTTATAGCAAGACTTATTTAACAAGCACTATGCATGCTTACTGTGTCAAGCGCTCTCCTAAGCTCTCACCTGATGTTAACTCATTTGAGTCATACTCAGAACCTCCTTGTAATGTCAGTGTTATTATCCCATTTTACAGATGAGGAAACACTTACACAAAGGTTAAATAACCCTTCTCAAGTCAAACCTTTAAGTAGAATAGTTAGGATTCATATCCAGGGGACCTAGCTCTAGCACTTCTCCCCATTTTATAATATCTACATTTATTAAGATTTTATTAGCCAGGCATATGGGCTCACAGCTGTAATTGCAGCACTTTGGGAGGCTGGGGCTGGAGGATTGCTTGAGGCCAGAAGTTTGGGACCAGCTTGGGCAACACAGCAAGACCTCATGTCTACTAATTTTTTTTTTTTTTTAATTAGGCAGGCATGGTGATACAAGCCTATAGTCCTAGCTACTCAGGAAGCTGAGAGGGGAGGATTGCTTGAGCCCAGGAGTTCAAGGTTGCGGTGCCACCACAGCCTAGTCAACAGAGTGAGAATCTGTCTCTAATTTATACAAACAAAAAAAAGATTTTATAAATGGAAGAGTTTACGTTTTCAGCTGAAAAGTGCTTTATTTCTTCCTCCCAGTGGCTATACTCAGGAACCACCAGTCTTGAGTCTGGCCAGTTGAGCCCCTATGGCTTAAGCTGGCATCAGTGGACAGTACTAGAAATGTAGAGCTACCATTTCTAAAATTGTTTCTAATTTGTAATTAAGCATTGCAAGCACCCCATTTATCAGTAGAGCACTGTCAGTGGGACTGAGCAGGCAATGAAATTTTCAGAAAGATCACTGCAAACTGCTCTTCGACTTGAACTGAGATGGGGGAAAAAGTCGAGAGTTAATTCTGTAATGTATTGCTCGTGTTAATTCTGTAATGCATTGTCATTTACTAATGGGGGCACCTGAACATATAGCATAATTCCCCCCACCCCACAGGTCTGGCTATGGCTGTCAAGGTGACTTTCTGATACTTGGGATTCCTTTCCCACTTCCCACCCCCAACACTTGTGTTAAAATAGGGGCAGGCAGAATATGACCGAAGGCCAAATCCATTCTACTGTCTATTTTTGTATGGCCCCTGGGCTAAGAATGGTTTTTACATTTAATTCCTAATTAAGTGAAATGTTATTCCCCCAAAAAAGAATCATATTATTCTCATTAAGTAGATATATATTTTGAAAATTGTTCTCAGTTATTAATAGCATTTCAAATACAGTTAATAAGATTGTGAAAGTGTGCTTGTTATTTAAGTACCTACATAACATCTTCAAATTCACCTCTTGGCCTGCAAAGCCTAAAATATTTACTCTTTGGTACTTTATAGAAAACGGTTGCTCGTTCCTAGCTTAAAACCCAAAATGAGCCAGCCTGTACCTCATCTGGGCTTGTGGTCAGCCACATGCTTGCCTTGATAAATCTGGGCTTACACTGGGCCAGGAACTATACCAAGCCCCTTATGTCTGTTAACTTGCTTAATTGTCACAGCAACCCTGAGAGTAAATATTCTCATTATTCTCATTTTACAGATGATGGAAGTAGCTCAGAGAGGTTAAGGCCTAGGCCTAAGGTTGCACAGCCATCAAATGTCAGTTAATTCGAAGCCCATACTGGAGCTTTGGCAAAGAAAGCTTTAACCTAGACTGCTCATGCTGATGGACAATATATCTAACATGGTATGCCTTTAAGGGCACAAGGAGTAATCCAGTTAAAAAAAAAACAAAAAGACATGCACAAAACATTAAAGAAAGTACATGACAGAACATTGGTAGCTTAGAGGAATAATAGTAAAAGTAACAACAATGAGAGTAAGAATAATATCTATCACGTATGAGATGTTTACTGTGTTCCCAGCTCTTTCTGAACCTCTTTCTTTTATTGACTTATTTATAATCTTCACTACTGCAGCCTAGGAAGGTTTCGTAACTTGCCTATGCTCACACAGCTCACAGATAGCGGAGCTGGTATTTGAACCTGGGCAGGCTGAAAATCTGTTCTCCAGCAGCAACCCTTGAAGGAACTCACAAGTGCTGGGGGTGCTGGTGCAGGCAGTGGTTAGATGTCAGTTTTCAGCCCTGAATGATGTTTTCTGCTCTCCAGGCATACTGTTTCAGATTCCCTGAAGAAAGAATCCCATGTGAGTCTCTGTATTCTTCACATGTTTTTGACCTTAGGTCTTTTACTTCATCCTGGTCTTCTATTTATCCAGCCCTAAAGTCAAAGAATTGGACTAAATCGATGGTTTTCAAAATGTCCCTGGATCCCCTACTCGGCTTCAGCCACCAGGGCTGACTTAACTTATTTGAGTTGCTGGGGTCTTGAGCAAGATTTTGTTTGAAGAGACCATCCTTTGGCCTCCAAAGCCACTGAACTAAGCCACTGAACTGTCCAAGTCCCTTCCAGATCACAAAGTCCTAAGATTCAATGGCAGTGATAGTGGTGGAATGAATAAGCAGTGAAGCCAGGCCCTCCTCCCCTGTCCCTTGTACTGGGTCTACCCACCTCGCCACCGATCTGACTGCACGTGCTGATCAGCAAAAACCAGAGCTTGCCTCTGAAGCCCTGGTGTTGGTCAAGAACAGAGATGCCCTTTTGAGTTTGCAGCAGGGGTCACACGCACTTTCCATCATGCCTGCTTAATCCATGAGCCCATCTGAGAACTTACATAAGAGTCCGACCCTGCCCAATCAGCGTTCCCCTTTGAAATCTAATCTCCTCCTGTTGGTGGGGCAGGTGCTTTTGCTTTATCTTTTGATGCTCTTTAAAGCCATGGCCTCTTCCTATAGTGTGTTTAGATGGGGGCTCGGCTGCCAGGGGTTTGCCGGGGTTGTCTTGTCACTTCCTGTCAGCATACAGCATGCTTAACTGCAACCCTAATGTTGGACTCGGCTCTGAGGGGAAAACTCTTCTGATTCTCTAGCCATTCGGCCTGGATCCCTTGATCCTAAGGCAGGTTGGTGTGCTGCAGTGTGACTCGAAGTTCACCTACAACATGAGGGAGACATGAAGGTGGTAGTTTTGCAGTTGGTGGTGCCAAGCCCTACCCACACCCTCTATCGCTTGGGGCTTTGTGTTGACTCTTTACACAGCCCAGGAAGCTCAGAGGCAGCAAGCAAAGGCCAAAATATTTTCTTCTCCGGGCCAAACCAGTCCCCGCCAAGCATGCTTGCAGAGATTTCCCCTGTCATTAGGCTGCTGGTAACCAGGTTTAAATTAAAGCCCAGACTTGCCAGTGGGCGGAGGGGCAATTCCGTTATTTCTAGCCTTTTGTACAGCAGAAATTGTTTTTGTAATTTTGATTATAGAACCCTATGATTTGAAGACTTTTGCATTTATTGGGTAATACTAAATTTTTATTTTAGAAAAAGACGAATTGAACACCTCTCTGAGAATCAGCCAAGGTTTCTGAGCCTCACGAATAACTGCTGTTACTTCGCTGTTCACCAGTGCTTGGGCTTGGTTATTTAACCTCTCTGTTCCTTGATTTCCACATCTGTAAAATGAGTATTAGAAAGCACACACTTCATAGAGTTGTGAACTAAGAGAGCATAGTGATGTGAATAATAAAAGCCTGGATTCTAAACCCAGCTACCTGTTTCTGCATCCCGGCTCTGTAAACTGGGGATAATCATAGAACTAACTTCATGGAGTTATTTTAAGCATTAAATAAATTAATCTTTATAAAGCTCTTAGAACAGGGCCTCTTGCATATAATAAGTGCTGTTTAAGTGTTTGCAACCTGTAAATACTCAGAATAGTGCCTGGCATATAGGCGAAGCTAAATCAATGTTAAGTCTTCTTCAACTAATCTTTTCCAAAAGGAAATTGCAATTTTAATTATAATATAGTTGATTCTTGTTGGGTTTTTGCATTATCCCCTAGTTACACAGACTTCTCGAGTCTGGGGATGCACAGTTGCCCAAATTTCTGTACTAGTTGTTCTGCATGAAAATGAGAAGAGGAAGGAAGGAGGAGGTATGAGGCTTGGGAATGATATTCCTGTAGCCTCAGGTGTGTCTATGAGGTCACCTGGAACCCTGTTCCCGGGGCTGGTGGAAGCCATGAAGGAGCTAAGGGACCCCATGAGCAGGACTCCAGTAGTCTTATTGCATCTCCAACAGGGAAGGGGAGAGAATCCCAGATGTAAATTCAAGACTAGATGTCTGGAGATGTATGTAGAGACTAGAACCTTCTCTGACTCACGAAAGAAGCTAGATAGTTTACTGGGCATGCTTGGAAGAATTATAAGATATTTTCCTCATCTTCTCTACGACACTATTCCTTCCTGTCCCAGGGCCTTTGCTCATGCTGTTTCTACTGCTTACAATGTTTTTCTTTACCTTGTTTGCCCCCACCCTTGCATTTTCACCTGGCTAACCTCAGTGCCTTCTATGGCTGAGTCAGAGCTGTGTGGAGTCTTCGGTGTCAAGACACCTGGATTCACATCCTGGCTTTGCTTCTTAGGAGCTGTGTGACCTTGAGCAGACACTAACCCATTCCATGCCTTGCTTTCCTCATAGATTAATCATATTTTCATTGTTGGGTCTGAACTTAAATATCATTTCTTCTGTTTAAGGGAAGATACCGCCACATTTGTAAAAAGAATGCTGGTTCCTGGGGCCATTCTTTTTAAATTTCTAGTTGTGCCTTGGTTGGGCTTCACTTCGATTTGGAGAGGACTTGGGTGAAACCATAATGAAATGTAGCCAGCTTTGGAATTGCATGTTACTGGTGACTTACAGTTTTCTTTTCACAGTGATTCTCTCATTGTGTCCCAAAGTTTGTTCCACTGATTATCTATCTGTTCATAGATAATTAGAGAAGAGTTCTATGATGAAACAAGATTGGGAAGGGGTGGGTTAAACAAAGTCAAGCCCATTTCTTTTCTGCAAGACTTCTCAGAGATTTTGGTATGCTAGAATATTTTGTCTATTTCCTGGGGAAGGGAGAGGGACTTTAATGTGGCCCAACCATGTTCATCATGGAACCTGTATTTTATTGAAATATACTGTGGTACTGGTGTCCTCAGAACACACCCTGGGAAATGCTGCTTTGTTTACTGAGGCTCTCCCACCACCAAATGCTAGTGCTTCTCAGGATATAAACAAACATAAGGCTTGCGATGTGGCACCAGCATGCCGAGGGTGTTGACTGTGTCTGCGGCTCGGAATGGCATGACTTACCATTGTGCTTTTCTTTTCCCTTTTTCCCCAAACAGAGAAGGAGACCTTTCTGGATCCTTTCGTCCTCCGGGACCTCCTGCCTGCATCCCTGGGCAGCTATTATCGGTACACAGGTTCCTTGACCACACCACCGTGTAGCGAAATAGTGGAGTGGATAGTCTTCCGGAGACCCGTCCCCATCTCTTACCATCAGGTAGATATTCTTCCTCAAGTGGGGTTTCTGTGTTTACTTGTTTTGTATTGACTTAACGATCCAGCATGGCTAGAGTATACCACTAAGGAATTTGTTCTTGATCCTGTGCATATCATTGATTCCTGCAGTCTTTCCCACAAACATGTTTTTGAACCCAAGAACTGCAAGCGATAGAATGTGGTTTCTTAGCCGCAAATGAAATTAACTCACTAAAGAGAATTGCACTCATGAAATCTGAGTATTGTTTAAGTATTCAATCTTGAGGAGGTAATAATAGCTATCCTCAATGATGATGACCTTTTGTGCCAGAAACTCTTCTAAGCTCTTTATAAATGTTGACCCATTTCATCTTCATGAACAACACTCTTGTGAGGTAGATGCTATTTGTACCCCCATTCTACAGTCTTATGAGGAAGGTGCTGTGCATACCCCCATTTTATAGAGGAGATCAAGCCACACAGAAGGTTATTTGCCCACAATCACACAACTGGTAACCATGCCATGGTGTCTGATTCCAAAGAGCATGCTCTGACCACTAAGCCTACCCACAGTTCAGAAAAGAAAGAGATTTGTGGACATGGAGAAATGAAATAAAACATACCATTGATTGAGTTCTTTCTGTGTGCTATGTACTTTACTCAGCACTTTATACATATCAACTTAATCAGTGGCAACACAAACATAGAGAGATGGGTATTCACATAGAACATCATGGCGTGGAGAGATTGGGTAACATGCCCAAAGATTCATGGTTAATGAATGATGAAGCCAAAAACTAAGCCTGGGTTTGCCTGATTCCAAAACCCATGTTTCTGACCACTATATTGTACTGCTTCCTTCTGAGTGTGGACTGAGAACACTTCATGGGAAGGCATGATTTAGGCTGGGCAGTTAACTGTGGGTAGGAACTGATGAACTGGAGATAGAATTGAGGCAGTGTCAGAGGAAGGGGAACCATCCAGGCAGTGAGAGGTCTTTAAGTCACCTCATGAGGTTTGAATGCATGGTTGGGGATGATTCTTAGGAGGGACATGTTAGTTGTGCAAAATTCAGCATGGACTGAATTACAAAAAGTGTCAAATTTCTTCTGCATTATTCCCAAAAATAGAGCCAGGAACGATGGGTAGGATTTGTAAGAAAGTGGATTTGAG
This sequence comes from Homo sapiens, assembly GCF_000001405.40. Taxonomy (NCBI): domain Eukaryota; kingdom Metazoa; phylum Chordata; class Mammalia; order Primates; family Hominidae; genus Homo; species Homo sapiens. The sequence goes on from NC_000003.12 coordinate 62,158,376, forward strand.
CCATTAACCAAGACTGTCCAAAACTGGAAGGTACTTAGGATGTCTTTCATAGAAATGACCACCTCCTCCAGTCTGATTGTTCTAGTACCAGTTGACCTTCTGGGTCTTATGTCAAGTATTCCAGTAGGTGGGTCTGAATAGACATTGGCCAACCAACTACTTGGCTGGCCTTGGGTCACATGTCCATCTTTGAATGAGCCATCAGAGGTGAATGAGCCATCAGAGGTGCCAGATAGCATCCTGAAACATCCAGTGTTACCTGTCAGTGGGTAAATGGGGCAGGTTCCCTAGAAGAAGGTAGGGGCAGTAGAGACACTATCCCCCTAACCAAGTTAGGTCATGTAAGGCCAGGCTGAACAAATTTATTTGGCCTCACTGCTGTTTTGGCAATCATTTTACTTTCAGATTTTTTTTTCCTTTTAATCTGACCCTGACAATAAAGAAAGGACTGGCGATTTGGTTTCAGAACAGGATCTGCCAGCCTTAAGGAGATAATGAAATAAGAAATGAGTTTTCTTCCTAATGGTGATGCCAACATTGTTTCATTAAAAAAAATAATAAAGTTACAGCCCAAATATTTATATAAACAGCGTTGGTGGAAGGAATTTTTTTTTCAAGATCCTTTTTTGTCAGTTAATAAATACTTTTGTCTTGAAAGATTGAAAGGTTTACGGCTCAGTGGCTCATGCCTATAATTTCAGCACTTTGGGAGGGTGAAGCAGGAAGAACCCTTGAGCCCAGGAATTTGAGACCAGCCTGGGCAACATGGCAAGACCCCAATCTCTGCAAAAAAAAAATTAAAAAATTATCCAGGCGTGGTGGCACATGTCTGTTGATCCCAGCTGCTTGGGAGGCTGAGGGGGGAGGATCACTTGAGTCTAGGAGGTCAAGGCTGCAGTGAACTGTGATCATGCCACTGCGCTCCAGTGTGGATGACAGAGTGAGACTGTCTCAAAAAAAAAAGAGAAAGATTTGAGATAATGAAGTTAAGGAATACTGATTTGGCTACTTTTCATATAGAATTCCATGTAAGGAGAGGCAGAGAGTCGTTGATTAGCTGGAGAGAAATAAGGACCATTAACATATGCTGGGTTTCATTATAGCTCCAGATTTGAAACAAAAAACAGTTTGGGGCTTGGATGTTTTGCCAAGTGTTTGTCTTTTAGAAGCATTTTGATCACCATTTTTGTAACTGGGGCTCTGAGAAAGTGCTTTTTAAATATCTCCTCACTATTCCACTCTCTGCCACCCATACGCTCAAAGAAGAAATAATGTAAGATTTGTATTTGCCTTCCAATATATAACTTCTCTCTAGGTATTGTATTTCAGGGAAATAGAAAAGAAATCAGTCATATTTGCTTTCCAGGTTCTTTGCTACAAACCGTCTTAAGATAATACTTTAGTTTTATCAGACACTGCTTCATGTGTCCCTCTCTCTCTCCCAAGGGAGGAAAACAGCTCATATTCATGTGGCCAAACTGGATCCTTGCTGGCTGGCTTTGTGGAGGTCACAGCTGTGTCAGCCCTTGGAAAGGAAAGCATTCGCCATCCAAGTATTATCGCTTCAGACCTTCCCACCCTGACCCTGCCAACATTCTTTCTGAAGTTAGCACAGAATGTTCATTTCAGAAAGGCGAACAGCCAATTCGGAAAAGCCAAGTAGTCAGGAATTCCATGTCTGCCTCTGACAGAAAGAAAACATTCCTAGTCTCTCGTTCTTCTACTTCTCTACAGTCTCTGTATTCTCTCTTTTCTTCCCTGTCATCCAGCATGGGTGCCTGCACTCAATGAAAATTTGAGCATATTCACCATGAAATATAACGGTTAGCACAAAGTGTTGACTTGTATGATGTGGATTTCTTTGAAGCCTTTCAGAGTACATACAGGCAAACAGTAATCTTTCTTCTCTTGTTCCCTTTTGTGAGTCTAGTTGGGCATTCAAGTCAGCCCTGCCAGCCTGTGCACTTGTACCTCTGGCTTGTGTGATAATCTAGATTAAAATACAGCATTGCTAATGGAACCGCACATTGGTTTGGGATTCCCCACTTAGTCAGCATGGCTTATGTGGCCCCTCTAAACATCTTCTGAAAATATCAGGCCAAAATCATGTCCCCCAAACAAAATGGGTCACCCCAACAAAATGGCAGCACTCTCGGCCCTTCTGTGGGATGTCAGAGGAGCCGGACAACACATGGAGATGGTTGCAGGCAACATATTCATGATCAGTCATAGAAGATGATTAGCTTTCAGTCCAGTTAACTAGGATTTGTTTTCTTCTAGAATAGTGCTTCTCAGATGATGGTTCTTTGCCCATAGGCAACTAACCCAACCCTTCCTTTCCAGGACTGTTTGCATCTTGTAGGTTAAAATAAGGCACTACCTATGATTTTCCCCAGCTTGAATTTTACTTAAGTGCTTGTAGGGGGTGCTATCAAAAAGGCAATAAATAAGTCTGACTGCATCTACTTTGTTTACCTTTAGATGTGTGATTTTTTTTTTTTTTTTTTTTTTTTCTGACAGTAAGCTGGAGTGGACAGAAAAGGTTTAATTGCATGACCCTTTTTAACCAAAGGTATCTGTGAGAAACAGTAGAGCAGCTCTTTGAAATTAAGACTGTGTGCTTTGGAGGCAAACTGCCTGGGTTCCATTTATGGCTTTGTTCTTCGGCCAAATTACTCAAGTACTCTACTATTTGGTGCCTCGGTTTTCTCCTCTGTAACATCATGATGATAATACTCCCCTCATGGAGTCACAATAAAGATTAAATGGTGGAATATGTATAAAATGCTTAGACTAGAATATGTATAAAGTGCACATCACAGGAAGTGCTTTGGAGATATTAGGCGTTGTTGTTGTTGTTGGTTTTGTTGTTGTTGCAGGTATTAAATGATCACCAGCCTTTAAAGCAGGACTGTCTGGTAGAAGTAAAATCACATCATTTAAAATGTTGTAGTAATCATGTTAAAAAATGTAAAGAGAAACAAGTGAGATTAATTTTAGTAGTATAATTTATTTAATCAAATGTATCCACAATATTATCACTGCAAATGTAGGGCTAGCCATATTTCTAATGGAATAGCCACGTGTGGCTACTGGCTGTCACAGCTGTAAGGTTTATCTCAAGGCCACGACAACTGGTGAGTCACTTAATTCAGAACGTTTCTATTTCAACACATGACGTGCAGTGCATGTGAATGAAGGAGGTTTTTTAATGATGGGGTGAAGATGCCATATTAATCCAAGAGAGATGGCTTTCTTTGTTAATTATGGTTAAGTCCTTTTCCTTCTATAAAGCCCTTTCTATAATCACCTTCATGCAAAACTGACTGTAGCCACAGGAGGGGCATGGCCCTGCATTTAGCTAGCTGTTCTTAGATTTTATGTTTGCAGCTGTGGTTCAGTAAGTAAAATTTCGGATGCTCCAGGCTACTGGGAATTTAATATTCCATTATCATTGTCTTGTTTAATAAGGAGGCAACAAACACGACCTGCCCTGTCATCCCTCAAATGTGTGGTGAAGCTAAAATAATCTCCATGACCTTAGGTGAGATTTTCCAGTTTCTAGTTAGTATCCTTGGGTTCCTTGCTGTGCTAATAATGGACCGTGGTTTTGTTTAATTGCCATTATATGCCCATCCCTTAAACTATTGTACATATCAGCCTTTTAATGGCTCATAATTATATTACTTTTGGTATTCTCTCATTTCTCCCTTTCATCCACAGTGGTGTCCTGCCCAAGTCTTGTGGACAGGAGCTCTCGCTACACACGAAGGGCATGAATAGATTTCAGCTTGCCTTTGATTCGAACCGACAGATTAAAAACTAATTATTCTCCGTAATACTTTTATAATAAAAACTAAGTTGAAATGATTTATATACACTTCGAGCCAACACATTTGCAATTCAAGGTTAAAATTGTTCTTGAAACAGCACCAGTTAAACTGCAATTACAAATCCCCAAGCAGGGATAAAAGAAAGAAATGTTTTACACATTCACTTCAAAAGTTTAAGAGTCAATTTAATATTATAGAAATAAAAACTTTCATTTATTTTTACTAAATGATAAAGACTTCATTAGTTGTATTAAAGTCAAGATAAATCCAAGTGTGTTTATTACCCTGCTGTGGCAAAGGATCAGCCAAGAAAAGTGAGGGCTTTGGGAGGTGGACGGGATTTTCTCCTTGGGCCTGCTGTCTTGTTCATGCCTCCCAGTTCTTTCTGCGTTGGGCTATTGGCAGTTTCTATTCAGAGTGCAGAAGGATGAAGATAGATAGATGTATGTTGCTGATGCAGGGTGCCCTGTGTGGAATGGCCTTGAGGTTAGCTAAAGGGAATTGTTTCAGGACTTATACTATCACTGCATCCATTTCTCCACTGCAGTGTGGCTCTTTCAGTGGATAATGCTAAGGCCTTTTATGCCTGTGGCATGAAATAGCTGAGAGCATACAAAATAGAGTCACACAGACCTGCTATTCTAAGCCTCACTTCACCTCTTGGTTCCCGTGCCTGCATTAGTCCATTTTCACATTGCTATAAAGAACTACCTGAGACTGGGTAATTTATTAGAAAAGAGGTTTAATTGGCTCTGCAGGAGGCATGATTGGGAAGGCCTCAGGAAACTTACAATCATGGCGGACAGGAAGCAGGCATGCATTACATGGCTGGAGAAGGAAGAAGAGAGAGAAAGGGGAGGCGCTACACACTTTTAAACAACCAGATCTCGTGAGAATCCACTCACTGTCACGGGAACAGCAAGAGGGAAATTCCGTCCCCATGATCCAATCACCTCCCACCAGGCCCCTCCTCCAGCATTGAGGATTACAATTCCACCTGAGATTTGGGTGGGGACACAGATCCAAACTATATCAGTGACCTTGGGCAAGTTACTCAATGCCTCTAAGCCCAATTTCCTTACTAGTCAATAAAACTTATACTAATACTGCTATTAATAATAATATTACCACCAGCCTCATGGGATTTCTGTGGATTAAGTGAGAGAAAGCACATACCAGTCTCAGCACAATGCCTTGCATGTAATAGGCACTCAGCAAATATTGGCTGCTAGTGTTCATGATATAATAAGAGTGTTCTGTAATGCTACTTTAATGTCATTATTTAATGTCATTACTTTAAGCTAAAAAGAAGTTGGAAACCAAAATAATGTCTGTAAAGTACTTAAAGAAGTACCTGGCATGTCATAGGTTTGATAAATATAAGGGGGATAAGGAAGGGAAGGTTGATACAGCATTTTACAGTTGTTGTAAGCTTAGAGTACAATTGTAGTTACCACATTCCTCATGAAATAATAATGACAGTAGTGATAGTACTTACTGAGCACCTGCTGTGTGCCAGGAATCATTCCAAATATTTTATATATCACAACTCTTTGAATAGTTACAAAAACCACAGGAAATAGGTAATGCTGTTACCTCCATTGTACAAATAAAGACACTGAGGCACAGAAAGATTAAATAATTTGACCAAGGTCACACATTTAGCAAGTAGGGTTTAAAAACAGGATTTTGTACCCAGGTAGCAGGGGTAAGGGTTTTGAATTTGGAGAATTAGGCATAGGCCAGATCATAAGGGCCCCACCATTAAGGATGGGAGGCTGTTAAAAAGTATTGAACGGAGACATTACGTGATCTCATATATATTTTTCAAGGATCACTGTTTAGCTATTAACCAGATCTAGAAAAGCAGAACAGATTACGGACCAAACATCGGACCGGTCAAAGACCCAGAAAGACACAACTTTGTCCGTATGGTTTGTTCTGTGGCTCCAGCCTGATTTCCATATTGCACAACTCTAGGGGACACTTTCTCATGGTGGGCTTATGGCACCTTTTGGAATCAAACAAAGTGGAGGTCCAAGGCAAGAGTCAGGGTGTGGGGACAGACTGAAGTTGCTGTGTAATGATGTATCAGTAGATTTCGTCACTGCCCACTTGCCAAAGTGAGAAATGTAGACTCCTCTCACCAATCCAAGGCTCCTGGAGGTTTTTAACTCACTGGCCAAGCATGCCAGTTGCCAAAGAGACAGGCCACTGGCGATTTTCATTTAAGTTAGAAAAATGACAGGGTTTTAGTGAATGCCGCCAACCCACAGAAGGACATTTGATGAGTGTGCTAAGCTCGTCCTCCTTTCCCTCTTTTGTATGACTGTCAAGCGCAACTGTGATCCAGTTGACAATATAATATCATTCAGGTCATCAGTTCACTCCCAGAACCATCACATCCTTTCTTCAAAATCTTGGGGCAAGTTAAGTTAATAACAAGGAAGCCACCATGCTTTTAAACCGTAGCATGTCATTAAGCTGCAATAGCAATTTAAGTGAAAGCATTTTTGTGTTAAATTCACAACCTGCCTCATTTTTACAGTTATGTGACTTGTTCTTTCCTGAGGCTTCAGAAATAAACTTTTTAGGAGAATTTAATGCTGGCTCTGAAAGAAGCAAGTATTCTAGAGAATAAACAAACTGCAGAGTCGTATTGCTGAGACAGTTTTCTGAGACAGGCCATTCTTTTCTGGCATCTCAGAGATTAAACTATTTTGGGACAGATGGCTGTCTCTTCCAGAAAATTTCCGGTCTAATTCACGATGTATGGCAGCCCAGTCCATTTCTCTAAAAAGTCATCCTGAAAGTTAAGGAATGTCTCTCTCTATTAAACTCACGTCTCTATGGCTTTAATTTAAGCCAATTTCCGTTTATTTGGTCTTCTCTGGACATGGAGAAGAGCTGGTCAGCATCTTCCACATATGAGGGGCTTTATGAAATTACTCCTTACTCACCTTTTCCTCAGGCTAACCAATTCCACTTCCTTTAACCTTTCCTCACAGGATTTTTTCTCCATCTTTTTAATCATTTTGATTGGTCTTTTTCTGGGCTGTCTCCAGAGGGTCTTTGTTAATACTTCTCATATGATTTTAAGAAGTTATTTTCTCTGAGAAATCAGAAACCTGCTCTCACATTTGATGCATTCAGTTCTGACTTTGGTAGTCCTGTCAAGTGAGTTCATATCATGAGGTGGAGGTGATTTTTCAGCATCTTTAGTTGTCTTCATTTGAGTGGCTCACATTTGGACAAAGTAATCAGTCCAATTTTCCTAATTTTTCTGTCATGTCTTGCCTTTCCTTTGCTGTAAATAAAGAAGGAATAGCAGAAAGAATAGGAAGGCAGGCAGATGCTACCTAGAGACACTATGAGTTTTTATGATAGTAAAGTAACTCAGAGAATTGAAGTAACACAAGAGTAACAGGCTGCTTTGGCTTTTAGGCTGGTTGTGAATCCGTCCTGGTTCTATGTAAAAGGCAGAAAAAATTCCATGGTTTATTATCATTTTACATAAGCTGTGGAATTGGAGGGGAGGTAGAATGATAGGTGAATTCATATACTTCAATGATTTTTGCATGGCTAATATCACTACCTCAATTCATCGCTTTCTCATGCAAAGAGAGGGCAGACTGTTTGGAAGCAGGTCATTTTCTGTGTCATTCTCTGAGGCTGTTTGAGAAACAGTGGGGGTTAGTTCCAGGGTTCAGGATGACCACCTAGAATTTGCAGAAACCCAGAGAGTGATTTCCCTTTTTTATTTTCCACATTAGTATTAACTGCCTTCTGGTTCCCCGAAGCCTTGACAGTCACTCAATGCACAGAGAGCATCTTTCTAGCACCATTCGACCATTTCTCCTGCAGAAAGCACTCTTATTTGGCACCAGAGGATCCAGATGGGCCAGAAACAGTTCATTCAGCTTTTCTCTTCATTCTATTTTCTTCTCCTATTAGTATTTTTGGTGGCTGCATATTTCAAATTACAGTTCTTTTTTTTTTTTTTTTTTTTTTTTTTTTTTTTTTTTGGTGACAAGAATAACTTTGTGGCCTGTTGAGGACAAGTCTCTGTCACTCAGTTGCTGTTCCATTCCTCATATGTAATAGAATTACTTTTTTTATTTTTAAAAATTTTTTTATTATTTTTTTGAGACAGAGTCTCATTCCATCACCCAGGCTGGAGTGCAGTGGCACAATCTCGGTGCACTGCAGCCTCCGCCTCCCAGGTTCAAGCAATTCTCATGCCTCAGCCTCCCGAGTAGCTGGAATTAAGGCATGCACCATTATGCCTGGCTAATTTTTGTATTTTTAGTAGAGACAGGGTTTCACCATGTTGGCCAGGCTGGTCTCGAACTCCTGACCTCAAGTGATCCACCCACCTTGGCCTCCCAAAGCGGTGGGATTTCAGGCATGAGCCACCGGGCCTGGCCAGAATTACCTTTTTTAATGATCACAATGTTGAGGGACACAAAAAAATCCCTTTTTTGTTCTGTTCTGTTTTTGAGACAGGGTCTCACTCTGTCACCCAGACTGGAGTGCATGGTGCAATCATAGCTCATTGCAGCTTGCAACTCCCAGCCTCAAGTAACCCTCTCACCTCACCCTCCCAAGAAGCTGCGACTACAGGCATGCACCACCATGCCCGGCTGATTTGTGTATTTTTTATATAGGCAGGGTCTCGTTGTCTGGGCTACTCTCCAACTCCTGGGTTCAAGCGATCTTCCACCTCAGCCTCCCAAAGTGCTGGAATTATAGGCTTGAGTCACCGCACCTGGCCCAAAGAATCCCTTTTGATAATAGAAATATGATTTGGGCACCCTGATTTTTTTCCTTTACTTTCCATAAAAGTTAGATCGGCAGTCCTGTAAGAGATGTTTCTTAATAATATTAATAATAATGATGATAGCTAACCTTAATTGAGGACTTAACTGTGTGCTAAGCAATTTACATAAATTTTAATACTTCTGACAACTTTATAAGGTAAGTATTATTACGTGTTTTACAGTTGTGGATACTTGAGTTACAGAAAACTTGAACAGTTCATCTCCGATTACCCATCTGGTAAATGTTGAACTTAGGCAGTTTGACTTGCAAGTCACACATTTAGTGACTTGGCGACTTTGCCAAACTTGATCACTAGTATGTCGGAAGATGCCAAGAATTAAATCCCTAATATTTATGAAGCTCTTATGATATACTAGGAACTGTTTTAAGCACTGTACTTGGTTTAAATATTTTGTCAGCACTTAAAATTGACAAAAATCCTTTTGGGTAAATATTGTTATGATTATCACCATTTTATTGAGGAAAAATGGTGGCTCAGGTTAAGCAGCTTGTTCAGGTCACAGAGTGGGTAGGCGATGGAGTTAGTATTCATACCCAGGCAGTCTGGCTCCGGGACATAACAGTTTGACCGTGACCCTATGTTTCTTGCTAGAATGGTAAAGGCTTTTCCAGCAGGGCACTGCAGAAAGACTGGGACTCTCTCATGGGAGGCACAAACTCAGAGTGCGGTATAGCCCTCAAATGAAGTGTTTTGCTGGTTAGTTGGCAGGACAGAAACCACAGCCAGATGAGCCTGTTGGCAGTGTTTCCAGCAGGCAGCCTCAGGTCCTGCTGGGTTTAGCAGCCCTGGCATTGGGCACTTCCTACCGTTTCATGCTCTTATCACCTTCACCTGCTTTGGACCAAATAGCTTTTCTAATTGATGTGTGTTTTTTGTGTTGTTTTTTTTTTCCCCCTCCCCTCTCTGGTCCTCTGTTCAGCTTGAGGCTTTTTATTCCATCTTCACCACGGAGCAGCAAGACCATGTCAAGTCGGTGGAGTATCTGAGAAATAACTTTCGACCACAGCAGCGTCTGCATGACAGGGTGGTGTCCAAGTCCGCCGTCCGTGACTCCTGGAACCACGACATGACAGACTTCTTAGAAAACCCACTGGGGACAGAAGCCTCTAAAGGTATATTTGGCTTAAGTGCCTTGCCCAGAGGAAGATTCCTTATCATAAATTACTTTAAATTAAAAGGAATTCAAAGCCAGCCAGGAATTGGGACTTGGTGTTAAATGCATATGTTTCTCTGCTAAAGGGAGCCTGTCTGGCTGAAAAATAGGAGCAGGTGTGGGAATATATTCTGTTAAATAGGTATGATAGAAATTGCCCTTTTGACCAATAATAGATAATTCTGTCTGCATTTCTGCCTTGTAACTTCAAAACTTACTAGCAGTGTCTAGAGAAAGCTTTCTGAAAAGTGTCTTACTTTTTATGTGTTTCCCTGTTGATCAGGAGCTTATCTCTGAGCTCAGACATCAGTGAAACGGGAGAGTTCCCTGACCCCACTCCCCGCTTTGAAGGACATGCAACAGGAATGTGGCTCATCTGTTCAGTCACCATTCGCTGCTCAGACACATAAGGTCTAGGGGAGCACATAAGGGAGGGGGAGCACACAGATGGGCAGGTGCAGGAGCCAGGGTGAGCTCCTTGGGGCTCTGGCACTAGGGTTATGTGTCTGTGACTCCTGAAGCCCAAGTGGGCATGTGTTACAGTGGGCTCTTTCAGCCTTGCCGTCTGTGGACAGCTTAAGTGTTAACCAGCTCAGTGACCTCTTGGTACCCAGGTCCTTGTCTGGCGTCCAGGAACAATCAGGTCGCCCATGGACTTGAAGGATGAATGTGGGGGTTTTATTGAGTGGCGGAGTTGGCTCTCAGCAGGATGTATAGGGAGCTGGAAGGGGTATCAAGTGAGAAGATGATGGAGTTCGGCCATTCGGTGGGCAGTCTCCTCTCTGATTGTCCCTTGACATTCAGATGCTCCTTCTCTTCTCCCTGCCACGCCATTCTGCTGTTCTTCTGCTCTTCTATTCTATCCCTCTCGTCTGCTTCTGGAGCCTGGGGTCTGGGGTTTATATGGGTACAGGATAGCGGGATATGGCGGGCCAAAAGGCAACTTTTGGTCATGAAAACAGGAATGTCTGTTTTCACTTAGGGCCCAAGGGTCTCCAAATTTGAGGGTGGGGCCTTTGCCCGGGAACTGCCCGCTTCTAGCCAGTATTTCCCTGTCTCCTGTCCATATCATCAGGACCTTTGAATTGCTCCCAACACCCCAGTATATAGCAGTCTTACTACCATCCACCCCCGGCAAGAACTCCCATACCAGCCTCACCCCTACTGGAAATCACTTGCTTATTATTTTTTTAACCTATTATTTAACAGTTTAACCCCGGTATCTGATAAACATAAGTTTATCATTTTCAGGCATCTCAGTCTTTTTCCATCTCTACTTGCTCATGTGAAATGAATATGAATCTCTCTCCCAGGAAACTAGAACTTCTGGTTCTACCCTCACACCTCTCCTCTCAGGCTCTGGGATTTATCAGAATTGGGTCACAGAGCTCCGGAAATGCTGAGGGGAGCAAGGCTGATCAAAGCCCTATTACTTGGAAGGGAGGAAGGAAAAAGAAGGAATTTTCTTTTGGTGCGAAAAGGGATATTTCCCAACCCAGTGCTATCCTTCTTCAAAATTATGAGCTTGGGTAATAAAGGGAGAGCTTGTGTCATTTATCAACACTGGAGGTAGAGTGGGCTACTGTTAGTGTGGTACGTTACGTGGAGAGGTTTTCTTTCAAGAGTGCCCCCACCCCCAACAAAAGGGAACAGTTTATTGGCATATGGACTTTGTAGGAACAGGGGGAATGGGATTCTATTCCACAAGTAACTGCAGTGACATGCACTTTGATGATATGAAAGAGCCCATTTTCTAGGCTCATGTTTCTGAAAAGGAGCTAAAAGAAGAGGAGAGGGAGTTTAAGAATGTGATCATTTCCTTCCTGTCTGTGTGATTTTGTTTGAGGTTAGTGAGGAGAAGTGAGTCAGGCACCAGGTTCCCTCAAGAAATGCTTGAGATTCAAGTAATTTGGGGACAATAGATTGTCAAGGGCATCATTCTCTGGGAACAATGGGAGAATTAAGAAGCTCACAAACCTGTGAAATATCTTAGGTTGGGCTGCCGTGGAAAACCTCACATGAACTAATTTTTTTTTTAACCTAGTTAAAAAAAAATGAAGAAAATAACCCAACTAGAAAGCTTTCTCCCAAGAGAAGTTGACTGAGAAAATCAGGTCTCCTGGGGATTTTGTGAGAGTTATATGCAGAGGATGTGGATTGGGGGGGTGAGGAATTCCTATCACAAGTGAGTGCAAGATCTGATAGCTCAGAATTGCTGAGATGGTGACAGATACAAAGCTCTTTCCTGAAAAAATGGGCCAAGCATATGATATATCAGCTGTACAGAGAAAATGCATGGCCTTTATTATCCAAGAAAGCTAGGGAGGATAATGGTTTCTATTGTGTTAAATTGTCAAAGTAGGCACGATCTTCCACTGAACGGGCCTTCTCTGAATTTGACCACAACCACAGAACCATCCTTAAATACGGCAAATTCATGTGTCATTCTACTAGGTTTGTTTGAATTATCATAGTGCTCGTTGCTGACTCTTTAAGACATGGGAATATTAAAATGTTTTCTGATATTTTTAGAGCCAAAGAGAGAGCAGGATCTAGATGCAGTCCTATTTGTGTGTTTAACTTATTATTGGAGAGCTACACGTACATAAAAGTGCAGTACCCGTAATACGTGCACAGCTTGATGAATTTTCACAACCTGAGCACACCTGAGTAACAAGCACCTAGATCAAGAAACTCCCGTCTAGGATCTCAGGACTCCCCCATCATCCCCCTTCCTAATCACTCTGTGTTCCCAAGGGTAACCACTTCCAGAAATTCACTTAGCCTGTTTAATAAATTGCATAAAGTTAGAATCATTCAGTATGTCCTCTTTTGTGTCTTGCTTCTTTTGCTCTACAGTGATTTTAAGCATCCTCTCTGTTGTGGCCTGTAGTTGTAGTTTGTTCTTCTGTATTGCTAAAGCCCATTGTGTGATTATACCTGAATATATTTATCCATTTCAGTATACATGCATATGTAGATTATTTTCAAGTCTGGGTGATTACGAAAACTCTTGAACCTGCCTTTTAATGAATATGTGGATATATCTCTATTGGGCATACACCCAGGAGTAAAATGGCAGCATCCTAGAGTACACATATTTTCAGGTTTGGTTAGAGACTGCCAAATGGCTTCCCAAAGTGACTGTATGTGCCACTTTACACTTTTGCCAGCAGTTTAGGAAATTTTCCTATTTTTACAGCATTTTTTTAAAGGCATAATTTACATACCATAATATACAGCTATGGTAAATGTATAATTTGATAATTTTAGCAAATTTATACTTGCGCAGCCATCACTGCAGTCCAGTTTTAGAATATTTTCATCGCCACAGAAAGTTCCTTCCTGCCCATTTGCAGTCAGTTATTTCTCCTGCCCTCAACCCCAGGCAACCTCAGGTCTGGTTTTGTCTTTCACTTGGTGTTAATGATTTTAACATTTACCCATGTTTGGCATGTATCAGTAGGTCATTTTTTTTTTATTGCTGAATAGTGTCCCTATTTTTTTTTAATAACAGCTTTATTGAGATTTAATTCACATACCATGAAATTCATTCTTTTAACGTGTACACATCAGTGTTTTTTACTGTAGTCACAAAGTCATGCACCCATTGCCACCATTTATTTCTGGAACATTTTCATCACCCCAAAAAGAAACTCCATCTGTAGCAATCACTCCCATTCTCCTTCCCTTCGTCTGCCCTGTATGTCCCTCCCTCCCTTCCTCCAGGGCTAGGCAACCACTAACGTACCTTTTGTCTCTATGAATTTGTCTATTCTGCACATTTTATGCAAGTGGATCATATATGACTTTTTTGACTTAGCATAATACTTTCAAAGTTCATCTGTATTGGGGGCTGTGTATCAGAATTTAATTATATTTTGTGGCCAAGTAATATACCACATAATATGTGGAGGTGCCATGTTTTGTTTATCCATTTATCAGTTAATGGACATTGAGTTTTTTCCACCTGTTGGCTGTTATGAATAATGCTTTTGTGAGCATCCATGTCCAAGTTTTTGTGTAAATATACATTTTCAAGTCTTTTAGATGTAAACCTAGGAATAGCATTGCTGGGTCATATGGTAACTTTCTGTTTACAGTTTTGAGGAACTATCAAACTATTTTCCAAAGTGGTGGCATCAGTTTACATTCCCATCAACAGTGTATGAGGGTTTCAATTTCTCCATATCCTCACCAACACTTGTTATTGTGCATCTCTTTTATTTTCACCAACCTAGTGAATATGAGGTTGCATCAGTTTATAGTTCTGATTTCCATCTCCTTAATGACTGATGATCTCCCTGTTTGTTTTTAAATGCACATGTCATGGAACCACAGCCCACATGACCAAATGTTCCTCCTTTTTTTTCCCTACGAAGACTCAGGTAACTCAGCGCCACTATAGGCCAAAAGATGCTGACACATCATCAAACAGCCTGGAGGGCTTAGATTATTGACCTTAGAGATGTAAGCAGGAAAGAGCCAAAGCATGGAACAAGTCCTTTTCCTTCCTCTACTCTTCTGCGAAAAAAAGTTTTAAAAAGAGAATGAGTGGTATTCTGTAATCTTCAGGTAATTCAAAACGAGCAAAGCCTGCCTGATTGGTATTCTCTATCTGATAATTATTGGAAGCTTTCAATGCCCAGGAAAGCTATGATGTTTTATGCATTCATCGGGCTGTTGTCACAGAAGAAGGAAAAATAAATTAATTACATAAGGCAGGAGTCATTTAACTTTTTTGGTTAAGGGCCAGATAGTAAATGTTTTTGGCTTTGTTGGCCATATGGTCTCTGTTGAATCCTGGGTACTTGTGGGACATTGGTTCCAGGACCCCTACGGACACCAGTATCCTTGGATGCTCAAGTCCCTTATATAAAATGGTGTTGTATTTGCACATAACCTGAACACATCCTCCAGTATACTTTAAAATATTTCTAGAGTACTTATAATATTAATACAATGTAAATGCCATGTAAATAGTTGTTATACTCTACTGATTTTTGTTTGTACTGTTTTTTATTGTTATATTGCTATTTTTTATTGTTTTTTTTTCCTTCCAAATATTTTTGGTCTGTGGTTGGTTGAATCCATGCATGCAGAACCCATGGATATAAGTGCCGACTGTACTCAATTCTACCAGTATAGCAGGAAGGCACCTGCAGATGATATGTAAATGAGCATAGAAAATGTCTTGCGGTAAAGTTTTATTTCCAAAAAAAGATGGCAGACCAGAGTTGGCCTTGGGACTGTAGTTTACTGACCCCCACTCTATGGAGTAGCTTAAACTGAGTTGGAGAACCCTAAATGGGGAAATCATAGGCTTGTTGTAAGATACATATTTTCTGTCTTCAAGGTGGTAATGGCCATGACTGTGAATGTGTTGGATCTGTGTTTCCATTCCACTGAAAGACCCTAGGACCAACCAGAGATTCATTAACTTGGTAACCACCCACTTACACTTCACTTTAACACCCGGTCATCTTTCACATCAGAGGGGTAACCAGAGCCTCAGTTGACTGAATATAGCTCCCCGCCTCCTCTGTTCCCTGGTTATGATCGTGAACTTGAGGCAGCCAGTGGTGGGGGCCTGTGTTCATGCACCCATATTTTATCAGGATGATTGGACGTCCTGGAATAGAGAATACAGAATCCAGCCTTTCGGTGCCAAGCACAAGAGGCAGGGCCCCTTAAGAAAGAAGTGGGGGAAAAGTCATCTTAATATTGTATTGTTGCTGAAGAAAGACTTCTATATGGATGTCATCCATAAAAAATAATAAAGCTCTAGTTGCAGTAAATGGAAACAATATTTAGGCTTATTGGATTGTTCAAGGGACATCCGATTTGCCACTCTGCCCTTTGTCGGCAAATAACTTAGACAGACTTTAGGATTTAATGGGCTGTCATTTCAGTTATTCTGCAGCATATCCCGGGTACATGGGAGAGCATTCAGTGATTAAGTGCTGAATACTGTCTATTGTGAAGACTTTTGGAACAGGGAACAGAGAAAAATAACTTTCCTTCCAACAACATGAAACATATGGTTTATTAATTTAACCAAACCTGTTCAAACCGCAGTGGAATCAAAACCACTTGATCTGATAATTTGATTTGATGGCTTAATTAAAATGACACTGTATAATGTAATAAAAGCAAAGGAAATGGAGAGGACACCGGGCTGCCTGCATACCCTCTAGGCTCCTAAGCCGATGTCGTGTTTTTTTGGTGAGTGTTTTTTGCCTCTGCTGATGGAGGGATCTCTTTTTTAGCTATGTTTTCAATTCTAAACATTGCTTCCTGTTTTGGTTAAAAGCACTTTTAAAGGACATGTACCACCGTGCAAGGATGCCTGAGTAAGTAGCCTATTTAAAATCAGTACATTGAGAAAGAGGGTCACATTTTCTATCCAAATTAGCAAACAAAGAAGTAAATCCATGACTGGTTTAAAAAAGAGTTTGACATTGAAATCATGGTTTTCTGCTATTTTGGGAGAAAATATTAATGTTGTTCTATTTTCAGTTTAATCATTTCTACTCACCAGATTAATGAGCTTGAATTACTTATCTTATTAAAAGAAGCTCTGATATGAACACTTAATGCCTTTGCAGGCAGCTGCCCTCCTAGAAACTCTTGCAGAAAGTTACCTTGTTACTGCCAGAAACTTTTAGCATAGGAAAGTATTAAGAAAAACAAACTTTTCATGCAGCCCCCATGGAGAGTTTTTAACCCCCTTCTTTCAAAAATAACTTTGATTTGTCATTCTTTTTTTAACCTGGAGTGTTTAAGAAAGAAGACAAAAAAAACAGGTCTGTTTCAAGACCCTTGGAACATCCTAGGCTCTCATACTTCTGAAGGTCCTGCCATATTATATCCAACATTTTTAAATGCTCAGACATTTCATGATTACTCTAAGTTTATGTAAATATATGAGTTGGTGTTAAGTTGCATTTGATAGGTTGACATAATGTTGATATTTTATAGACTTTTAATGTAGCATTAAATATTTTGTATCAATTGTTGTAGCTAGTAAATTTCTTTTCATATGTCAGACATTTTTTCTAGCTTTGAAAAGCTTATTGACTCTAGGAGTGGTGCCTGAAACACCTGTGGTCAGAAAGGCTAGCAAGAGAGCCGAGTGCCGTGGCACGCGCCAGTAGTCCCAGCTTCTTGGGAGGTAGAGGTGAGCAGTTCGCTTGAGCCCAGGAGTTTGAGGCCATCCTGGGCAACATAGTAAGCCTACGTCTCTTAAAAAGAAAAGAAAAAGAAAGTCTGGGAAGAGGTTTTTGTGTGCCAGATGCTGTGCTATTGTTTCCTATTCATAGTTGTTTTATTTAATCCTCAAAACAACCTCTGCCAGGATTTGCTTTTCATTCATTAAATATTTATTGACCATCTACTATAAAAAAGTTCTAGGTACTAGAAATAAAGTTGAACAAGGGATGGTCCCTCATCATGGAGTTTACATTCTAGAAAGGAGAAATAAATAAACAAGTCCACTGATGATGGGCTTCAATGTTGTCCCAAAGGGAATCAAATCAAGTCGTGTGCTAAGAGCGGTAGAGTGTGGTGAGGTGGTGGGGAGGAGCCCTTCTAGGGATAAGGCAAGTGAGGACAGGGAGCCAGCCCCACAGAGATCTGGAGAAGAAGGTCATTTGCAAGGGCCCTGAGGCATGGGATCCAACCTAGAGCGAGGTAAACAAAGGGGGAAGCAAGATCAGAGAGAAGAGCTGGAGAAGCAGGCAAGAGCAACTCTGGCAAAGACTTCTCTTGGTAAAGAGTTAAGACTGTTAGGAGTTAAGATCTTCTAGCAGTGGGAAGCCTCTGGAGGGTTTTAAAGAGGACTCTGGAATAATCACAACGTCTATAAACTTATTGTTCTGGCTGTTATGTGGCGAATGCTTGCAGAGGACTTGCACTGGAGTCTGCAGGACCCTGCAAGAGGCTGATGGAAATATCGCAGGTTGGATGAGGATGATCATAGTAAAAGTATAAGTGATCATTAGGGGTGGACTTTGGAGGAGAGCTTTGGAGATTTACTAACAGTTTGGATGGAGGGGTGGGTAGGGTGAGCAAAGTGAGAAATGGAGTATTATTGTTTCTCTTTAACAAGTGAGGTGTCTAACGTTCAGAGAGGGTAAGTGAATCATCCAAAGCCTCTCAGCCAGGAAGTGGTAGAGCTCAGACGTGAACCAAGATCCTCTTATGTCCAAACGCAATATTTCCATCATCCAAGGGACCGCCATCTTCCACAAGAACTTGCAAGTGGTGCCTCTGTGTTTTGGATGTCATCGGGTGACTTGAACAACACAGTTTAGTACTCCTTCCCTGAATGAAGGAGCTTTAAAAGGAAACATACTTGTGGGAATGAGGTGCTCTTACCTTCCTAAAAGTCATCACTGGGCTCAGTCTTTATCTGCTTGGCTTTTATCTATTTTGTCAGGTTATCTTGGGTGCTCAGGGCATAGGGTATTGGTCACAGGGTTAGTCCTGAGAGTCCTGCACCCACTTGATCTGTACCGTGGGGCCATTTAGGCAGAAGATCTTGTGCATCCTTGGATGAGGAGGGCCTAACACAGTACCTGGTACATAGTAGGTGCACAGTCATTGCTAAGTGAACGAATGAATAAATAATAAGACAGGATAAGGCAGTGTTAGAATACAGACTTGGGATTCAAGCATACCTAGACTGAAATCCTAGGAACGATTCACTCCTTTGTGACCTTGCTCAAGCTAATATCTAAGCTTCTATTTCCTTGCCTCTAAAATAGAGATAATAAGGCAGAGCCCAGTGGCTCACGCTTGTAATCCCAACACTTTGGGAGGCCAAGGTGGGAGGATCACTTGAGACCAGCAGTTCCTGACCAGCTTGGGCAACAGTGAGACCCCATCTCCACCAAGAAAAGAAAAAAAAATTTATCTTTTTTTTAACATTAGCTGGGCTTGGTAGCACACACCTGTAGTCCCTAAGCTACTCAAGAGGCTAAGGCAGAAAGATCACTTGAGCCCAGGGGGTTGAGGCTGTAGTGAGCCATGGTCATGCCCACTGCACTCCAGCCTGGGTGACACAGTGAGACCCTGTCTCAAAACATAATAGTAATAAAATAGAGATAATAATCATACACTCTCTTCCTCAGCCAGTGGCCTTTCAAATAAGACTTATAGTACAGGATCTTGGATATGGAAATTACTCTGCAAATAATTGTATCTTCTTATCTGTAGGTCAGCAATAGCTTCTTTGTATGCCCAGGACAACCTGTTATATGTGACATGATCATTGGAGAACGTATTTCAGAATAAGGGTGCCATGCCCTCTTCCTGTTAGAAGTGTGAAGCCAGGCTGTTCGAACTTGTCAAAACCTTTCTGATGAAATGTATAATCCTTAAGGTGGTCCACACATCAAGTCCTGTCCCCCTCTCCAGCCCCGTCTTGTACTTTCCTTCCCTTGGCATCCTACACTTCAGTCCAGCAGCCATTCTGCAGTCCCAGCAGGCTGTTCCCTCTACCTGGAAGGCCCTTGTCCCACCTCTGTACCTAACTGACCCCTCCTCAGCCTTCATAACTCAGCGCAAGGGTCCCTTCCCCAAGGAAGTTTCCTGACTGCCTTGACCCAGCCACTTGTTTCAGGGCACCAGTACCTTTCCCTTATAGTACTTACCAAAGTTGAATTTTTACATCTGATTATGCGATATGTGATTTTTCCCCCTAATATCCAGCTCTCCCACTACCCCATAAGTTCTGTGAGGGGTGAGACTTTTCCTTTTCTCTGTTTTTATTGGAGAGAGGGTGCTATGGTAACTGTTGACTCCTCAGTAAATACTGGATTGGATGGGTTGTTGGGTGGGTGGGTGGGTGGATGGATGGATGGATGAAAATGTGAATCCATGGATGGATAAGAGGATGGATGGATGTGTGGATCCACAAATGGATGGGAGGATGGATGGATGGATGGATGGATGGATGGATGGATGGATGGATGGATGCACATGTGGATCCATGGATGGATGGGAGGATGGATGGATGCATGGATAAATGCATGGATCCATGGATGTATGGGAGGATGGAGGGATGGATGGGAGGATGGAGGGATGCATGGATGGATTAAGCTAACATATACATATCAGGTGGCCAGGAATAAAAAATTCTTACCAAAAGAGTTTGCACAATTGGGACATGTATGATGTAGCCCAGGCTGGGTGCTCCTACTGGGGAGCATTGCCAGGCATCTGAAGTAGGATGTCATGCCAGTACTACTTCCTGAAATCAGAGAGGCTCCTGGGATTGGGGAAGCCACCTTTTACTCTGACCAAAAGCCACCTTGGATGGAAGCGTACATTTCAACAAAACATGGAGCGAGGGCTTTTCTGTCTGCCTCAAGGAACAGCCTAAAAGCAGAGAATGGAGTCACTTAAAGTGTCAGGCACTCGTGTCAGGATGCTCTCAGGCAGAATCGGCTGTTATGGCTTGGGAGCGTTTGAGCTGATACTGGTAGCAGACTCCAGGGGCCATCTAGTGTTTTCACACTTTACCTAATTACTTAATCCTCTCCATCTCTAGGCAGGTAGACAGAGTTTGATCTTCAAGGCCAACTTAGCAACCCTACTCTGGCTTTCTTTGCTCACTAGAAAAATCTTCTCTGACATTGGGTTTACTTGTGTGGGCACCATGGTGCTTGTGAACAGCAATCTGGAAATTAATAAAGGCCAACAGCTTCCTTACTCCCAGAGCAGCACACTTCCCCTTTTTCACTAACTAGCATTCACAGCCTATGAAACATGAGGCTGCGAGACATTGGTGTGCCTCTCATTGGAGCCATAGGAGGTATCTAGCTGGGAGACATCTTCCCCATTCATCCCACTCATTATTCCTCAAACAAACACGGGTTGGTTGAAGCTGTTTTTCTTCAGGTATCTGTCCAGGAATATGGACAGAACCCTTCTTTCCTAGGGCATAAGAAACAGTCTCATCTCCCTGCCCCTGAAGCCTGAAAATCAAAGAACAACTGTTAAGACCCAGAAGAGGGAGCCCCATGTGGTGTCCTCTTGAGTCAGGCTTTTCTTATTCCTTCTCAGCACAGCCAGTGGTTGTTACGGTTGCTGGCTTCACTCCTGGGCAACTCTCTTGACTGGTTTTGTGATTCCTAAGCACTGGCTGGGACCGAAATAAGTATCTTGGCTGTCACATTTCAAATCTCTGCCTGTGCTGAGAAGGCGCTGCCTGTATGTCTGAGACTAAATGCTGTCAGGTATTATCAGGTGCACAGAGCTATGCAATTCTTTGCTTCCGGGCTGGCACCAGGAAAGGCTTGCCAGAAGAGAAGAGCCTTCTCGCTGAGGAGTGTGCTGACTGTTGAAAACTTGGTTTTCACCCACCAGCTGCTCTTCAGAGCGTATGGACCTATTTGCCAGGGGCAGCCAAGAGACTCAAGTGGCTCAGTCCCTGCCATGTGCTGAATTGATGATTCCACTTGGGCCCACTCTCGGGCAGTGCCTGCCCATAGCCTGGTCTCTCCATCAACTGACAGTCTCCCTGTTTCCTTCTTGGGTCCCTTTGACCAAGTCTTGACCTGAGGGCAGTACCAGGTGTGGGAGGCCCTGAAACCATACCAGATAGGGCCATCCTTACCAAATGATCAGTTGGTTCAGACGCCACATCTGGGGATTGAAATGAGGTTGGAACCCAAACATTGGAGTTCATCCTACCACTCCACCCACACTCAGCCAGAGCAGAGAACAAGTAGGAGTAGCAAGTGGCCAGGAAGTAGCAGAGATGCAGAGTTAACAGGTAAATGCCATGCGTGAGCCAGGACACTACTTTTAAGCATAGTAGGTACCAAGCCGAGCAGACTACCTGTTTCCAAGAGAAATTATTTTAAGGCTCAGATGGAAAACAAATGAGGGCACCTTAACCATTTGCATCATAATAATCTAGACTCAAGTATTTCTATAAAATCCCAGCTAAAGCCATCTGTGTGGGTCACTGGTTGATTTCCTGACGTGGCTGTTGGGATCACTAATAAAAACAGCTCATGGGATCTTAGATCTTGGATGGTGTTTGGATACCAGTCTTGTGTTGCTAAGGGCAGCTTTAGAGCTCTATTTTAGGTGACCCGCTGTTTCTTCATAGTAAAGGGGACTACAACATTGTCTCAGCAGTGGGAAGCAGGAGAAAAACATCGTTATGAAAGAAGGACACTGGGCATTTACCCACCCTAGCTCCGCAGCCAGGTCTGTGGTTCAGACACTCAGTTGGAGCCCTTCACTAGGGCAAGACATGGGGAGAAGGTGGAAGGTCAGAAGCACCACGAGGGAAGGATGCTGTGCTCAATTAAAGTGGGATAGGTCCGCTTTGCTCTCTTAGCAGGAAATCACAGCATCATAAAGTTGAAAGGGAGAGAATGTACCCCAGGGTACATGGAATCCAGCCTTCCACCCAGCGTCCAAGATGCACGCAGCTGTTATCAAGTGAGGCTGGGAAGATGCATCATCCTGAACTTTGTCACCTCCCTTAGCGCTGAGCTGAACAATGCTCTTTCCTGCACAGGACATGGACACCTCCCATGGCCTTTAGCTCTCAGAGGAAGAGGGATATCATGTAGAAAAAAGAATCCAAGGAGGTAAGAGAGGTCAGGGAGAGCATAATGTGGGAAGTCGAAACCAGTGCTTGAACTGGAGAATTGAATTTCTGCCTCTGCTTTCCCAGATACTGCCTATTTCTGTTTTCTGAGCATGTAGCTCTGTTACATGCACAGCAGAGACAGCCAACAGGATAAGAAACAGTTTTCAAATTTGCTTTCTTCCATGGTAATTGCAACACAGAGCATCTAATACTCATTTGTTTGCTGAGAAACTGAATTGTAATTCAGGGCTTGTTCATGGAAAGGGAGATGTCATTGTACTGTGTAGAAGAAAAGTCCGCAGGTAACAGGTGGCATCAGTGAAGACACCATGGATTTAAAACTTGAAAGCAGTTGTCCTAGCACTTAGGAGAATCTGGGGGCAACTCCGCACCAGGGTCCCACATCGGAAGAAGGTGGCGGGCTAGCCAGCAAATTCTGGCCTCGGCAGCCAGATCCACCCCGGGATAAACCCCAGCTCCAGTGCTTCCTAGCTTTGAGACCTAATCTTGGGCCACTCTCCTCCTCATTCCCTGCTCACAGTCACACTAGTTTCCTTCCCAGTTTTCTCATCACAGGGCCTTTGTACACACTTTTTTTTTCTGTCTGACATACCCAAGCCTCCTTTTTTCCTCTTTCCTCTATAAACACCTACTCATTGTTGAGATTTCAGTTCAAACTATGCTCAGTAAGTTTTCTAAGCAACTCCCCAAGTTTAGGTCAGGGTTCCTTATTAAACCTTTATACAGAACTACTATAACATTTTCCTTAAAAAGCGTGTAATTATATATGCCTTAGTGCTAGATGGGTTTAACCATTTTGGTGCCATGGACTCCTTTAGCTTATCTTCTCATATTGATGGTTTTAGATGCTTAAAATAAAATATAATAGATTACAGAGGAAGCCAGTTATCCTCAGATATTTTCGAAATATCTTTAAAATTGTACTAACTTACCTGCTTCTTGATGAGGGCATTAAATTACAAGATCCAGCTGCAGATCTAAAAATCATTATAATGTTGATATAATGATGAACATGAAGGAAATTTTGAAATGCAACTGAGTCCTGAACACCATGGAGATTGGAGTGTCCACACAATCAAATATCCAGTATAAATTTTGACTCTCCAAAAAGTTAATACTTAAGCCTTACCAGTAACATACACAGTCAATTAACACATATTTTGTATGTAATATGTATTATATGCTATATTCTCACAATAAAGTACTCTAGAGGAAAGAAAATGTTATTTTGAATATTATAAGGAAGAGAAAATGTATTTACTGTTCATTAAATGGGAGTGGATCATCACAAGGGTCTTCATCCTTGTCATTTTCTTGTTGAGTAGGCTGAGGAGGAGAAAGAAGAGGAGGAGTTCGTTGCCCTGTCTCAGGGGTGGAAATTCACTTATAAATTGACCCATGCAGTTCGAACCTGTGTTGTTCAAGGGTCACCTGTATTGGTAATCACTGTAATCTAACAGGAATAGCTTTGTGATATCTTTTGGTGATTATCACACAAGTCTCGTAACACTACTGTAGTTTGTTGCCAACATTTAAAATGTAAGGAAATGCTACATTTTTGTTAGAGATTAGTGAACATAAAAGTGGACTTTTTTGCTATCTAAGTTCACAAACTTCTGTGAATTCTATGCAGATCTCCTAAGGACACTCAAAACCTCTGTTTTACGGAGATTCTGTTGTTGATGTGTGTTCTCCCACTGGGCTGTCATCTCCAGGGGGTCAGGAGCATGACAACATGTGTTCACCTTTATCCATAGTTCCTGGTCAAGGGCCTGACATATGGCCGGTGCCGAATAAATAGTTAACAGTAACTAATTCTTTGTTTGTTTGTTTGTTTGAGATGGAGTCTCGCTCTGTCGCCAGGCTGGAGTGCAGTGGTGCGATCTCAGCTCACTGCAACCTCCGTCTTCCAGGTTCAAGCAATTCTGCCTCAGTCTCCCGAGTAGCTGGGATTACAGGCACCTGCCACCATGCCCAGCTAATTTTTGTATATTTAGTAGAGACGGGGTTTCACCATGTTGGCCAGGATGGTCTCGATCTCTTGACCTCGTGATCCACCCGCCTCAGCCTCCCAAAGTGCTGGGATTACAGGCATGAGCCACTACGCCCGGCTAACAGTAACTATTTCTAAAGTACGTTTGCTATATGTCAGTCCACGTGCATTTGTGCATTTCATGCATTTATCCCAGAAGCTTTTACCCAAGCTTTATCCAAGGCCACACAACTGGTTTGTCTAAAACCAAAGCAGTCTGACCCTAGAGTAAGCAAGTGAATGAATGACCCTCTTAGATCTAGGTCTCTAAAACAAGGGTAATGATAGAGCCAGCAGCCCCACAGAATTCCCGTGAGGATTTGATGACATAAGCTGTGAAATGTTCTAACAGCCCAGAGCTGGGCTCATCAGATAGGACTCGTTACTATTAATATGTCAGTACAGAGTAGGCCGGGCGCGGGGCTCATGCCTGTAATCTCAACACTTTGAGAGGCCGAAGTGGGTGGATCACTTGAGGTCAGGAGTTCGAGACCAGCCTGGCCAGCATGGCGAAACTCTGTCTCTACTAAAGATACCAAAATTGGCCAGGTGTGGTGGTGGGTACCTGTAATCTCAGCTACTTGGGAGGCTGAGGCATGAGAATTGCTTGAATCCAGGAGGCAGAGGTTGCAGTGAGCCAAGATTACACCACTGCACTCCAGCCTAGGCGACAGAGTGAGACTCGTCTCAATTAAAAAAAAAAAAAAAAAAGAATGGCACAGAATGAAGGCCTTGGTGGGTGGGCACTATAGCAGCAATCTGTATATTTCCAGCATCCTGTCACTCCTTGAAGGACCATGAGCTCCCTATGCGTTTCTGATGGGGGAAGAGGCGATTGCTGCGTCCAGTTTTAGAGAGACCCGAAGGAGTTGGAGGCTGCTCTGGAAATTGTCAAGAGACCCCACATTGTCATTTGTCATTGAGAACTGAGAAGGGAGTGGGGATGGGGAAGGATGAAGGAGAAGGGAACGGGAAGGAAGCTTTTTACCTGCTGGGACAGCTTTCCCCTTTTAAGCTCTTGGAGTAATGCCCCTGACATCTTTATTAGCATCTTGAAGATAGGAAAACAGTTACGGGACGTGTATGGGGCAAGTACATACATGACTGCTCCATGGAGTGCCCTGTCAACTCTGGTTCAGACTCAGGCAGATTGGGATTCAGTTCTCCATTCTCTTCTCACTCTGGTTCCTTGGCCCAGCCCAGTAACTTGGTCTCTCTGAAGCCCAGTGTCATCATCTTTCATGGGGTGAATGGAGCCCAGCTCTCGGATTCGGTTATGCGTTGTGTGCGGGGGATGATCCGAGAGGAATGCACAGAGCCGGGCCCAGGGCATGTGCGTGGCAGCCGCAGCTCCAGCTAGAAATGATTCAGATGGAAATGCACATTACACTGGAGCTGGGGTCCTGCTTTGATTCCATCGTTCCCAGTTCCTTCCTCCGTGTGGTTTGCCCATCTTGAGCTCTTGGGCAGGGATGGGGGAGGCAACACCCCAAGCACCAAGATTCCAGGTTTGAAGTCCTACGCGGGCTGCTGAGGAGGATTCTGTGTTTACCTAGACCTCTTTCATATAGCCCTTCAAAAAGATAATCACTCCCTGAGGCCATTTCTCTGGAAATTTCCCTTAAAGGATTCCATATTTGAAGGTGATAAAGAAATGACAGGCATTTAAGCAGTCTAAGGCAAGGCTTGGGCTCTCTTCCACCTGACTGGTTCCCTCCTGCTTTTAACAGGAAATGCCTCCTGCTCTTTCTCCCCACCAGGGCCAGGCAGTCCCCAAGAAACAGGCATCTCCCCCACGGTCGTCTGCTGGCTTAAGCCAAGCTGTTCCCTCTGACACCGCCCCTGTGTGGCATATGATGTTGCAACACCTCCCACCCAGGAAGCAGCAGTTTCATCTGTGTTGACAGGCACTGTGAAATAGTGAATCTGCACCGAATTGGTTTGTTTGAGTAGTAGTACTGTCTCTTTGACTCCTGATCAATATTTGGCCAGTTGCGTCGGGTGTGAAACTCCGAGGGGGCAGGTGCTGGAAGAAGGCCCCTGGAGGAACCTTGAACTGCAGATAGTTTAAGGCACTTGGAAATTACACTGACTTTCAGACAGAGCATATCACATTAGTTTATCTAAAGCCCCAAATGAAGAGGATGGGGTGGGGGTGGGGAGCCTACTATTTACTGTGGAACCACTGAGAAAATATCCTTGACATTGATTTAGGATCAGAGGACCTTGGGTGCTCTGCTAGAAGACTCTTCATTACTTAAGGAAGCCTGGGATCATAATTAAAGGTGGTTCAGAGTGAAGGCAGAAATTCTCAGAGCTGGTGAGGAGCAGTACCTTCATGCCTGTGAGAAGCAATCGGACCCCAGTGGGAACATAATCAGGCCCCTGAAAGGGGAAAGGCTGTTGTCAGGAGGCCTCACAGGGGATATTTGTTTAGAGATCCGGGTGTGGCACCTCCCGCATGGTTAAAAGGCTTCAATTTTGTGCAAAAGGACGTATCAAGAGGTCTATCAGACTTCCCTTTGTTAGGTGCAGTTTACAAGGACCATTGAGAAGAGATAGATAAGTACAAGTATTGGGCATCTGTGGTGTGCCCTCGAGAGTGCTCCTGGTGTTCATTTTAGACCAGTAGAAAACTCACCTCGCCTTGGGGGCCAGAGAGCTGCCGGGGAAGTGGGCTGAGCAGAGGCAACGGGGAGTGGTGGAGACTATGGCAAAAAAAAAGAAAAATTGAGTACACACTCCCATCTAAAGGAAATGGTTGCTCTCCTGCTCTAGCTCACCACTGCCACGTGTGGATGCAGGCGTGATTTTAAAGCCCATATTTATATGTAAAATATACCATTTTTTTAACACTGTGTGGGCCATAGAGTGTGTCCACGTACTTGCCATTGGGCCTGAGGCCCACAACTTTGGGTTTATCCACAGTGTTCCCTCGTAATCCTCACTGCAACCTTGTGAGGAAGATAATTGCTAGACCCTAGTCATCCATTTTACAGATGCGGACACAGGATTTGCATGGGTCTGGCTCCAAAGCCCACACTTTCTGTTATACCAGCTCTTCCAAACTGATCTATAGAATTCTGTTTTGCTGCGTTTGCCTGTTTCCTTTTTGGACTTTTGAGGGAGGTGTTGTTTGAAAGAAGGGTTTCCATCACTTAAAGAGCAAGCAGAACTTTGGAAGCACAAGGCACAGTGGTGTCTGCCTGCTCGCTTGCCTGAGTTATTTGACGGGTGTCTGGTACTATCGTTGCCCCAGTCGCCAAGCATCGGTGGTTTTTGTTCCCTCTGTAGACTGAATGCTTTTCTTATTAGCAGAAGGCATGAGTTAAAGACCAGAGACAAGATCCTCAACACATTTGAGGCTCCTGGCAGTGACCCCAGGAATGAATTGTGTGGCACTGATTTTGTACATGGAATCCTCTTCAATGGAGGACGCTCAAAACAGCATCCCTCATTCCGTCAGAGAAACGCGAGCCCCTGCCAAGGGTACCAGTGATAAGGAGCTTGGTGGTCCCTGCCTGGGAGATGCTTGCAGCTCAGTCAGGGGGACACAGAGGTGGGTAGGTGGTGAGGACAGAGGGTGATGGGCACACAGGGTGAGGAGGGAAGCAGTGAGAGTGCAGGAGGACACGGGTGGCCCATCGGCCTCAGAGGGGAAGCAGGGTGTTGAAGCTGGATTTTTTTCTTTTCCTTTTTTTTTTTTTTTTTGAGATAGGGTCTTACTCGGTCACCCAGGCTGGAGCACAGTGGCATGATCAAAGCTCACGGCAACCTTCACTTCTTGGGTTAAAGTGATCTTCCACCTTAGCCTCCTGAGTAGCTGGGACTATAGGTGTGCGCCACCACACCTGGCTAATTTTTGTGTTTTTTTCTAGAGCCGGGGTTTCACCATGTTGTCCAGGTTGCTCTCGAACTCCTGGCCTCGAGCGATCCACCCACCATGGCCTCCCAAAGTGTTAGGATTACAGGCGTGAGCCACCACGCCTGTCCTTGAAGCCGGATCTTTAAGGGGGCTGGGGTGGGGGCTGGCCAGAGATGCGTCCATGAAGAGGAAGATGGCAAGCCATGAGGCTGACGATGTGGAAGGGGAACATGTCACACAGGACCTGTGGACCACGGGAAAGACTAAGGCTGTTACTCCATATACAACCAACTTTCTGTTCATTCAGCAAGTATTGATTGAGAGCCCACTACGTGCCAGGCACTGTCTTAGATGCAAGGTAATGAACCAGACAAGACAGAAAAGGCGCCAGCCTTGTGGAGCTTCCACCTAGTGGGGGAGATAGATAATTACAGATCGTCAATGAAGTCAATAATACAACTCCACGTACTAGTAAGTGCTGGGAAGAATCTAAGCTCTGTGAAGGAGCAGGCCTGTCAGCCTGTGCAGAGGGGCAGAATTCAGTGCCAAGAATACAGTGCAGTTGATAATTGTGTTTCAAAAAAAGGCTTGGCC
Organism: Homo sapiens; assembly: GCF_000001405.40. NCBI lineage: Eukaryota > Metazoa > Chordata > Mammalia > Primates > Hominidae > Homo > Homo sapiens. The sequence continues at coordinate 62,187,333 of NC_000003.12, forward strand.
TCTCCTTACTGTCGCAATCTGGGATCAGCACTGATCCACGGGCCGAAACTTACTCCCCACCACCTTTTGTGTAACCATGAGCTAAGAATGGTTTCTATATTTTTAAACAGTTGGAGAAAAATCAAAAGAATATTTTGCAACACATGAAAATCCTATGAAATTGAACTTGTGTCCATAGATATTTCTGCTGGAGCACAGCCACACTCATTCATGTTTACATACTATCTGTGCTGCTTTGTGCTTCAAAGGTGGAATCAGTAGTGGTTACGAGAGACCATGTGGCCTGCAAAGCCGAAAATATTTACTATCTGGCCCTTTACAGAAAAAATGTTTGCCATCCTCTATTCTAGGCCCTCCTAGTACTCTGCAAATGCCTCCTCCAAATTTGGCCCAGTATAGCTAGAAAAAGCCACTACCCAGGATGGGGGGTAGAGAACAGAAGAGACATCTCTCATCAGACTGCTCTTCCTATAGCTCCTCAGCCTGCAAAGCCCTGGCCTCATGCTCCTCCTCTCGTGTAATCAGGGACAAGCATGGATCTTTGGAGGCCATTAAGTTACAGAATTCCCTTCCTGGCAGGTGATCCTGTTAGAGCGAGGCCAGATCTACCTCCTTTGAGAGCTTAACTCAGTATTTTTTAATACATTGAGACAGTGAGATTCTGTACCATCATTCAAGACAATGACACTAAGCTCTACTTATTGACGAGGAAATATACCCATGAGTTGTTGAGTAAAACACAACAACAAAAAATTCTAGGGCCAGTCATGGTGGCTCACGTCTGTAATTCCAGTACTTTGGGAGGCCAAACAGGGAGGATCACTTGAGCCCAGAAGTTCAAGACCAGCATGGGCAACATAGTGAAACCCCGTCTCTATTTTAAAAATTTAAAATTAGCTAAGTGTGGTGGTATGCACCTGTAGTCCTAGCTACTTAGGAGGCTGAGGTGGGAGGCTTACTTGAGCTCAGGAGGTTGAAGCTGCAGTGAGCCATGATCCAGCCACTGCACTCCAGCCTGGGTGACAGAGTGAGACACCACCACAAAACAAAACCAAACATTCCATTCTAGTGCCATCCACATCCTATTCTATTTCTATCAATTGTGCGTATGTACTTTCACATGTATATAAAGAGATAACTGCATGTTGGAGTCCCAGAATGTTCACAATCGTTTTCTCTGGGCACTGAGATTTGGGGTGAATTTTTTCTTTTAACTTTCTTTTTACTTTTTTGTACTACTTGGGTTCCTTTTTTAAAAAATATTAACATGAATCATCTTAATGCACACAGAAAAACCCATCTATTTTAATTTCAAAAAATAAGAAGAATGGTTGCATCTGTATGTGGGTGACAGAATTATTTATGGGGGTATGATGTAACTGTCAGAGAGGGATGCTTCCCCATACAGTGTTCATTGCTATTTGGAGCAGGGGAATGAATGCTTTCAGAATGAGGAAGATAAATAAGAACATGGTGGGAGGTGAGAAAAGATAGAGAAGTTAGGAAATCTGAGATGGTCATCATTATGGGATATAGAAGCTTCCCAATATGTACATCTCGGTTCGTTATTAGTATTTGGAACGCTGGGGGTGTAGCTATTTCCTGATCTTTCCCCCGCCTCCTCCGTGTTCTGTCTTGAAAAACTATGAAGCCACTTAGAAGCCGGAGTATTTAAAAACAGTAGGTTGGCGCCACCTAGTGCCCACGTTCTGTCACTCCGCCCTCATGTCTCCGTGGAAGCCTCCCTTCAGATTCTTTGTTTGATGTCCCTTCTCTGGTGGCATTTGCGCAGCGGACAGCGTGATGCCTCCCAGGGGTTCTGCGGGGCAGTGGGAATGACCCACTAATTTATCCCTTCCTCCCTCCCTCCCTTCCTTCCGTTTCTGTCGCACTAAGTGAACCTTACCAACTGAACTGGGGTTTGGCAGTTGAAGAGTAAAAGGTGGCCTCCCTGTCAAAACCAATCTACTTTTCTCCACCGGCCAGGTCCTCAAAGCTGGGCCATGCGTCTCTGGCAGGAAAGCCATCCTGTCCCCAGAGCTGCCTTGGGTTTTGGGTTCTTGAGTAGGAAATACGGGAGTCTGGTTCCTGGTGGGCTGCAGGGCATGTGGGTGGTCTTTGGAAGATGCCAGCGGGTCAGAACCAAGCCGTGGTCCCCTGGCCTGTCTCTGCCAGCACGCCCGCTTACTTCTTACCCGGTTCCTGCACCCAAACCAGAAGGTCCTCCTCACCCTCCCCTGCCCTCCTTACCCGGCACATCACCAGGCCTCTGCGTTTTACCTCCTAACTGTAAGCTCTAGGACCTGCCATTCCTCCCTGGTCTTCCAGCAATTGGCCATTGCCGCCCCTCCTCACAGGCCCCCTCCTCCACACTTGGCTTCTCTGGGGCCTTCTACACTCAGCTGAAGTTCAGGGGATCTTTGTAAAGCACCAACCTGATTGCATCACTCTGGGGCTCAGTTCTTTCCAGGGGTGTCCAAGGACTCGTGGGAGAAAGGCCAGAGTTCAAATCTGGCCCCAAGGCTTCTCACTGCAGCTACACCTGTGCCCTGCCTGCCTGTCTTTTCTGTGACTTGCTCCAGCCCCTCAGACCTTCCCACCGGATCCCTTTACAGCTCCCACCCCCTTCATCTCCATAAGCTCTCAGCTCTCAGTTACATGAACCTTCCTCAAGGGCATCTTCCCTGGGTGCCAAAGCCCGAGCCACCTCTTCCTCTCCCTCCTCTCCCTCCATCCTGTCCTGGCGTGCAGTGATGGCTCTGCGCATGGGATTCTTTGGTGAGCCTCCATCTCTTAGAGTGGAGGTTCTCAGCCGAAGGTGATTGGCCCCTGCAAGCAACCTTTGGCAACACCTGGAGACATTTTTGGTTGTCACAAGTTGAGGACGGGGAGCAGAGCTACTGGCATCTAGCAGATGGAGGCCAGGGATGCTGCTATACAGTACACAGGACAGTCCCCAAGAGCAAGGCATTGTCTAGCTCAAGAGGTCATGGGTGCTGAGGGTGAGAACCCCTGCCCTGGACCATCAGCTCCATGAAGGCAGGCAGCACGGCCACACGGGTCTGGACACCCCTGAGAAAGCACACATTTCCGGCTGACTGGATTGGACCTGTTGAGCATTTGTATAACTCATTCAGACCTGTCAAGGTCTCAACACTTTCATAGGTTTGTCTGTAAATAGATTTAGATCCACCGTGTCCCTTAAACCTCTCAGCCCCAAGGAATAAGAAGATGAATGAGCCTGACTTTTCCTTACACCCCACGTCAGGATAATTACACGGGGTTCTGCTGTTCCAGAGAAAGTCATCCTTGTGTTATGTGACTTTGCTTTAAAATTATTTAAAGTCTCATCTTAAATTTATTTATTTACACTCGGACCTGTTTACAATAAGATTTCGTCTACAATTTTAGTTAGCACACTCCACCAGTCCAACGGCCTGGCTTCTTCAAAACGTCCATCATGAAGAAAAAGGCTGTTGACCATGAGGCTGAAGTCAGGGGGACACAGTGATTAAGGATCTTTTGGAGACAGCGGGGAAAATTTGAATATGGACTATATATGAGATAATAGTATTGAATTCATGTTTAGTTTCTTTCATGTGAAACTGGTATTATGGTTACATAGGAGAGTGTCCTCAATCTTGGGAGATGCAGGACAGAGTATCTAGAGGAGAAGCGTCAGAATGCTGCAGTGTTTACTGGCCTAGCAGAAAAACAGTTCTGTGTGTGTGCGCATGTGCATCTGTGTCCCGTGCATGTGTGTGTGTGCATCTGTGCCCCATGCACATGTGTGCGTGTGTGCGTCTGTGTCCCGTGCACGTGTGTGTGCGCATGTGCCTCTGTGCCCCGTGCACATATGTGTATGTGCATTTGTGTCCCGTGCACGTGTGTGTGCATCTGTGTCCCTTGCACACGTGTGTGTGCATCTGTGTCCCGTGCACGTGTGTGTGAGAGAGAGGGAGAACAATGTTCTCCCTCTCTCTCTACACACACAATGTTAAGAGGACCCAGGAGAAGGGAGCATGGGTGCTTCCTGTATTACTCTTTCAACTTTTTGAGGCTGCAGTCCTTAGGGGCACGGATTGAATGGCGCATTGTTCTGAAAGCTCCCTGAGCTGAGCCCTGTGTATCTTCAGTTTGCAGCTCTCCACCCATCCACATGAAGGTGCAGCCTCTGAACCAGACGGCACTGCAGGTGTCCTGGAGCCAGCCGGAGACTATCTACCACCCACCCATCATGAACTACATGATCTCCTACAGCTGGACCAAGAATGAGGACGAGAAGGAGAAGACGTTTACAAAGGACAGCGACAAAGACTTGGTATGAAGCCCCTCCTCTGATTCAGGGTACATGCTGCAGAGAGGGACTCCTGCTGCAGCTCTCTGCCAGGCACTGCACAGTGTGCCAGCTCTGTGTCATCTGTCCTCACACTGTCTGGTGAACATGGGCACTGCCATTGCTGCGCTGCTCGAGAGTGCCGGGGAGGACAGTGGATGGAGCCTGCCTGGGCGCCATCCTGACCTTAGACTTAACAGCTATGCAACCCGGAGAGCCGGTTCATTTCTTTAGATTGGTTCCTTTAAAACTGACTGCTTTTTCTTTCATTATTAACAGCCTCAATTAGGCCCTTTTCATCTGATGGGATTATCATAAATACTAAATGAGCTATGCAAGTATTCAACAGGTCCTATATAACTGTATAAATATTAACTATTATTTATTACGATCATTCTCCTCTTCCTCTTCCCCTACTAAAGCTACTGCTGCTGATGTCACCACCACCACTGTCCACAGTCGCTGCCACTTCCCTTTGTCACATTTGTTCTGCCTTACACATTTCCAATACCTGCCAAACCCCTACAGCTGTGTAATATTTTATCTCTTTTCTCAGATACTCAAATGCTATACTATCTGACCTCACTTTGGGCTACACGTGCCTAATTCAATGTCTCCTCTAAAAATTTACATAAATGTTTAGTGTCCAACACACAAGCCCCTTCAGAACAGATGTTTGCAGAAGCCATCTCCTTCCCTATAAAGCAAACTCCACAACTACTGTCTTTTTTTTTTTTTTTTTTTTTTTTTTTTTTTTTGAGACAGAGTCTTGCTCTGTCGCCCAGGCTGGAGTGCAGTGGCGCAATCTCGGCTCACTGCAAGCTCCACCTCCCGGGTTCATGCCATTCTCCTGCCTCAGCCTCCCAAGTAGCTGGGACTACATGCATCCGCCACCATGCCTGGCTAATTTTTTTTTGTATTTTTAGTAGAGACAGGGTTTCACCGTGTTAGCCAGGATGGTCTCCATCTCCTGACCTCATGATCCGCCCACCTCGGCCTCCCAAAGTGCTGGGATTACAGGCGTGAGCCACTGCGCCCAGCCTACAACTTCTGTCTTTAAGTCTTTGCCTAAAAACTCAAAGTGACACATTTGGTTTGAAAGCCTTGCGTTTATTGTTAATCAAAGGAAGGCTCTGGAATAATGAAACCCGTAATTGTATATGCACATGAAAAATGCAGTAGCACCAAGTGGGATTCTTAATGACTGTTATCACTTTTTTTCTCCAATACAGAGTCCTCCGGGCCCATTCAATCAGTTATAGAATAATACTTTTCATATTTCTTTAGATGAAGATTCTTTTACTTCATTTCCATTTATATTTTCAATTTCCCCACTAGACATTGTTATCTGGGTCACGTTAGGGAATGATGAGCTTCGTGAAATCAAAGAGGAATGTGTTGAAAGGCACCCAAGGTTATGATGTATTTTAACCTTTCTCTTGTCACAACTGGAAGTCCATAAGGGATTTTTCTCTTTCTGGAGTGAAGATGGCTTGCATTAATCAGCAGAAACCATCTAGGCGCTTATGCAGTTTCTTGTTCTAAGTGGAAAATAATTAAACATGCAAAGATGAATAGATACCGTCTTGGAGTGAATTCTAATAAATCCCTGCATAGATGGAGTGAAGATTTCGCTCTGAACAGAAGATGGGGTCAGAGGTTTAGAGAATGAAGCATAAATTAGTTTCAGAGAAAAAGAGAGATGTAGAGAAAAACATGCATTGACAGCAACTTCTTTCTTACAAGAATTTCTAGGGCTGGTTATTTTCTTTGGGGACACACAAAATTAATTTTTCTAATTCCTCAGCGAGTGAAGAGTGCTGACTTAGTGGCAACAGAGCTATTCTCTAACTCATCATGGTTATTGTGGCCCAGAAACCTGGAAGTAATACATATCATTTGAGCAGCATTTTCTAGAGGGCATCCACCTTCCGCATCGTCACCACAAACCTGTGGGCAGGTGTTATTGCCCGCCTTTTCCAAACGAGATCAGTGAGGCTTAAAGTTAAATAACATGGCCCTAGCCTACCCCTCTCACTAGGAAGCTGCTTTCAAGGCAACAGCAGCAGGTGTGGCCACAATAACATTTTAATACCAGTTCAGAGGTTTTCAATAGCTGCGTTGGGAAAACCCACTCCCAATCGGTGGCTAAGCTCACAGAGCTGCTTCTATACTTGGCCCAGAACACATGCTTTGATGATAAGACAACTCATCTATTAAGAAGAGTCTTTGAAAATCAGTTGCTTTTGTTGTTCGTTTCTTTAGGAAGCAAGTGCTGCCTGTTTTTTAGGTAGTTTCCATTTTCTCGTTTTTAAAGGCTGTCAGAATGAAACTGTGAGGAAGAGGGACCTGGATTTGGCTAATGTTTGACAAGAGGTTGGCAAACTTTTTTCTGGAAATGGCTACATAGTAAATATCTGAGGCTTTACAGGTCATGGAATCTCTGGCATAACTACTCAACTCTGCCATTGTAGAGTGGAGGGAGCCATACACCTACCTAAACAAATGGCCGTGGCTGTGCCAATAAAACTTTATTTATAAAAACAGACAGTGGGCCACAGCTTGCCAACACCCCTATGTTAGCCAAGTGGCATTCTTTCTGTTGCTCGGTGTGGTCTACCTCTGAGCAAGGTTTGCTGGGCCTATGTTATGTAATTCTCACAAGTACCTATGAAGTAGCTCTTCCTCTCCCCATTTTACAGAAGATAGCAGAGGCTGAAAGAACTGACTCAGAACCCCACAGCTTGTGAGTGGTATGAGGAGACTATGTCCTCTGCCTTCTAGCCTGGTGTTCTTCCTTGCATCATGCCCCATACTCTGCGTAATAAAAATACAGCGAGGCCTTTGAACTGTAAAGAAACAGACCTGGGCAGGCAGGGTGGCTCACGCCTGCAATCCCAGCATTTTGAGAGGCTGAGGCGGGCAGATGATCGAGACCAGCCTGGCCAACATGGCAAAACCCCGTCTCTACTAAAAATACAAAAATTAGCTGGGCTTGGTGGCGGCCTCCTGTAATCCCAGCTACTCGGGAGGCTGAGGCAAGAGAATCACTTGAACCTGGGAGACGGAAGTTGCAGCGAGCTGAGATTTTGCCATTGAACTCCAGCCTAGGTGACAGAGTGAGACTTCATCTCAATAAAAAAAAAAAAGAATAATGTTACTCTTTCCTGTGTCCTGAACATTTCGGTGTTGAAAACAGGTTCCCAGGGAAGCTCATAAAAATAGATTCCCAGGCAGGGTCCAAGCGGTCTTTCCTTCCAAAGTGAGCCTTTGGTCAGCAGGGAAGCATCACACCTGTCAGGCATTGTCACGGCACTCAGGTTTGGCTTTAGAATGCAAAGTGTGCCTTGGCCTTCAAAACTAACTCACTGCTTTTTCCTTCTTTACTTACAGAAAGCCACCATTAGCCATGTCTCACCCGATAGCCTTTACCTGTTCCGAGTCCAGGCCGTGTGTCGGAACGACATGCGCAGCGACTTTAGCCAGACGATGCTGTTTCAAGGTGAGGCTGGCTTCCCCTCCTGTGGCCGGGGTGCCCCTGAGACTCCCTCCCAATGCTTTCTGCTTCTTCCTGCTCAGGTGCTGGGGAAAAATACAAACAAGCCTGGCAGAAGAATCAGTGTAGGGTTTTAAAGCCTATGCGGGAAGCCCTAGTAATTTAGGTCTTTTAGGTTGGAGGTTTTATCGGCAGAAGAGGGGAGAAAAAACAAAACATTTTTGATTGTTTTATTGTTATTTTCCAACTGTGGGGAACCAAGTACTCGGGCCTTTTTCTCGGTCACTGTCCAGCGCTGTGTCAGATCACACAATCACTTCCAAGTTGTACCGCTGAATATCCTCTTTGTCTTTCTAACGTGATTCAGTTAGCTGTTCTCTCAAAAACTGCAGCCCATAGCAGCTACACCTCACCCTTCCGACTTGCAAGCCACACAAACAAGCGCCTGCATGCAGGATCCTTGAGATTCCTGGATCTAGATAGATGGTCCTGATGACTTAGGGACTAATAGAAAGGTCCAGGGCCAGAACTAGGGTGAAGCAAATGGGACATTTGCCTTTGCTCAAAATTTTAAGGGGCACCAAAAAATTGAGTGACCAAGAGACATAACATTTTAGTGGGATTTTTTTTGTTTGTTTGTTTGTTTTGAGATGAAGTCTCGCTCTGTTGCCCAAGCTGGAGTGCAGTGGGGTGGTGTTGGCTCACTGCAACCTCTGCCTCCTGGGTTCAAGTGATGCCTCAGCCTCCTGAGTAGCTGGGATTACAGGCACCTGCCACCACGCCCAGCTAATTTTTTGTATTTTTACTAGAGACGGGGGTTTCACCATGTTGGCCAGGCTGGTCTTGAACTCCTGACTTCGTGATCTGCCTGCCTTAGCCTCCCAAAGCTCTGAGATTACAGGCGTGAGCCACCACGCCCGGCAATGGGATGTTTTTTAAAAGCAAAATTAGGCTGAGTGCGGTGGCTCACACCTGTTATCCCAGCACTTTGGGAGGCTGAGGTGGGTAGATCAGGAGATCAGTTCGAGACCAGCCTGGCCAACATGGTGAAACCCCGTCTCTACTAAAAAAAACAAAAATTAGCTGGGCTTGGTGGTGCGTGCCTGTAATCCCAGCTACTCCCAGCTACTTGGGAGACTGAAGCAGGAGAATCACTTGAACCTGGAAGGCGGAGGTTGCAGTGAGCTGAGATCATGCCACTGCACTCCAGGCTGGGCAACAAGAGTAAAACTCCGTCTCGAAAAATGAAAATATAATAAAATAGATACAAAAATAAAAATAAAAGCAAAATTAATGTAAAAATCTCATGAATAAAATATCTGAATTTTAAGTAGAGATAGATACACTCTGTCTTACTTGCGCCAACCTAATCCCAGTCCTGGTTCCAGTATTATTTAGGCAGCTGTGGGCTGTAGCCACGGGCCGTAGTTTGGTGATTTGGTTTGATGACAGGCCTTAAGACCAGCATGGAAGTAGGGACCAGGGTGCTGGACTCTGCTCTGCCAGCCTGAGGTCCTCTTGGATCAGGTCCTTGACTTCTCAGGTCCTCAGTTTTCCCTGAGGGAAAACTTATCTGTCAAATAAGAAAACCACGCCAGGTTAACCAGGCCAGTGGTGAACGCTTTTTGAGTTACAAATCTGATGAAGGTTTGGACATTTTCCCTACAAAGTGCTAGAATTTTGCATACAACTTTGGGGACCCAGTCAGGCATGTGAGTTGTGGACCAGCAGCAGCAGCAGCAACTGCAAGATCTCCTGGAAGCCTCATTTGAGAAGTGCACATTCATGGGCCCCTCCCAGACCAACTGCATCAGAATCTTACCTGGGGCAGGGGGCGTTATCCAGGAATCTGAGCTTTCACAAGTTGGCCCTGATGGCCCTGGGAGCTGGCAGGCACTGTAAGGGGTTCTGGAGTGAGGACCTCTGGTCTGAGTCCCAGCTGCCTTTTGGAAGCTGCACAACTTTGAGAATGTTTCTTAACTGCTTGAACCTGTAGTTTCCCAATCCAAAAAGTGGCAGTATCCATAGTACCTACCCCATAGGGTCTTTGTAGAATGATGTGGGGTAATGGATGTTAAGTCATTCACATAGTGCTAGTTACTGGCACTATGTATAAATCCCCCCCTTAGTATTAGTATATAAAAATAATAAATAATAAACCTAGGATTAGAAGCTCTCCAGCCTAGATTTCCTGCAAGGATCCCTTCTGGCTTGAACATTTTCCATTTAGTATTTAAATATTCTTTGCTAATGTTCACATTGATCTCATCCTTCCATTTAAACTAATGGAAATGAGCATAGCTGCATTTTTTTCCATAAATAAATCATGCTCCCTGTGCCCACCTTTACTGTGAACATATTGGTCTCTTTCCCTGTGTCGAGGAAGGACTGCAGGCCAAGGCCAGGTCTGTGCTGGCCTAGGGGAGAAGGAAGGAAGGCAGACTGGGAGCTTGCTGAGGCCGGGGCCCTTGGAACTTCGGACACATAAATCATGATTAAGGCCTCCTATGTGCTCCATCCAAGAGCCTAGAATCTGCAGAACTGCCTTACCTGATTAATAGACCCAGGGCTCCCTGGCTTCTGCATGGACTTTGAAAAATTAAATGTTTGTAATATAATGTAATTCAAAAAGGCCCTGTCAGCTAATAAGTTCAAAGCATGGAATAGTTTAAATGTCTGATGACGATGACTTGCTGAAAATGGCCAGTGTCTCCTTGTCTACAGACTTTCTTTCCTCAGAGGTGGACGTGAGTTTACTCATTACATATATTGGCATTTATCCCTCTATGTTGATAAGGGGGCAAGTTTTAAAATGGAAAGAAAAAAGATATCTCCTTTTTCAGAATAATTAGGTTTCTCAGTAATAAATTTAATCTGGCTTGGGAGCATTAGGAAGCCACATGGAATATTTACCATATTATAGTAAATATAACACTATTTAGGTTGTATGTAACATTGCAATAAATATGTTTACCTTACTGTGGAAAATATAACAATAATATAACAATAATAATAGCAAGCAATATTTGTAGAATGGCTCACAGTGACAGCATTGTTACATAAGTTATTTCATCTGAACCTCACTTTATGGCAGCTGGTGCAGTAGGGGTTATTTTACAAACAGGGAAATGATGGCTTGGGTGCAGGTGACTTCAGAAGAACTCTGCTACTAAGCTGAGTTGGGTTTTCTTATTGCAAAGCCCAATCACTAACACACAGCAATGGCCCACCCCAAAGAGTAAAAATTACCAAATACCTGCAGTCTTCAACAAAAGGTTGAAAATATTGATGAGATATTCAAAGCCTTTTTGCAGTTCTCAACAGTCATGGAAAATGGGGGTTTATATGCTTCTTCTCTGAGCCACAGACTCATCCGTGGCAAAGCCCATGGATCCTCTCTCAGACTGGTTTTAGATAAATAAGTGAAATACACAGGAAAGGAACCAATTATATTCAATACAGTTGTCAAAATATTTTAAACACATTTGGGATATAATAATATATGTGCTTTTTAAAATTAAGGTATTAAATGACAAGTGGTTGGTCTGTTAGCTCCAGTGATTTTTGAATAGTGACGAACATCAATGATATTCCAAAATAGCTACAACAACTCTAAGGCAGTAAGAAAATATCTGAGATTTCAATCAGAGACAAAGCTGCAGGTCCTGCGAATGCAGTTGAGATTGGTTGCCTACATGCATAGTGGAAAAAAGGGCACCATTGCAGTGAGAGCTTAGAAAAACCCCATTAGGCCCATGGACCCTAGGTTAAACACTCCTGATCTGAAAGGTCCTGTAGAAGCTAGTCCTAGTTACTAGGGCTATCAGTGACCCCAGTGGATATTGACCCCAATGGAGATTGTTCAAGACCAGTGGAAAGCCACATGCTGATGGGGTGGCTGTTCAGTTTGTTGGCATTAAATAGAGCTCCTTTTAAAGGGGAGGTAAAGTAGTTCCTCCTGGGAATCTTTTTTCCTGTCTTAACTAGGGGAGGCATGCACACCTGTCTGAAGCATGAAGTATTGATCTTTGAGCAGCTCAATGATCATGGGAGGCTATATTTAGGCTGGGTGAGACCCCTGTTATTTGCTTTCTTTGCTACCTTATTTGACCTGGGACCTACACACGTTTGACTTTCCAACTGTGCAAAATGGATATATCATCAGGTCAAGGTTGCAAACTCTGGCATCCATGGGGCCAGGCAGGGGGCATGTACACATGAGGGGAGTGCCATCAGTGGGAAATTGGAGACCATGTGGCCACCTAAAGGGGGTGATGGACACTCAGCCCCAGCCGAATGGTGCCCTGCTGGAAGGTGAGCCTAGTTTTGCCAATATCGTGAGTTTTCAGATAAGCAAGAGATTGAGAGCTTTAGATAAAGCTACCATCTACAATATTGGTGGCAAATTCTGTTTTGTTTTGTTTTGTTTTGTTTTTATAGAAGTTTGCAGGCCAAACAAAAATATATGTGGGTCACTTGCCATTTCTGGTTTTGGTACCTGTCATAGCAGGTACAAGTGTTATTACAGCATTTTCGCTAATCTCTCAGTGTATATAGGAAGCAGCTTTTCAGTTTATATAGCACTTTTGTTTTTTGAAAGAACCACATAGAAGCAGTTTGATGGAGTTTTTAAAAAGTCATGTTGTTTAGCATTATTTGCAATAGCCAAAAGGTGAAAGCAACCTAAGTGTCCATTGACCGATGAAGGGATAAACAAAATGTGCTATATACACACAATGGAATATTATTCACCCTCAAAAAGGAAGGGAATTCTGACACATGCTGCAAGGTGGATGAAGCTTGAGGACGTTATGCTAAGTAAAATAAGTGAGACACAAAAGGACAAATATGTATGATTCCACTTATATGAAGTATCCGGAGCAGTCAGATTCATAGAGAAAGTACCGTGATGGTTGCCAGGGTTGGGGGAAGGAAGAAATGGGTTCTTCAATGCGTGTAGAGTTTCTGTTTTGCAAGATGACAAAGTTCTGGAGACGGATAGAAGTAATGGTTGTACAACTGTGTGAACAACCTTAACACTACTGAACCATACACTTAAACATGGTTAAGATAGTAATTATTTTATTTTATTATTTTATTTTATTTTTATTTATTTATTTTTTTTGAGACAAAGTCTTGCTGTGTCATCAGGCTGGAATGCAATGATGCAATCTCTGCTCACTGCAGCCTCCACCTCCCGGATTCAAGCGATTCTCCTGCCTCAGCCTCCCGAGTAGCTGGGACTGCAGGCGTTCACCACCACACCCAGCTAATTTTTTGTATTTTAGTAGAGATGAGGTTTCATCATGTTGGCCAGGATGGTCTCAATCTCCTGACCTCATGATCCACCTGCCTCAGCCTCCCAAAGTGCTAGGATTACAGGCTTGAGCCACTGTGCCTGGCCATTTTGTTAAACTTTAAGATGATAAATTCTGTCATGTATTTTACCGTAATCTTAAAAAAAATTTTTTTCTAAGTTATATTGTTTAATGATAACACATAGAACAGAGCTACAGGAAGAAATAAACACCAGAAAGGGTAATGTATGGTTAATACGAAATCATTAGACCATTTAAAACAATTGGCAGTAGCTTACAGGATTTTAAAATATAGGTAGGAATAAAAATATAACAGTACACAAAAGGTAAGGTGGGCAAATAGAGTTAAATTATTGTACAGTTCATTTTTAATAAGTGGTGAAATTACCAATTTAAGGTAAACAGTAATAAGTTAAGGATGGATAATTAGAATCACAAAAAGGATAAGAAATCATGACCAAAAAGATAGTAGAGGAGGAACAATGGTGTAATACGATTCCAGTTAAATCAAGTTCAAATACAGGTAAAACTGACAGAGTCCAAATAGTGGCTAGCTTTGGGGGTGGAGGTGGACATTGACTAGATGAGGGCACAGGTACACCTTTTCTCTAGCAACGTGCTGGCGATATGTCTTTATATTACTGTGGGGAGTGGTTACACAGGTGTTTACATATGTAAAATTCATTCAACTATACACCTATATTTTATGCATTTTACCGTATGTAAGCTTTTACCTCAATAAAACAGAAAACAGTAAAAATTGAAAAATAACTTTTTAACTAATAGCTTAAGACAGGGGTCAGCACGCTACTACCCACAAACCAAATCTAGCTCTCCGCATGTTTTTGTAGGACTCGTAAGCCAAGAAGGGCTTTATATTTTTAAATGGTTGGAAAAAATCTACAGAATAATATTTTGACATGTGAAAATTATATGTAATTCAGATTTGTGTTCATAAGGAATATCTTGTTAGAGCCACAAAAAAAGTTATATTGCTTAAATGTAATTTCTTTGTTTCTCAGCTAATACCACTCGAATATTCCAAGGGACCAGAATAGTGAAAACAGGAGTGGTAAGTAGAGAATGGGAAATTGCTTTGTCGTGGCTGGTTGTTAATTTGCTTGCAGTTAAAACTGTCACCACGAAGTGGCAGTATAATGTTGTTAAACTGCTCAGTGTAAAGCGGTTATAGTAGAGAAAAAATTACATTATTCACTTTTTATAATTCAGTACCTTATGAACACAAGCTGTGCAACAGTGTTAGGTGGTTATATTATATAATTTTGTGAAGGTAAAAATTCTTCATATTTTTAGTTATGATTTGTGGGATCAGACGATGCAGGACCACAAAGGAGTTAAATCTGTTCCAACCCTTTCATTTGACATATACTCAAATTCAGAGGTTGTCATTTGCGTAAAGTTATATGGATCTGAAAATTTCTGGAACCAGAATTAATATCTTAGTTTCCCCATTCCTGGTTGGTATAATGAATAATTAAAATACTAATCACAGCAGTGGTGATAATAATAATAGCCTAAAATTCACTATGCTCTTCCTGGGTTTCAGGCACAGATTATTTTATTTACTTCTCCAGGCAGCCCACAAGGTCAGTGTTACTGTTGTTCCCGTTTTACAGATGAGGAAACCGAGGCTCAGTGAGTTAAAGTAATGTGTCCAGCATCACCCAGCAGGCAAGCTAAAATTAGACTAATAGCTCAGAGCAGCACTTCTTGTTTTCCTAAGATACCTTATGTGAGTAAAACCCCCAGACTTGAGCCCCAGTTTAGTATGGTGGTAAGAACAAGCCGAGTCTTAGACCCAGGCAGCCCTGCATTTGTGCCTTCCAGGTCATGTACCTTGTGTAAGCTCTTTAACATCTCTGTGTCTGAGTTTCCTCACCTGCAAAATGGGGTGATGATCATGCCTGCCTCCAGAGTAGCATGGAAAGCCCTGGCACACGGTTGGCATTTGTTAATTGGAATTCTTGTTATTGTTGTTGATGTTGTTGTCATCTGTATGGGCTCAGATTTTCCCACGGATCAACTTAGAAACTGCAAGGTACAGTGACTCTGCAGTGCCCAACATGGAGATGCAGAGATGTAAACCAGTGCCCAGAGCATGCAGTGCAGAGCATGGCTCCTGCCTCTGACCCTGTCATTGCAGACCTGGGCAGGCTGCTTTCCCTCCTTGTCCACCCACTTCCTCACTGGGAGACAGTGGGGTTGGACTGGATCACCCAGTATCTTTCCAGACCTAGAGCTGAGTATCTACTCAAGTGTCAGTGATATACATAAAATCAAAGGTCTTCTGCCTCTCATCACCCCAAGAACAGATGACCATCTGATTTTTCCAGTTCATGACTTCTTTGTTGTGTAAGTCAGCTTTAACACTACTTAGTTTTTTTGGCACCTAGCCTCATCTTGGGTAATATCAGTGAAAAGCTGAGTTTGATCGACTAGTTATGCATTTTAACATGTTCACAATTATAAAACCATTAAAAATAAAAGTTGATCACCCATGGACCACCTAATGTCAACTTTATGCCATACATTGGAAAACTCCATAGCATAGATGAGTAAAATCCTCAGAGGGTGACAACCAGGGCCTCATTCCCAATCTCAATTACTGATGCTTCTCTGCTTTTTCTTCTTCTGCCTCTTTTCCACCCTTGCCGGGTGACCCTTTCCAGCCCACAGCGTCTCCTGCCTCTTCAGCCGACATGGCCCCCATCAGCTCGGGGTCTTCTACCTGGACGTCCTCTGGCATCCCATTCTCATTTGTTTCCATGGCAACTGGGATGGGCCCCTCCTCCAGTGGCAGCCAGGCCACAGTGGCCTCGGTGGTCACCAGCACGCTGCTCGCCGGCCTGGGGTTCGGCGGTGGTGGCATCTCCTCTTTCCCCAGCACTGTGTGGCCCACGCGCCTCCCGACGGCCGCCTCAGCCAGCAAGCAGGCGGCTAGGCCAGTCCTAGCCACCACAGAGGCCTTGGCTTCTCCAGGGCCCGATGGTGATTCGTCACCAACCAAGGACGGCGAGGGCACCGAGGAAGGAGAGAAGGATGAGAAAAGCGAGAGTGAGGATGGGGAGCGGGAGCACGAGGAGGATGGAGAGAAGGACTCCGAAAAGAAGGAGAAGAGTGGGGTGACCCACGCTGCCGAGGAGCGGAATCAGACGGAGCCCAGCCCCACACCCTCGTCTCCTAACAGGACTGCCGAGGGAGGGCATCAGACTATACCTGGGCATGAGCAGGATCACACTGCCGTCCCCACAGACCAGACGGGCGGAAGGAGGGATGCCGGCCCAGGCCTGGACCCCGACATGGTCACCTCCACCCAAGTGCCCCCCACCGCCACAGAGGAGCAGTATGCAGGGAGTGATCCCAAGAGGCCCGAAATGCCATCTAAAAAGCCTATGTCCCGCGGGGACCGATTTTCTGAAGACAGCAGATTTATCACTGTTAATCCAGGTAAGTGGTGCAGGTCTTCTTCGAGGGTTCCTGCTCCTGTGAATAGTCGTACCCTTTTTCAAAAAATTGGGAGCAGAAGGTGAAGCTTCAGAAGGTACTTAATATTCTTAGAATCATATATGTCTGTCATAGAAAAGGTGCACACATGTGAAATGTGTATGTGTGTGTCCCTGTTTTACTCCAAAAGCCTACTCTCTTACGCTGGAGTAAGTCTTTCTTTGATATTTGTTTTCTTGCCTCGGAATAACTCCAGGGACTTCAACCAGGCAATGATATACATGAATAAAAAAAGCCATCGATCTTAAGAAGTTTATTTATTAAGATTTCATTCCATATTCATTATATAATGTATCTACAAATGGCTAGTTTGGTGCCAGGGACTGGGCAGGGTGCTGTCCCAGGGGATCCTAGTCCCTGCCTAAAAAGTTTAAAGGGGAAGGCAGACAGATGACAAGACAGTAGCTAGCTGGAGCGCATGCCCAGAAGTTAGGTAGCAGGAACGTTAGAAAGCCAGCAAGCTAGATGGTGGTTAGTCGGCAAGCTAGATGGTTAACTGGCAAGCTGGAAAACTAACTAACTGAAGTTTTCGATTGTGAAATGGTAATAGAGGAAATAAACAGGATGCTGTCCAAGAGAATTATGGAGAGGATAGGGACCTACCTTAATTAAGAAAGGCCACTCTGGAGAAGTGGCTTGTTCATGGAAACCTACAGAATGAAAGGCTTCAGCCTGGGGAGAGCTGGTATTGGCCCATGGTCCTTGCCCAAGAAATACGGCCCTCTCTCCCAGAGCTCCCATTGCTGTGGGAATGAGCCAGTGTATAGACAGTGAGGCCAGGGCATGAGATCCTCATCTCCTGGTGGCAATTTTGTTGCTCTATCATATGCTCAAATCTTAATGAACCATCCTGATAGTTTCTGCAAGGGAGCCATAAGCATGAGGAGTTGTTATTGTTGTGAGGGCTTTTCTTAATAAGAAATTCTTCATTTTGCCAGACTACAAGATGTTTAGCAACAATTTTTTTTGCGTCTAAGCTGTTGTGGAGTTATAAGAGTGCAAAAAAAAAGCAACTGGTAAATATTTATTTGCTTTTGCACTTGTAAACATTAAAATTCATCTAAAGCTGAGATCTCGTATGTTAAGATACAACTTAGAATAAATTTTCATGTTTTGAATTACTTTCCTCTTAAAGCTGCTATGAACTAATTTTTTGAAGTGGGGGTCTCCTGTGGGTATTGCTCACTTTAGCTGTGACTGGGGGAAAGGTGCAGAGTAGCCTTTTGTGGAACTGAGTGAAGGAAATGTGGGGCCACTTGGGAAGCTGTTTCTGTAAGAACAGTGACATTCCCTCTAGGAATTACTTTGAAAAAGTTGAATTTCTTGCATTTGAAGACGCTGAAGAAACATGTACGGAATGCCCACTGTATAAGAGGCACCAGGCTAGGCTTTGGCAGTAGAACATAGGTAACACAGACTTCTCTTCTCTTGGGGTTTGCATTCTGGTAGGGGAGCTTGAGAATATGCCAGTAAACAAATACATACCCTTAAGTAGCCTTAATTGCTACAGTTGGGGAGCGGAGGGACAGTGTAGCTCTGAGTGGTCAAGGATGACCTCTGAGCAGAGAGCCAAGTGGTAAGAAGGAGCTAGCCATGCAAAGATCCAGGGAGGGGAATTCTGGGCTGCAGGAACAGCAGGTCCAGAGACCCTACAGTGGGGAATTAATTTGGATCAGTTGAGGAGCTATCAGGCCAGTGTGGTTAGACCAGAGGGAGTGAGGGGGAGAGGAGGGGATGGATTTAGAGATTGATGGAGGTGCTCTGGAAAGGTACTCGTTGACCACGCTGAGGATTTCCTTCTACTAGAAATGAGAAACCAGGGTAGATCTTGGCTGCAGTGTTACTTGATTGATTTTTTGAAAGACCTCTCAGGCCTCTGCGTGGAGATGATATAGGAAGGCAGGAATGGATGAAAGAAGCCCAGTTAGGAGGCAGTGGTAATGGTGGCTTGGACCAGTGTGTTTTCTATGAAGACAGGTGGTGGACTTGGAATTGACTTTCAAGCTTGAGTGTTCAGCCTCTGGACTATGGGCTCTGGCAAAGTAGCATTCTCAGCCTGCTCCTCTTAAACATTTGTTTGACCACATTCCTGAAAAATGTGGCTGCTGAGAGCTTAGGCTGGGAGTATTTACAGTTTGAGAGATGGGAGAGAGGCAGGGACTGGGACCGCCCCAGGTAAGTGGAAATGAGTTCTTGCCATTGGAGTCAGGTTCCAGATTCCAGAGACAGGGGAGAAGAAATGGATGGCAAACTTTGGGGGCTCCCTACTCCAGGTATGAGGTGTGTAGGTCCTCGGCTTCCACCCTACAGAAATCTGAGAGCATCTACAATCTTGGCAGAGTGGCTTTGGGAGTCAGATCAACCCAGTTGGCTCTGTCCCTTATTCACTCAGGGTCCTCAGGTAAGTCTTAGTCCCGTGTCCTCGTTTGCAAAGTGGAGCTAATGATCATGCTTAATGCCGAAGGTGGTGTGGCTGTGGAGACCCCCTCACTGTCACTGACAAATAGGAGCTGTCAGCAGCCCAGGTGCCACACAATGATGGTGACTGTGAGGAGGCCCCCCACAGCCCTTTCCTTTGCTATTGTCTGTGGACATTAAAGCTACTGGTCCCCAAGTAACTGCCATTAAAAATGACCTCCAGATGGCCGAGTGCAGTGGCTCACTCCTGTAGTCCCAGGACTTTGGGAGGCCAAGGAGGGTGGATCGCTTAAATCCAGAAGTTCATGACCAGCCTGGGCAACATGGTGAAACCCCGTCTCTAGAAAAAATACAACAATTAGCAGGGCACAGCGGCTCATGCCTGTAGTCCAGCCACTCGGGAGGCTGAGGTGGGAGATCACTTGAGCCTGGAAGGCAGAGGCTGCAGTGAGAAGATCACACCACTGACAGAGCAAGACTCTGTCTCAAAAAAAAAAAAAAAAAAAAAAAAAAAGAAGGACCTCCTCCTGAAACTCAACACTGGTAAATCAGAGCTTTCCCTTATCACCTTCAGCAAAGTGAGAAGGTCCACTTCTGAAAGCTAAAAAAAACTTCCTTGAAAATTTCAAGCAGTTCAAGTCTGAAAATGGTGGTGATGATTGTTTAAGCCAGATATAAGCAAACTTTTTCAGCTAAGGGCCAGAGAGTAAATGTTTTTCAGTTTTGCAGGCCACAGGTCTCTGCTGCAGCTACTTAATTCTGCCTTGTAGCACAAAAGCCACCATAGACAATACACAGCTGAGAGGATGTGATAGTATTTCAATTAAAACTTTGTTTGCAGAAACAGGCGATGGGTCTGATATGGTCCACAATCTGTCATTTGCCAACCCCTGGTTTACACAGAAATCTGCATGTGCCTGTTGATTAGTAAAGGACGTGAGTGACCTGAAGGTAAAACAAGCAAATCCCACATCAGTCAATGATCCTTCAGGTCTTGCTTCACTTCCATTCACCCTGTCCTTTGCCCTGTCTGCCTCCTCCAGTATGGTATTTATTTTTTAATGAAATCGCCATCATTTTAATGTTAGTGATTTATTTTAAGGACTTTGTGTGTACATTTGCTTTAAATCTGTTACACATTTATTTTTTCTTCATATTAAGGAAAAACAATTACTTTAATCAATACCTGGTCTCTGAAAAGAGTGATAATGTGTAAAGTTACACACTGTTATATTTTTATGAGTATCTCCAAACAGCTTGTTTAAATCCCTTTGGTGTTTCATAACATATTTTTAAGTCCTGTGAGTAGTGGCTTTAATATATTATCTCCCAGGGAAGAAGAAGAAGGGAATCCTTCTATAGAAGAAGTGGCAAACCCAGACACCTACAGAAACCAGTTAATACTAATGAGAAACAAGGACCAGGTGTTAGACATTAGGGAGTGGTAAGGACTGCAGCAAATTAAAGAGCACATGACTTTTCTAAAGAGGGCCATCTCACTCAGCTCCAACAGATTACTGCCAGTGAGAATGCCTAGTGAGCCAGAAATCCAGGTTTTTGTGCAGAACCCCCCAACTTTTAAGTAAGCTCAAATTTTTAAAACAATTTCTGCTTTTTAAAAATGTAGGCCAAACTAAACCCATCCCTGGGCCAGGTAGGAACCGCGGGTGGTCAACCTCTACTGTAGTGTTGATTGCTAGAGTTGCAACTTCCTGAGAAGCCTTTCAGAAGGCTTGAAGGCCTAGGTGTACTCCCTCCCTTTCACCAGGCTTTTTTCTAGCGTTTCTTTAGTGCAAAGCCCTCAGCTGGATGTCTGCTACATGGAAATCCAGCATGTGGTCCCATCCTGAGGAGCCACAGCGTGAGCCCAGAAGCCAACTGATGCAATGAAATGTTCTTGGGGGTACTATGCAGTACAGCATACCCTACAAAAACATTTCAGAGTGGGCATCATCTACAAATTCATCATTTGGTGCTGGGATTTTCCATTTTTGTTTCCTTAAATTAGGGAAACTCTTTTTTCAGGTTGAATCTTGCTCAGAAACTCAGTATGTGAACACTCATTGCTGAAGGTTTACTGACTGCATCTTCTGGCTCAGCCCTGAGTCAGGTGCTAAGGGGACATTCCACTTCAGGGGTCGGCATACCACAGCCCGCAGGCCACTTCCATCCCCTGGCCTGCATTTGCATGGCCCATGAGCTAAGAATGAACACAATTGGGCAGAGGCTCTGGGCTGCTATTCTGCTTTGAGACAGAGTGGAGGGTGCAAAGCTGCAGCCACTCTGCTCCTTTGGGCAAACCATGAGGCGCCTCTTTGGAACTCTTAAGCACTAAGGAACTCAACGTGAACACCTTTAATTACAGAAATAATAACAGCGTCACCAGTGAACATTTGTGCTAGCCCTGCCTATGCAGAAGGCCAGCTGCATATGTCACTGATCCTAGAGTACTCCCATGAATGTCGTACTTTGTTGCTGTCATGCTGGTGAGGGAAGCGAGGCTCAGATGAAGGAACGTGCCCAGAGCCACACGGCCCATGGCAAGACAGAGCCCAAATATGGGCTCTGACTCTATAGTCCAGGGGGATCTTCCCCATGTGATGCTGGCTTTGGCGCCAGTTCCCAGAATGAGCAATGCCAGATGATTTCAGATGCAGTATTAATTAAGTGAATATTTTAATGTGTGCTTTTAAAAAGAGACTAACTTTCCATTGGTGACAGTGGTTCTCAACCAGAGGGAATTCTGTCCTTCTCCCTAGGAACATTTGGGAGCATCTGGAGACATTTTTAGTTGTCATAACTGGCACTGGGGTGCTACTTGGTGTCTCGTGGGTAGAGGCCAGGCCTGTTGCTAAACGTCATATGGCGCACAGGACAGCTCCACAACAGGAACCATCTGGTCAAAATGTCATTAATGCCAAGGCCGAGAACCCCTGATTTATAGTATTCATGTAAAGTTTCCTTATTGAAGAAGTTTACTTGAGGACAAATAGAGTAGTAATTTAAAGACAAAAATAAGTACCAGTACAGGTTCATGCAGATCGGGCAGAAATCATGAATGCAGTACCCAGCTGTCTAGGGATTGGGAGCACTGCAGCATGCTTTATTTAAAATTAGTTACATCAGGCACTTGTAAGGACTATCAGAAGTACTTTTCAGCCAGTGCTAGTTTTGCTCGTCAGGTTTCTTTCTAGAGAAATGTTTTCTTTATAATTCTGCCCACCCCCGTCCTGGTCTGTCATCTTCCTGGCATGTCCGTGGGAACAAGCTCAGGGTAGGCCGAAGGGGTTATTCAGCTGCCAGTATGGTTTAGTTTCTTCTCAGAAAGTATCTGGGTCCTTGGAGTTTCTATTGCCCACTGAACGATCTTTGAATTAAGACACATGGTAAATCTCATGGTATGGAAAACCAGACCCCACTAAGAACAATTAGATTTCCGGAGAGGTTGGAGTCAAGAATTCAGGTTGCAGCAGGTGGCATATTTGGTATAAGATTGGTGTACAACTTCTGTCCGTGACTGATTTCAGAACCACGTACTATTGCAACCAACTGTCAGTGGTGGCCGTCTGATAGGTTAGGGCTTGCCGTCTTTTAGGGGCTTGGAATTAAATTAGGATTTATCAAATGCCTCCCCACTTTCCCACCACCTAATTGAAATAGAGATGACAGACCATCATTTTGATTGTTTGAGTCTGGTGAATTAAGCTCTGCATGAAATGGTAAGGGAGCACTTATTCACAGGAACTCTTGGCAGTGATATAAATGGAAACGAATGATGCTCTAATCCTGCCCACACGAGTTAACACAGAGCCAGTGTCCTGTTGCAAGAGAACATATTTATTTGTAACTGATGAACAATCATTTCTCTGCAGCAGTGGTTTGGGTAACGTCAGGGCTCCAGAAAAATAAAAGGCCAGTTTTGTGGCCCTGTAAAAACAGCAGCCACCTTATCATTTCACACCCGTTAGAATGGCTTCTATCAAAAATATAGAAAATAAATGTTGGCAGAAATGTGGAAAGAAGGGAACCCTTTGTGCACTGCTAGTGGGAATGTAAAATGTGCAGCCCCTGTGGAAAATAGTATGGTAGTTCCTTAAAAAAGTGAAACCAGAATTACCATATGATTTAGCAGTTCTACTTCTGGGTATACACTTGACCCTTGAAAAACAGTCTTGAACTGCTTATATCCACTTATACACGAGTTTTCTTCTGTCTCTGCTACCCCTGAGAGAGCAAGACCAACCCCTTTTCATTCTCCCCTCATCAACCTACTGAAAGATGATGAGAATGAAGACCTTTATGATGACCCACTTCCACTTAATGAATAGTAAATATAAATATGTTTTCTTCCTTAGGATTTTCTTTATAACATTTTTTTCTAGCTTACTTTATTGTAAGAATATAGCATATAATACAAATAATATACAAATATGTGTTAACTATTTATGTTATTGGTGAGGCTTCCGGTCATCAGTAGGCTATTAGCAGGAAAGCTTTTGGAGACTCAAAAGTTATACATGAATTTCTGACTATTCAGGGATTAGCACCCCTAATGCCTATGTTGTTGGTGGGTTAACTGTATGCCCAAAGGATTGAAAGCAGGATCTCAAAGAGGTATTTGTAGACCCATGTTCATGGCAACATTATTGACAATAGCCAAGAGGTGGAAGCAACCCAAGTGTTCATCAATGAGTGAATGGATAAACAAAATGTGGCATATAGTACATACAATGAAATAACTGTTTAGCCTGTAAAAGGAACGAAATCCTCTCACATGCTACAACATGGATGAACCCTGAGGACATTATGCTAAGTGCAATGAGCCAGTCACAAAAAGACAAGTAATACATGATTCCACCTATATCTAGCATAGTCAAACTCAAAGAAACAAAGTAGAATGGTGGTTGCCAGAGGCTGATGAAAGGGGAAATGGGGAGTTGTTTAATGGATATAGAGTTTCTGTTTTGCAAGATGAAAAAGTTCTGGAGATCAGTTGCGCATCAGTTGCACAACAATGTGAATAACTAAACATCACTGAATGGGACACTTAGAAATGGTTAAGATGGTAAATTTTGTGTTATGTGTTTTTCCACTATTTTTTTTTAAAGCAGCCACCTTAATTCACAGATGTGGGAGGTTTTTAATGAGTGGTATGGCTCAGAACAAATATGTTGAAATTCCCCACGATGGAAACAGGCTATAAATTTATAAGTATGCATATCGTCCTTCTCTTTATCTTCCTTGCAAATTAAAGAATCTTGCTCTTCCCTACTCCTGATAGAGGCCTCTTGGATCCAAGCTAGTTTTAGTCTTGACACCAGAGCGGTTCTTGTCCTGTAGCAGAAGTTGAGCCCTTCCTGGAGGGTAGGAGGCATTTCAGATGGGTCCATCTGATGTATTGCTGCCGGTAGCATTTATAGTACATTGTACTCCGTTTTTATTTGCTTCTACTGGGATGAGAGCCAAGCCAGTAAAAGGCAAACAGCATTAATTCAGTGATGACATATGCCACTGAAAACTGTTTTTCTTTTCTTTTTTTTTTTTAATTTTTTTTTAAAAAGCAGAATGGAGGCACTTTACTCAGATTCTGCTGGGTGCTGAAATAAAGACGGAGAGAAAGAAAGGCTGTACGGAGAGAAAGAACGGCTGTGGGGAGGTTGTTAACCTTACCTTCCTCCTGCATACGCTCAGAGAGGGTTCGTTAGCATTTTGCTCCAAGTTTCATGGGGAAGACATTTCAGGAGCAGGCTCATTCTTTGAGTCTGGGCTCTAACTGGCCTCACATCACCCTCTGAGTAGCTGTTCACCTGCACATTACATCCACTGGGGGAGTACTGGGTATCAGTTGATACTCCTTTCCTCATTGTCATCTTTTCTACACACAGATCCAAATGTGCTGAGGAGAATGGACTATGTTATATGGGCAGAGCAACAGCATGGTTAGTTTCTAATTGGCCTAAAAATAAAATCTCTTCAAAAATAAACAGAATTGGAGAAAGCTGCTTTGTACAGAAAGAGCCTCTTCTCTTGAGCCAGGTTATTGGTATCAGGATCATGGTGAGTTTATTAAACCATGATTTTTACTTTCGTTTTTGAGGCCTTTTCAAAAGACCCGAGTTAGTGTTGTTCTGCAGACTCATTGGGTCAGAGTGCCATCTTGCAAACTGAAACCAGGCTGGCCAGAGTGAGCTTGCAGTGGGAGTTGGGAGTGAGGAAAGCTGGTCTGGTGTGACATTAGGGAGTAGTGACGACTGTGGCAAACCAGTGAGACGCACCCTGTCTGAAGGGAGTGTGCCGCTTGGTTCCAACTGATGTGTGCCACGTGGGAATTCAGGCTTTTGTTGCCAACCTTGAACATTTCTAGTGGAAGCTACCATTGCTGATTTTTATCTGAATTCCTTTGCTTATTAAATGTTGGTAGCTATGTCACAATTAAAAAATAACTACTTGGAAGGGGTGTCAAACCAGGGTTGCCAGTTCATAACCCAAGTCAGGCAGGAATTGAAGGGCTAGTCCTGCTGGGAAAACTACATCATCTGGATGAACCAGAGATGGAGGTGAGGAGGAGCTCTGTTAACCCAGAGGTCCTGTCCTTATCTTGGTGTCACAATTTGGGCATCATGGAGGGAAGCAAACCCCCAGTAACTGGGCAGCTCAGTTCTGCTGGACCCTTCAGGAGGCAGCTAGGTTACCAGCAAAGCTCCGAGTGAAAGTGTGCTGCTCCTGACAGAGGGGAGCATCTAGTGTTACTAAACTGTCAGAATTGTTGTTTGGCTCCATTGAAGGAAAGAAAAGAATGAACATTTCTTGGGCACCTCCTCTGTGTCAGGCACTGTGCTTGGTACCTGACTGATCCAGAGCAGCTTCATAAGCAGGCAGCCTGTGCACTCACACAGGCCCTGTGCTCAGAAGGGCCTATGCTTGCTTTCATACTGTCTCATACTCTACTGTCACCTTCTCAAAACTCTTTTATAACTTTCGAATGGGCCCCATGATTTCATTTTGCATTTGGTCCTATAAGTTACATAGCCATAACTTACATAGTCTGTTTTCACACGGACGATCTTTTTTCATCCTCAGGACTCCCCGAGAGGTGAGTGTTACCATTTGTCTCCCTTTGATACAGGAGTGAACAGACACTCAGAGATGGGCATTTACCCAAAGCCACACAGCTGGAAAGGCCTAAGTCAAAATTTGTACTCAGGTCTGCCTGAGTCTGGGGTGCAGAATTGCCCATCTTGTGGCACGCTGCAGCTGTTGTACCGAAAGGCCTACAGCATGTTCTGGTCTCTGGAGGCCTAGGCATGGGGAAGTTTAGCCTCATGGATTGTCGGTGTCTGAGGGCATATAATGATATGGGTGTATACTCAGGGCCACATTTTGTGTGTTGTAGTAGTCCTAGCAGCTTGCTGTTTTATTAGGGCCACAAATTGAGTCAGGGAGCAGGACGGGTATTTCTTCTGAAGGACACAGCAAGAAGTACGGGGGCCGTGCACAGTGGCTCACACCTATAATCCCAGCACTTTGAGTGGGGGCTGAGGCAGGAGGATCCCTTGAGCCCAGAAGTTCGAGACCAGCCTGGGCAACATATCAAGAAAGTGTCTCTACCAAAAAAAAGAGGGAAAAAGCAGTATGATACAGTCTAGTCTCAGGGCAAACTGAGATTCTAGCTCTTTACCAGCAATCTCATCATAGGCAGCCCTTTGTGCTGATACTCAGCACATCTGAAGTTCTGTATGACTGCCACTTACACACTCAGATGTTACAGAGAGGAGTCAGATTCAGCAAACACCCGGTGAGTGCTCACCATCTCCTGCTGCTGTGTGAGGGTGCTGAGGAAGAGAGTGGTGGTGATGATAAGTAATGATGCTGTTGCTAGGATGGTGGCGGGTGATGGTGTTGCCGAAGCTGGGGTGGTGGTGATGACAATAATCACAATAGTTAACATTAACCAGGTGCCAGGCAACATTCTAAGTGTTTTGTATGCATTAACTCATTTAATCTTCATCCCACCACAATGCCGTATGCAATATTATTACTTCCATTTACAGAGGAGGAGACTGAGGCACAACGAGGTTAGGTTAGTTGCCCAAAGTTGCAAAGCTAGTAGGAGGCAGAGCTTTGTAACTGTTCTTCCATACACAGACGGAAATCAGCCCTGCCTTTGGGGACCTAGAGTAACAAAAGAGCGATTATAATTGAGTATGATGTGTGCAGTAAGAGCAACACAAGATGATGATAGTGGTGGTGGTACTTGTCATTTGCTTGATGCCAGGCACACTTCTAGGTGCTTACATGCACCTTCTCATTGAATTCCCCAACAGTCCTATGAAGTAGGCTCTTTTCATCCCATTTGATAGATGAAGAACTCCAGGCCCAAACTGGTTTAAGTTATTGGTTAAAAGTCACACAGAAAATGGCCAAGCCAGGATTTGAACCTATAATCTCTGCTCTGCCCTTAAGAGATAGTACAAACTGGCGGCTTCGGGAAGCCTCACAGAGAAGGCAGCATTTGAACCAGGACTGAAGGATCAATAAGATGAATTCTGGCATCAGGAAAGGAAAGGCACTCCCTGCAGTAGGAATGGGAGGGGCAAAGGCAGAGAGGCGGGACCATGGCTCAGCATGGTCACTGATTAGGTGAGTGTGGCTGGAACCGTGACAGGGAACAGCAGGAGATGATGCTGGGTTGGGGATGGAAGGCTCTGCTCCTGAAGAGCCTTGCTTTCCCCACTCAGGGGTATCCTGAGGGCTATGAGGAGCTACTTAGGAAAGTGACAGGAGCAGATTTGACTTGGTCACCTGGAGATGGAATCCAATTCCAGGTTCCTGGCACCAGGAAGACAAAGCAGTATTGTGAATTTGAAAATGAAATCAACTTTATCATGCCCCACATGAAAATTCAGTCGCTCTTATTTTTGCTTGGCTTTTATGTAAAAGACCCAAGCCAATGAAACTGCCTGCCATTAGTCAAGGTCAGAGTGAAACTTGTCAGAAAAACTTCCTTAGGTCTCTCACTGACACTACAAGTTATTGCCAACCTGAGAGCTCCTCCACAGAAATTACCATTTGGAGACTGTCCACAGTGGGATTTCAGATAGGCTCCAACCCCCTACGGGAACCCCCCCCCCCCGCCAATTATTACACACTTTCACCAAATGTTAGAGGGAGAAATGACTCCATTGTGGAAATCAAGTTTGAGCCCAGCTCTGACCTGGGCTGTGACTCAAGAGCCTTGTCTTCAGGACCTTCATTCTCTCTCTATGCTGGTGGTTCTCACTTTTTCTGGGGCCTGAACCTCTCTGAGAATCTAATGAAAACTGAACACTCACCCTGTAGAGGAGGAGAGGGGGACAGACATTATCACCAACACAGAGATGCCCCTGTGGCTTGAGGGACGATATAATGTGCCACTGATCCACACAACCAGATGGTCACTCCCTAACCCCTTCCCAAGGCCGAGAAATTCTGGAGTGGTCACTTTTCACTGGTTTTAGAATGGCTGAAATATGCTGGGCGCGGTGGCTCACGCCTGTAATCCCAGCACTTTGGGAGGCCGAGGCGGGAGGATCACTTGAGGTCAGGAGTTTGAGGGCAGCCTGAGCAACATGGTGAAACCTCGTCTCTACTAAAAATATGAAAATTGGCCAGGCGTGGTGGCACACACCTGTAATTCCAGGTACTTGGAGGGCTAAGGTGGGAGGATCGCTTGAGCGTGGGAGGCGGAGGTTGCAGTGAGCCGAGATCATGCACTCCAGCCTGGGTGACAGAGTGAGACCCTGTTTCAAAAAAGAAAAAAAAAAAAAATGATAGAAATACCACAGAGGTGGTATTGCCAGTGATTGTTTAGGGATATAAGTGTGAGGGACTATTTTGGCCAAGAGTTCCTTTCTGTGGTTCGGGATGAATAGGACATGGAGTTTGCATTCTTTGTAGCAGCACAGGCAAGAATCCTGTTCTGTAAGGAGTGAGGAGAGGAATAAGACACTGAGAGTCCCTCCTGTACCCAAGGGCTTCACAGAGTGGATACTGATTTTAACTGAACATGTGGCCTATAGCGTCAACCCTCCCAACATTGTTTTCCATTAACAGGACATCCAGGTCTTTGAGATTCCCCCCCCTCCCCCACCAGCCAGATAATTGCCTGGCTGGGCCACCCCCTTCTGGGACCCCACAAAATTATTCTTATTTGCAACTCTGGTTCCTCTGGCCAGCCACCAGAGCTCTGCTATAAAAGCATTATGTTGATGGAGAGAAGGCATGCCTGATCTTTGTCTGCTTTGGCTTAAAACCCTGCAGTAGTTTCTACTGCTCTTACGACTAAATTCAGTTTCTTTATTTCAGCCTAAAAGGCCCTGGCTTCATCTGCCTTCCAATTCCCCATCTGGGTCCTCCTCCCTCTCATTCTTGAACTCCCACTGATTTGATGGTCTCCGTGCAGAACACCCTTCTTCCCCAACTCTCTGTTTGGCTAACTCCCCTTCATCCTTCAACACTTGCCTTCGTTGGGGAGCTCATGGAGACCTGGGCTTGGAGAGCTATTCCCCTATGGCCCCCTGTGCTTCCCCTGGTGCCACATTCATTGCATTCTAATTAATTGTTGTTGTGCCTGCCTCTCCCCATTTAAAAGATTCCTCCCCATGGGTACAGCAGTGCTACTATCTGATGTACTGATGTGTCCCCATCCCCTCGCACCAGGCCTGTGCACAGTAGGGGCTTGGTAAGAATCTCTCCTATCTAATGAAAAAATGGAGCAGGGAGTTAGGAAAATGGGCAGGCACAGCTAGGAAGGCACTTTATAAATGGCAAAGTGCTCTGTGGAGGTTTTTAATCAGAGTGTGCTGCACCTACTTGACTCTGTCTTCTTACCTGTGAGCAGGGGATACATCAGGTCCTGTCTGCGTCACAGGCCTGTGCCTGAAACAAAGGAGGTGGTCAACATCAAATGCATTAGAGGAAATCCAGTGAAACGCATCGTAACACACTTCTTCCTGACTCGGGAGTCTTGCCTCTTTAAAAATCTGCTCCCATAGCCAATTCTTTCTTCCCTACTCAGCCTACCTTCTCTCACCTGGAAACTCAACCTGATTAGCTCTGCATTTAGTCCATCCTGCAGAGGGACACTCCGGGCTGGCTGAACGCTGGCCTCGTTTTTGCAGTGCAGGAGGAATCCTTGCTGGGCTCAAGTCAGCCTGCAGCCAATGTTAGATTTTTTTAAGGGGCTTCTCCCTGTGATCACAGGCAACCTTTGCTTTTTCACTGCTTGCCTCTGTGCACCTGTGCTCTTCCCAGCCCCAGCACCCCAACCAGGGCTTCATTTGGGCCACCTGGCATGTTCCGGGCATCTTCTTCACAGTGGAAGGGAAGATAGGATCTTCTGCTGAGGCTCCTGGGGACTTCTGAAGACATTCAGGGCCTGGAGAGGTGGAGGAAGGAGCTGCCTGGTTAACAGGTATTGGCCGACCAGAGAGAATCCTAAACTATTTGGCAAGCTTTCCCTGCTAACCTTTAGATTGTGGCTGCTGGTTACAGACGTGCTCTGGGAATAGGGTGTGGTATGGCTTCCTGTCTTGGGAAAGAAAATAGGAGCTTTTGGAAGGATCTGGGGTAGGTGATAGGATCAAAGGACAAACTGGAGAAGCATATTTTAGGAAAAACAGGATCTCTGGGGATCTGGGTGGTAGGAGCCCACGGACAGAAGCACCTAGGTGCTCCTGCTGGGATGTGCTGTTGCTCAGTCTTAGAGTCGGTGGTTGAGATTCTAGGGCAAGATGTCATTGTCCTGGCTTGAGTGCTAAATCGTTGACCAGAGCAGGGAGCCCCACACTCCGATGATTGTCCCACCATGACTGTGTCTGTTAGGGAAAGGTGGTTTCCCAAAGCAGAATTGGGGTGTAGTTGTTACTACAGGAAAGAGTAAGGGATGCTGAGCAGCAAAGAATAGATGGCCATCGTAGTCACAGCCAGTTCTCCTAGTTATCCTAGTGAAACCCATCATGCCAGCCCTCTTGCCCTTGCCCTAGAGAACCTGAGAGGCTCTTGGACAGCCATTCCACCCTTGCTTCTTTGAGACTTCAGCACATGTCCTCAGCACATTCAAAGGCTCTTCTGGGTCGGTCATGTTCTTGGGGTAAGGCTGGAATGTCTATGTCTTCTGTACAGCTGTCTAAAAACACCTTCAACTGTATCTGTAAATCCATATAACTGCCAATTACAGAATGCAGCCCATAGAAGAGGCCCTGTGTGGGTTGGGATGGGGCAGGAAATGGTGAGGGCTGCGGATTGCCCCTCCTGTCATGGGGCAGCTCAGAGCAAATGGCCCAGTTCGCCAGAAACCACACAAAACTGGAACAGAACTCTGCATCAATTCTGGCTCCCACCTCCACTAACCTCTGTCCTCTAACTGGGATGATTTCTCTTGGCAGCGGAAAAAAACACCTCTGGAATGATAAGCCGCCCTGCTCCAGGGAGGATGGAGTGGATCATCCCTCTGATTGTGGTATCAGCCTTGACCTTCGTGTGCCTCATCCTTCTCATTGCTGTGCTCGTTTACTGGAGGTAAGCCAGGCAGCACCTACAGCGTAGATTTGGGGGCCAGATGCTGGCCAGGTTTTGCTCACGGGAGGGGAATCCCACGGCCTCTGCATTCAGGAAGGTGAGGTAGCTTAAGTGTTTCTGGTCTTGCCACCCGGAAGGCCATCTTGTCTCTGTTAGATGATGGCAGGGCCAGATCCACTTTTGAGGTCAAGGCATTTATGGTAAGCTTCTGGGATTTAGTACCAAAGAGGTTTTTGTTTGAGAACCAGGGAGATCCAAGTTCAGATCCAAGCTCTGCTACTTGCTAGATCCAAATCCCGTGTCCACTTTGATTGTTAGTTTCAGAACCAGCAAAATGAGTTAACAAGTCATAGCATTTGCAGTTTTTCTGAGATGATGCTTACTTTGTTGTAGTCACATAATAACTCCTCTTTACCTTAGAATTTTTTTTCATAGTCTTTCACTGAAAATTAAATTGGGTGATAGGAAAACATTTAGCATATTATGTGGTATTTAATATATGTAAGATTAAAATGGCAGATTGTAAGCTATCCGGATTCTCACTGCTTCTCATGGGAAGCCAGGTTGCAGCCTCTGTTTAGAAGTTGTGTTTTTTCAGCCGGACCGTCTCAGCCAGCTCAGCTGAGCAACTCCGTCAAGCCCACTCGTTTGGCCTGGGTGCCCTCACCTCTCAGACTAACGTAGGAGGCTTCTGCCCTTTATCTGACAGGCTTCACCAGTGAGAAACAGGTGTCATATTTTCATCTCTCCCTCCCTTCTTTCCATTCACTCAATTTTGAGCCCACACTTTGTGCCAGTCTTCTAGACACAAATGATTTCTGAAGAAGTGAGTAAAACAGATAAGAATCCTTACTGTCATGGAGCTTACAGTTTAGTGGAGGAGGCAGGCAATAAACAAAGCAAATAAGTAAAACATGTAATTTCTAAGATGGTGGTAACTGGATAATGGAGAAAGCTTAAATCTGGAAAGGGGAGGGGCCCATGGGGGCCTAGCAGGAGTGTTCAGAGTGGTCAAGGAGATGATACCTGAGCAAAGACCTAAAGGAGGAGGGAACCAAATGGGCTCCACCTGGGGCAAGTTCCAAGTAGAGGAAACAGCACATGCAACGGCCCTGAGGCAAGGGCATGCCTGGTGTGCACCAGGAACAGCCAGAGGTCAGTGGGGCTGAGACGTGAAGACAGGGGTAAGGTGGCAGAAAAGGGTATCAGAAAGAAACAAGGTAGAGCAGGATCGGGTCATGCTGCACAGCCTTGTGGGCCATTGTTAATGCACTGCCTTTCACTCGAAGATGAGTAGGGTTTGGTACAGAAGAATGTTATGATTTGACTTGAAGATTACTTGGCTGCTGTGTTGAATACAGACTGAAGAGGAGCAGGGGCAGAAACAGAGACCATCGGGGAGACTACTGGACTAGTTCAAGAAGGACACGATTGTGTCTCAGATGAGGGTAGCCGTGTAGGTGGTGAGAATTCATTGTGTATAGATCTATTTTGAAGGTGGGAGCAACAGAATCTGCTGGCAGATTGGGTCTGTTCCTAATTGGCTGGAACAGAAGAATAAGGAAGGAGGTCATCTCAGGTTTCCTCGGGCGTCTGACGGTAACCATAAGCCCTTTAGTGCTGCAGACCAGCAAGTTTATGAAGTATGTTGTATTTTGGGGTGAGCATAGGAACACTAGACTCACCTTCATGTCATCCCTTCTCCAGGAAAAAGTATTGTGCAAATATGTTTGAAGCCCATTGGTAAACTGGAGGCCACCTAGTGTGAGTTTAACTAATCAAGTGAGGTTAACAAGGTCAGCATGCCTATCTCTTGGCTCTGCTCAGCACTGTTTGGTTTTAGTCTCAGACTGTCACCACAGGGGAGCAGAGAAGTCCCACAGCTGCCACAGCATAAAGAAACACTTTGTACCCAGCAATTCTGGCAAAACCCTCCAGATTGTTTCTGACTGGCCCACCTTGGATCCTCTACCCACCCCTAAATGGATCACAGTGACCAAGAAGGACCATGGGGCCAAACAGGCATCAATACCCAGCCAGCCAAAACATGAGTATTTACTACAGGTTTCTTATAGGGAAGGGCTGTGTCATGTAGTAAACAGCTTTAAAATCCTTCCATTCAAGATGTATTTTCCCTTTAGAAAATGACAACTGTTTATACTTCTGAAAATCTCAGTGAGTCCAAATGGAAAATATGAATTGAATAATATCTTAATATTTCCTGTCTGAAATATTTTTATGATGTTTATTATACATGTATGCATATATTTCATCAAAAGCTTCATTTAAAGTAACCAGAGCTTTAAACTTCATCCAACAGAGTCTGGACTTGAGCTTTTACCAAATTCCTACTCCCAGTAGCACAAAAAATGAGTGTGAAAAAGAAAATTCTTATAGAGCAAGGAAAGTAAAATTAAATTAGTGTTAGGATGAATGAGTTGGCTAAGCATACAGCCTAGAGGGGACAAGGACCTTTTTTCTGTCCAACTTTTAAAAAATTATTATTAATGCGAAAGAAGAAAGCATTGGGGAGCTCACATAGAAAATTGGTAAATACAGAGGAGACATGCGTTTCCCTTTGGCAATGCAGTTTTTTAGCTAGAACAACAGTGCTTTTCTTCTGCCTTTTGAGGCACAGTAAGACTGGATGATTGGCAAACAGACTTGACATAAGTAGAGCATTGAGGCAGATCAAAACCTTCTGGATCATTTCTTCAGGAGGCAGGCCTGGCACCGGGGGGTTCAAACCTGCTCACTGTGGCAGCATTTTCTACCACAACCAAGGAATGGCCCTTTGCAGTTATTCTGATTTTTGAGTGTGTTTTCTCCAAGTTGTTGATACTACAACTTAATAGGTTCATGAAATAGTGGAAAACTACACTCAAGGTCTCTGAATTCTGTCTCTTCCAAGTCTCCCGCTGTACAGTGGTGTTAGTGCTAATGTTCAGTGAGTCCTTTTGAGTGCCAGGCACTGTGCCAAGCACTTGGGTGGCACCAACTCATGTGATTCTCACAACAGATCTGTACGGTAGGTACTATCACTGTCCTTTCTATTTGACCCACATTCTTTGACCAAGGAAGAGAACGAGAACTCACATTTGTTGAAAGCCTGCTATGGGCCAAATAGTTGGCAATATCATCACCAGAACCCTTTTGTTGTTCAGAACCCTTTTCTATTGCAGTTGACAAAAATCCATTTCAAAATGCCTTAAAGCTCAAGGGGAAAAAAAAAAGTTTGATTCATGGAATTGAGAAGTTCAGGAGCATTGGGCCTGGCTGAATTTGTAAGATGGAACATCAGGACTTGGCTGGTTTGGTCTGTCTGTGTTTCTCTTGCCGTCAGTTTCTGGGATTTGCTGTCTGTGTGGTCTTCTCGCTCAAGCAGGCCCTCTGCCTGTTTGTACAGAGCAGCCTCTGGCCATGTTAGACTTACATGTCTCCACCCCAGTGCAAAGGGAATCTTTCTTCTCTAATAGTTCCACTTAAGTCCCAACATGGCATCTCTTATTACTGACTTCTGTCATTTGTCCATACCCCGGAGTCGTCTGGTGGCCAAAAGGATGGAACATTCTTGTCAGGCCTAGGTCTTATATTTAACTCTGGAGCTCAGAAGTAGGATCAGTACCATTGCCATCAAAACCTTGGACTGAAGCCGAACAAGGGATGGCTTTCCAAAGGACCATCAAGACCTAAAAAAGTGAGTAGAAGGTTCAGCTAAGTATTCTGTTACTTAAAAAATTATAAAGCTGTTTCTATTGCATGTGCACTGGAGCCATTTTCAGCTTCCTATTATTTATGCAATGCTTACAGAGTTCCTGCCATGCATCCTGGTGGGCCTAGAGATTTAGAGATCAGGTCCCTTGGCCCTCACAGTCCATTGGAAGAGGCAGATGAGTAAATAGAATTGAGTATGGGGAGTATTTGGAGAAGGATAAATCCAAGTTGCTATAACAGCATATAGGAAGGGCTTCAGCCCAACCTGGAATAGGGGTTGGGGTCAGGGAAAGCTCCCTGGAGGACCTGGGCCTTGAACCACAACCAGCTGTCAGCCAGGTGAAGAGGGTGTGGAAGAATGAGGCTGGGGAGAAAAAGCCTGGCCTACTGCAAGCAGATAATGTGGCTCAGTGTTGTTGGAGCAGAGTGTGGGGACAGCAAGGGCCGGATCATGAGGGCCTCATCGAAGGGAGATGTGCCATATCCTGAGGATGATGGGAAGGTATTGAAGGAGCCAAAACTGCAGGAGGGCAAGATCAGAAAGAAACACTACTGTGTCTAGAGACTGTAACACGGGCCTATAGTCACATAGCCTGGATTTGGAGCCACACTCCACCACACTGTTTATCTGTGCAGCTGTGGAGCATGTGTTCCTACCAGCAGTGCTGTCATCTCTAAGGTGTGAATTTGTTTTGGGGAGATTTTTATAAACTTATTTTGTGTATAAAGCACAGATTTACATATACATAAATAGCATTGTGCATTCGTGGTATTAAAATTGGCACTGGGCAATTGGGGGGGCGGAGTCTAAAAGGGCCCCTCAGAGGAGGTGCCAATGAAAAACAGGTTGAGAAACACTGCTTTAGACAAAGACTTCTCCACCAACTTCGGTTTCCTCATCTGCAAAATATAGTTAAGAAATGGGCCACAAGTTCACGTGAGGATTCGGTGCAAGCTATGGAAAATGCTTGTCCTGGTGCCTGGCACATGGTGAATGTGAGGTAGTGTTATACCAGATCTGACTTTAGGGAAAAATGGAAAATGTAACTCTGGGTCCTGGTATGCCTCAAATGAAGTTTTTTTTTAATAAGGAAAATCAAATGTACAGAGCTAAATGAATTTTGTCCTTTAAATGTCATCACATTGTATAGCTGTACAGAGTTTCCAATATGTCCATTGCATACAACATGCTTGAAAATAACTTTTGGAATTTCTTTCTAGAGTTCATTCTTTTGAAGGATCTCAGTTGTGCAAAGTATTTATCCTAGAAATAGATAAAACTCATCTGTTTAGAGCTAAATATAGCATAAATGTAGGTTAACCAACTGAGCAGAACCACTTTGGGCCAAAAAAGGAAAGGGGTGACTATAATGTTAATGAAATTGGTTTGGGTGATGCTCCTAATAGGCCTTAAAGTCAATTCCAGAGGAGGACATCCCTAAATAACTGGGTTAAAGACATGACCCCACTCCCACCCGCAACCCCAGGAAACAACTCTGAAGCCCAGTGGCCAGCCTCATTAATTCCAGGTTGGCTGTATTAGAGTAAGCTTCATTGATGTTGCAGCAGACACACCCTAGAACCCCAGTGGCTTAATAACACACAAAGGTTTATTTCCCACCCACGTGAGGTCTGACAGGGTTGAGCCGCCCTCCTCCACCAGTGGTTTCTCTTTCTGGAACACATATCTCCCAAACTGGTGTAGCAGGGATAGAGAAGTTGAGGAGGCACCAAGCTCTCAACTGCTTGGCCTAGAAGTGGAACCCTTCACTCCTTCATTCACCACTGGCCACAGATGGTCACACAGCCCCAAGGACACAGATGAGGTAGGGGGAACACGTGGGTATTTGTTAAGCACTGCCACAGTATTCTTAAATATTTAAACCCATTGGTATCATTGAATTATGTATATGTTTCCTGAAAGGGAGAACTTTGGAGACCAATCATTAGTCTGTACTTAAAATTTGGCTGAAACTAAAAACCATGAGCAGAAACCTCGGATACCTGTATGTCTGAGAGACCTCAGACATCAGTCTCATCGGGGACTATTTGAGCAGTGTTTTTATAGGCAGCAACATGGATCTGTGGGGAGACATTTATTCTAAAATGTTTTTAGCTGAGCTGTTTCAGGTAGGACACTATAGTTCTCCCTTGAATGTCCCTCGCAAAGGTCTGCCTTGAAGAGCTGTAGGAACCAGAATCTGTAAAAACACAGAAGTTGCTATAAAACTAGGAAGAAATGTAAGCAAAGTGATTTTGGACAAGGGGCAGGGTTGTGAGGCAGATAATAAAAATAAAATCAACTAACAGTTACAGCTTTAATGGCACCCTATTGTGTGCCTTATAAATATTGCAATCCATACAAGCATGCAGTGGTTCAGAGCTATTGGAAATAAGGGGAAAAAATCAATTCAAAAGTTTTCACAGTGTGCCATTTTGGTCTTTTTACTTAAGATGGTAGTAAAACATACCTTTTGAATTCCAACAGTCAGATACTGCATTCCAAGAGCTTCGCATCCCCTGCCTTACCAAGACAAGCTGTTTTTATGGCAATAATGTGCTGACATTCCTGAAAAGACTTGGAGCAGCACAGCTGCTGCCACTCAGAGAGAAGAGGAAAATTTTGGAAGGTTTCTTTTTGATTTACATAATTTGAGGTTAATGCTGGGAGAGGAGCTATGGGAGAGGAGCTATGTGCCCGGTGTCCAATCAGTGTGCTAGGGGGTGCAACTTATTAGTTGTGCTGTAGAATAGCATAGCTATTAAGAGCCAGACATTTCTGTCTGCTTAGAATTGTATTACAAAGATATTTTTAGTTTTGTTTTTTTTTTTTCTGTAATCCTGAGGGATGTTGCATAGAAGGTAGTTCTTATTGCTCTGATGAGCAATATCTCACCCCTGAAATGGCTTTGTATATCTGAAAAGGCTTTGTATATCTAAAGGTTCTTAAGCAAAAAACCTTTTTTTTTTTTTTTGAGATGGAGTTTCACTTTTGTCACCGAGGCTGTAGTGCAATGGTGTGATCTCGGCTCACTGCACCTCCACCTCCTGGGTTCAAGCAATTCTCCTGCCTCAGCCTCTCGCATAGCAGGGATTACAGGCACCCACCACCACGCCCAGCTAATTTTTGTATTTTTGGTAGAGACGGATTTTGCCATGTTGGCCAGGCTAGTCTCAAACTCCTGACCTCAGGTGATCCACCCGCCTCTGTCTCCCAAAGTGCTGGGATTACAGGTGTCAGCCACCACGCCTGGCCAAGCAAAGAACCTTTTATGACTATGTACCATACTAGACATGTGCTCAGCAGATTATACCCCCACCTAATTAGTATACGAATCCTGGGAAATAATCAGTATTGTTATGTTCATTTTGCAGATCAGAAAACAGAGGCTTAGTAAGATCATGTGACATCCCCAAGTCGCAGCGTTAATTTTTGGTGGATTGTGGATTTGAACCCAGACAATTTGACTTCATAGCCCACTGGGTTAGCCAATACGTTATCTTGTCCAGAGGAGGAGTAGCATGCCTGGTGGCATATACTTCCCTCCATAGCCTACTTTTATAGTGCATGTTTATGTGTCAAAAAGACACTCCAGGAAAAGGGGATGTCTCTGCTGCTGGACATGGTGGGAGTAAACTGGTTTGGAAGGCCAGATATAAATCATCCTTTGTTTTGGATTTGCCAAAATCATGTGAAAGAAAACTTAAGAAACCAATTATATTTTCAGGTGTTCTGGAAGCTAACTAGTGGTACTCACTCAGTTACATCTCCATTATTTGAGAAGATTTTTATGTTGAATAATATAACCTATTTGGTCTTAGTCCCAGCTGATCAGTGCTAGTTTTCTTGATATTAAATGTTTAATATCTTATTGACCATAATTCTAGCCTAGAAAAAGACTTGCAAAAGTATAGAGCAGCTTTACTTCTCAAATTCAGATAGGACTGAGCTAACTGCAGATTCTGGAACAGAAAACTGGAAACTCCCTAAGTGGGAATTGTAACATCTGACCCAGGTTTGTTAAAATTTGGTATGAGAAGGATTTCACACTCTGATCTGGTAGATTCACTTCAGCACATGACCAAGCCATCTGTAAATTCTGTGGTAAATCAGTCAACACCAATTTAGCCACATATGCAAATAGGAAAAGGTCTCTCTTTTACTCTAAGTCCCATCTTTAGATTTTCAGAAATTTTGCCATGTGTTGGTGCCTCCTCATTAAGAATGCTGTTCATGAAAACAAGTGAGTTTTGTTGACATTGCAATTTTTTTTCTTCCCTGGATGTTCAGTGGGAGACAGAGTGTAATAAATATGAAGGGATGCAAACCGCAAATGTGTGGGGGATTTGTGTTGGCATAATGGAGGCTCAGGCAAACAAACAGATGCATGCGAGAGTCGAGAGTGGCATGTGGTAACACCCCTCTCTTGCTTGAGGGATGACTGACCACATGTGCCTCACTGGAACACAGATCCCTCCTGTACTGCCACAGTAGCAACAATGACACCAGAGCTGCTGTGAGCCCAGGCACATGTTCTTCACCCATCTGCTCTAGCGGCCGACACTTCCAGGTCTACTTGACGATGACTGGGTTTTTGGTATAGGTGTTTGTCCCCTTTTCACCCCAGCAAAGTCACAAAGGAGACAGGTATCATAAGAATGACTTCTCACATACAGGTAACTGTGAAGACGTAGGAAAGGGGAAACACCCCTGTTAACCAGCAATAATAGCTGAATTAATACAAAGAACACCTTATGTTATTTAATCCTCCAGCAGCCATGTGTGGTAGGCAAGGAATCAGGGACTGCATCATTCTTGTCCCAAGAGAGGAAACGGTTTCCAGAAGGGGGAATGACTTGTCCAGGATCATAGAGCTTGTAAGTTTTAGAATTTCTCAGACTTAGGGTTTTGGGTTTTTTGTTGACCTAAGGCCCTTTATGGCTGGCCTAGTTACTCCTTTGTTAGTTCATTCAACATTTCTTAAGCATCTAGTTAGTTCCAGGCACTGGAGAGCCATTGAGGGGACAGAGTTCCTGCATTTAAGGGGCTCATACCTGAGAGGAAGAGAGGAGCAGGTAAACCAAGGTAATCCCAAATAGAGGTCAAAAACTGGTGGCCTCCAGACCAATTTTATTTAGCTAACATGTTTTTTTAAAATCTTGAATTATTTAGAAAATAGAAAGATGTGATGAAAAACCCCAGTTATCTGGCTTCTTCTGATAAACCGGACAATTTAGCAATGTGTTCTCAGATTCCCTTGTGTCCGTTGGTGGCTGGATGGTGCTATGGTGGCCCATTTTTGAGAGGCTCTCCCTTGCCAGTTTGCCAGTCTCTGCCCTCCCCGCTATTCCCTGCCTGTTTGGCCCCTGTGGGTGGTTGATTTTGCATTCCCCTGGGTTGCAATAGTGATCAAGGAAAATAGTGTGTTCTGGGAAGGACTCTGACCACAGCCAGGGTTAGGTGAGAAGGAGAGGGAGCCAAGAAGGATTTCTCGGAGGAGAGAATGTTTGGACTGTATTTTTTACAAAACAAAGAAAAAGGAGGCTGGGCGCGGTGGCTCATGCCTGTCATCTCAGCACTTTGGGAGGTCAAGGTAGGTGGATCACGAGGTCAGGAGTTCAAGAACAGCCTGGCCAAAATGGTGAAACCCCGTCTACTAAAAATACAAAAACAATTAGCCGGATGTGGTGGTGGGTGCCTGTAATCCCAGCTACTTGGGAGGCTGAGGCAGAGAATTGCTTAAAATCAGAGGATGCAGTAGGTGGAGATCACGCCATTGCACTCCAGCCTGGGCAACAGAGCAAAACTCCATCTCAAAAAAAAAAAAGAAAGAAAGAAAAAAGAAAAAGAAAAAGGACAAGTGCTCCAGGCAGAGGTCGCTGTGTAGGAGATGACCCAGAAGCACTGGATCATGGCACATTCATTATTTCTTAGGGCAAACTCTGCCAAACTGCCCTTCCTTTATGCAAAGCAAAGTCCACTGTTAACGGGTAGAATCAGATTCTTTTCTGGAAGATTCTACATGTACAAAGTACAAAGGCACTGGGTCAGTCCTGGTTGCTCAATGTCCTCTTATGCTGAGGGAGAGTGAGAATCAAAAGGTAGGTTTATATAAAACTTTGTCTAGTTTGGAAAACTCTGAGCTTCCAAGTCATTATTTTTGGTGGGTTTGTGTGATCACCATCTTTTCTACCAACAGACCATTTACTGGACCACAGGTATTCTGGCATCATTTTTTTCTTTTAAAACTGGTGAGTGTGCCATTCTTTTCTTTTTGGAACCCATATCTGTGGCCATATTTCAAGACTTTTTTTTAATCATTAGGAATAATTTTTACAGTTCAGCTTTTCAAAGCCTGACAATGTGTCAAGCCATTGGGGAGAGCTCAAGCACATTTTGTGGTGCCAAAATATGGCTTGCCTCAGAGGGTTTGAGTTTATGACGACACCCTGGTGTTAAACTATCTTGCTCTGAGATGCTAAAAGAGATGGGGGTAGGGAGTCTTTTGAGGTCCCCAAACTGTTCCTGGAGGTGGTCACCCCTTTTTTTCTTTCTCTATGTGCCTGTGCTGGGAGATCTGGGTCACATGGCAGCTAATGCTGTGGATCCCAGGCAACTTTTTGCTCAATAACTGTTTCCCAAATGGCTACTCAGGGGCCTTTCAGAATTCACGAGAGCTGTCAGTTGTTATAGTAACCGGCCCCCTGCTGTCGAATTGGCCCTGAGATGCCAGTGGAAGCTCTTGGAACAAGCTAACACATAGTCATTAGACAAAAGCGGAAAGAGATTCACTGCTAAAGGTTGCCAGTTAAACATGCTCCATGATACTTAAAAAGCTGGACTGATTCTGTTAGGGAAGCGGTGGGTGGGTAAATTTTTAAACCAAGCTTACTTTTCAGGAAAGGGAAGCTCCTTGTATGTTCAGTCTATTCTAGGTAACAACCATCTTTCTTTGGATTTCTCAGAATTAACTGTCTTCTCCCCCCGGGGTTAATTATGTCTGTTCTGCTGGTTTGCTCAGGTAGCCTCAAATATCTCAATTATTCAAGATATTAGTTATTGATTGTGTGGCATTTGCTTCTCAGCAAAAGTGTTGTCAGTTTACGGGTGGTAGTTTTAAGCGCCTGTGATTGTGTGTGAGGAAAAACTGCGGAGATAGCCGGCTCTGCTCCAAAATTCCTGAAAGAGTGAATCTGGCAGAATTCAGAGTAGGGCTAAGGGTTGAGAAAAAGTCTAAATATTTTAGGAAGCTGCAAATTTCAAGTTTTTATGAGAATTTGTAAAAACATTCCAACACACTCATGATTTCTTCAGATTAATGTTCATAGCCACACTGAGTATATCCATGATGTTTGTAGGACAGTTGTTGTAGTTCCAGGATGTACTCAATAGAGGGAGACAAGAAGTTCTGTGTTACAGCAATCCCTCCCCCCTTTTAATCGTATTTCCAAGTTTGACTTCTCCAAGTTTTGGTTCCTGTGCCAAGCACTTTTACCCAATATGGAGTCTAATAATTAATACAATCATTGAAAGCTTGTATTAAGGGTGAAGAAAACCTAACACTCCAGAATTAGAGGATGTTCATTCCTAGAAGTGAAAAACCACCAGCGGACTCAATAGTTAACAAAATGTTAACTCCTTTGGAATTACATACCTGGCTTCAGAATTCTTTGTGGGACTCAACAGAACTTCCAAAAAAAGAGAACTTCCATATATCTGAGTTTGTCATTGCTATTTTATCAACAGAGTTTGGAAAGAATAGGAATCATTTCAGTGTGAAATCCTATAGCCCAGCTGGTTTGGGAGACTAAATATAATTAAATAAATACTTTCAAGTGTTCTTGTGTGACAGAAGTGCATCTTTCAAATTCTGTAGCCAAGTCTCAGATGCTACAGTTATTTAAGTTTTAAGGAGAAACTAAATATAGGACTTAATATATAGTAATAACTTGCCAACTGCTGTTCCCATCTCCCTGAGGTGCCTCTCCTATTTATTCTCCAATCTGTATTGTGAATTAAGAAAATGTTTGTTCTGAGATGAGAGGAAAGCATGGGGTAAAAGACAAAACCCGAAATGTGTCTAATGGCACCAAATTCAGAGACATTTGTGGCAGAAGGGAGGACCAAATGATCTCCAAGTTCACTTTACTCCAATGATATTTTAAGCCATTCTGTTTGCCAGGGCAGTGTGTCAAAGGTGGAAGAGTGGGTATATGAATGACAAGGGTCATCACTGTGTTTGTGATATCCTAACCTTCCATTAACACCGGGGTAATAGAGGCTGCGAATATGTAAAGATGACTTAAAAGAGTAAAGTTCCCACTGGGTATTTCTTACCTCAGCATAAAAGCTCCTCATAAGCTCCTTTGTGCATAAGCATCCTCTTTTGAAAATGTCACAGATGAGGCCTGATGACGGGGTCTGTCTGTGTTAGATGGGAGGGGAGGGCATTTGTATGCAACTCTTGGTGGCCAATTGAAAATACTGTATTCTACACCTGTTCTCTTTTGTTTTTTGTCCATTTAGAGGGTGTAACAAAATAAAGTCCAAGGGCTTTCCCAGACGTTTCCGTGAAGTGCCTTCTTCTGGGGAGAGAGGAGAGAAGGGGAGCAGGTGAGGGGCGGTCAAGCTTAAGTGGGGGGCGTCTTGATGGCCGGGACTGGCTTGCCAAATTTTTGTTTTGTTGCCATGGGGATTGAAGTCTTGTAGATGGCACAGTGCTGAAACTCACCTGCTTTACCTGAATTCCCAAAAGTAAGACTTGCAAATATCAATTCAGCTTGTGGGTAGCTGGTACCAATTAAAAGTATGTCCTGTGTGTGCTTGCTTTGCTTTATTTTGCAGTTTTGGGGGTGTTATTTGTTTCCGGGTTTGTATGTACTGGGGGTGCTCTATGTTTGTGTGTCTGTATGTGTGTTGCATCCATTTTCTTTCCAAATTTTTAGATATTTGCATGGTTTTGAGCTTTTAAAAAAACATATAATGCATGCATATAGCCTTATGTGAAAAATACCTCTTAGAAACCTAAATTTGTAGATAAGTTAGGGATGAAGAGTAGGAAGGGGAGAGAGAAGTGAGCAAACATGGATGTACTATGTGTTTTTCCTTAAGAATGG
This sequence comes from Homo sapiens, assembly GCF_000001405.40. Classification (NCBI taxonomy): domain Eukaryota; kingdom Metazoa; phylum Chordata; class Mammalia; order Primates; family Hominidae; genus Homo; species Homo sapiens. The sequence goes on from NC_000003.12 coordinate 62,231,815, forward strand.
TGAAGTTGTTTTTTTTTTTTAAAAAAAGGAAATGCATATGAGTTCTGGATAGTTTGAATACTTGGAAAAATTATTGTCCTGGAAAGAGTTATAGTAAATGTTTGGAACTCATGATTGTACAGTTTTAATCACCACACTTGAGTCTCTTGATAATATTTCTGTAAGGCCTGTCTTAGGCAAACTGTATTTAATATTAATATCTTTTAATATTAAGTTGCTAATTAGACTAATTCACTAATCCATATTATGTCAGGAGCAGTCCCTTTTTACTTTCAATGAACCAATTTATAGGATTTATGTTAGAATTTTTACATGGAATGATTCATCTCCATTGGTTGTGGGTAAATCAGAATACTGAGATGAAATTTTAGATATCCAACTATTATAATCAGATAAACCTATGAAATCTGAGAAGGTATAGTTTAGGAGTTGTGACAGATTAATGAGAAAGTATATGATCTATTTTCTTTTACACTGTACTGTGCAATTTTGGCCTTGTAGGGAAAGCAATAACTGCTAACACTGGTAACTAAATTATTCTGTGATCCCTTTTTGCTTATTAATGTCTTTAATTTCTAATACATTTTCAAAACTAAGGATAGAAACTGAAATAGAAATTTCTCTGTATAGTTTTGGAGTCAAAGACTAATCTTAAGAGAGGAAGACGTTGGACATCACTTAAATGCTTAACTGTCATACCCAGTCCATTATAAATATGTTGTGTTTTTGACTATAACACTTTAAAAACCCAGCATCACCTTATGAATATCACAAAGATAAATGCACATCCAATTTCAGGTCCTCCCCAGAAGTGATGATGTAGCCTGCCAGACTATTTCTTTTATGTACTTCGACCCCCACGTCAGTGGGCCCATTATAGATATATTTTAGATCCTAACAGAGATGCCCCAGTCTCTCTGGTATCTTCTCTGCTGCTCAGTGAAGGAAGCACAATCAGTTTCATCTAGGTCTAGGAGTTGGGAACCATCTTGTGAAACTACAGGTATTTATAGAATCCCTCTGATTGTGAATCATATCATTTACTTTTTTAAATAGTGTAGCAGCTTAAAAGACAGACTTTGGCTCAGGGAGATATGTGTTCTAACTGCAGCTCTGCCACTTCCTGGCCCTGCGACTAGGAAGGGCCCATAGGGCCTTAGTTTCCTTATCTAGAAAATGAGTCTAATGATAGCAACTTTTCATGAGGTTGTTGTGAAGATTAAATGGGGGTAGTATATGTAAAATGCTTAGTGTGTGAAATATATTAACCCATTGAGAAGATGAGGAAATTCAGGCTCTGAGAAGTTGTCACTTGGCTAAGCCACCCTGCCTAAGTGGTTGCCTTGGGACTCCACTGCAGCGGCGTGAATCCTGAGCAGTACCCCCTCTCACAGCTACATGTGCTATGCTAAGTACTCCATGAAAACGATATGGGCCAGATACAGATCCTGTCCTCAAGGGGCGCCATGTCTGTGCTTCTTACGCTAGCCGCCCTGCTGTAATGTACAATTCCTCATTCTGGCCCACTGTCCCCTCTCCTTCCCCATGCTCTCTCCCCAGGCACTTTTGCTGCCTCCTTTCCTGACCCATGTCCATCCTGCTGCTGTTCTATAAAAGGGCTTTGAAAGACAGGGTGCCCCCTACCTCTGTCAGGCTTCTGCAGGAGGCTGGAATGCAAGCCCTTCAACCAGGCTCTCTCTCACCTTTGCCTTTTTCATTCCGCTCTCATTTTCTTTCCTGGCTTGTATCTCCACCTAAAATGTGGCCAGGAATCAAAAGAAGAGCCCCCAGTGATAGCTAAATTGCAACCCTCCAAACAGCTACAAGAGCTGTTACAGAATCCCTACACATTAACTTCATGTGGCATTACTCTTCTGCCCCTGTCATCTCCCTGTCCCACAGCAGGAAGGAAGGAGACTGTGCCGCTAAGACGCGTTGCACAGAGAATTGCTAAAAGCAGGACAACAGCTGTGAGAGGTGATTATCCTCCCAGAAAGGAGAGGAAAAAAACATTGAAGATCAGACCCAAGTATTTAATTTTTTAATAAAGCTGATTTAAGTTTTGAGTAAGTAATACTTGACATGATTCAAAATAAAAAAGTTTAAAATTATATGCACCACTAAATTACCATCCCATCACTCACCCACCCTGCTCCCTACCTCCTCACAAATAGGTAGCCCCTATTGCTAGTTTGTTGTCTATTCTTCCAGGGATTGTTACACATATATAATATATAAGCAAATAATGAATATCCTTTTATCTCCTTGTACACAATGGAATACAGCATATGCAATCATGTGCCTTGCTGTTCTCACTTAACACACGATTTCCCTATGCCTATATAATTTCCTCATCCTTTTACACAGAAGCATGGTATTCCTTTGTATAGAAGTGTCATGATTTAATTAACCTATCCTCTGTGGCTGTCATTTTGATTGTTCTCCGTCTTTTGTTATTATAAACAATCGTGTGATGAATAAGTTTATGTGTCACTTTGCAAGTGGATAAGCATGTCTGTAGGAAAATTTTCAGAGGAAAATTTATTGGCTGTATCACAAGGTACATGCTATTGTGCATGTATGGTGCCAAGTTGCCCTCCATAATGGGATACCAAGGTGGGCTTCTCTCTGCAGTCTATGAGCATGCTATTTCCCTACAGCCAACCCAGCACACTGCATTGTCAAACTTTGGCCTTTTTACTAACCTCATAGGTGAAAAAGAAACGGTGTCTCGGTGTGATTTTAATGTATTATCTCTTACTATAAGTGGGATTGAACCATTTGTTTTTCTGTAAACTGTTTATATCTTTTGCTTGTTTTTTCTTTGAGTTATTGGTCTTTTTCTAATGAAGAGAGATAATCCCTTGGTAGCAATGTGAGTTGCAAATATTTTTTCCCAATTCATAGTTTACTTCTTAACTGTATTTATGGTTCTTCTTTGATGTTTATATAATCAGATTTATCTATATTTTCTGCTTTGTTTTCTAGATTTTGAGTTTTCTTTTAAAAGTCTCTCCATTCTGAGGTTACTCTTTTTTAAAATCACTTTTATGGTTTCAAATTTTAATAGTAAATTCATTTGGAATTTAACCTGGTTGATCGTGTGATGTCTGAATCTACTTCCCCCCCCCGAGATGGTCTCAAGTATTTTAAAAAAAATACTGTAATCTGGGGCTTAGTGAAGAGGCATATAATACCTTCTTAGATCCTTAAAATATCACTCACAGCAAAATACAGTCAATCAGTATATTAACAAAATAAGGAGTTGCCAAGAGGCTTTTACCCAGACATTTTAGATTATAAATACTGAAAAATATGTGCAGTAAATATAATGTGAATTTCATTTCTTACCTCCTCCCCAAAATGAGTTGGACTATCACATCACTGTTAACCTTCCAAAATCAGTGGGATATTGTGTCAGTGCCTTAAAACTGTGGCAAATGAGGTGGAGAGCCCCTCAAGCCTCAGTCCAGATGTTCAGAATATTCCAGTCTAGGGTCTGAAGGGTGAGACAGACACCTTAAAGCCCCTGACTTCAAGCCTTCTTTTCTAAGTAATAGCTGGAAGTCTTGGGAAGTCCTGTCCAGGGCTCACTTTCTCAAAGCCAGCTAAAATAAAAGAACTGTCACGGTCTCATCAAAATGTGGTTTCTGAAGAGACCTTTTCTCTCCTATCTCCTGGAAAGTATTACCAGTACTTCAGTCAGACCTAGGTATCTGCAAGGATTTCTTGGCAAACTTAATGCCTAGCTAAGAGAATATAGTTTTGAGACCACTTTTGTGCCTATAATTTATCATTTTCTCCCACCTTCCTAAAGATGTTAATTGCAGGCAATTTGAATCATCCAATAAAATTCTCACTATGGGAATCAGATTTTTGTCACTTCTGACTGTACCAAAAGTCGACTAGGCCATCTCTCCTATTCATGTGAAATCCAAAATATTTTTGAAACATTCTCTCCTCGTTTTAGTATCTGTTTCCTCTTTCACACCCCATCCATCACTGCATGATTTTGTTCTCTTTTCTCTTCCCTTTTCCCTTTCTCTCTCCTCATATCTGTTAAGCCCTGCTTATCTAAGGTATGACAGCCATATGCCCTGGGACTTCCACAGCCCTCATGTGAAACTTGCCATTTGATTATCCCCCAAAGCACATTGACATTTGTCAAATCTCACGCCCCCTTTTATGATTTGGAAAATATGGCCACTAGAAACATATTTTGGTTTGAGTTTTTCTTTTGAGAAGATCCCTTCCGGAAGAGATACTACAAGTGTAAACTGAGTTTTATAAACTGAATCACTTAACATGCCATAAAAGAAACTTAACAGCAAGTGAGTTGTTGTATATGAAAAATCTCAACTTAGAACTTACATTGGGCTCCTTTCCAAGTGGAATCCCGGAGTTATTTCAGACACTCCTCTTTGAGGAAAAGCCCAACAACGCCTACAGCCTTTTTCTTTTATTGTTGTATTTGTCACTTCAATTTCTTGAAACATTTTGCCCTAATAAATCAATCCATGCCTTTTTAATACAGCTCTCAATCATCTTCCTTGAAAGCATGTGAACGTTTTCAACTTTCTATTTGTAAGTGGCTCTTATTCATGCAGGGTTTACTACAACAGATCCATTTACAAAAGTAGATATTAATGCGATTTCTTTTCTTGACAGCATGAAAATAAATGGGATTATTAGCGGGTATGCTACTGTAAATTTAAATGAGGGCAGTGTGTAAATCAGTTAAGATTGTATAATTAATATTCAGCAGCAGCTCAGCTAACTGCCCTCTCTAGTCTGCAATTAGAATTTTGAGCTACACACTGCTAATAAACTCTTTGCCACCCTGATGTGATTATAGAACCATTGAGTTTAATTTGAAGACAGTCACTTGGTTTCTAATTCCTATATACCAACAATCAGTTAGTTCATGATTCTGGGTTTTCATATGAGTCTGGAGGCCACACTGTGGTCCTCCACCCTGCCCATGTCCAGTAGTCATGATGTTGTTCAGGGCAGTGTTGTAGTAAGCAGAGGACCCTGGATGAGAACAATGTGACATCCCAAGCTTCTCAGAGTGGGTGTACGTGTTGACCCAGATGTCTGTAAACCTCAGGAACCCCTTTTTCCTGTAAGCAGGTTTGGAGACCTGCCTTTTAAGGAGGTTTGTTTGTTTGTTTGTTTGTTTGTTAATACAGCAGTGTTGTGTGGAATTCCAGACATTTCTAATGTTCAGTCTTTCTGCACTCAAGTTCAGCACTTTGCTTCTGAAAAATATTGGTCACTAAATTATTTCCAGGTTCTTGTCAGAAGGGCAGAAAAAGATATAAGAAAATTGTTAGCTCATATCAGAGGTTATCTAAACAGGTTCCCGGAAAAACAGAAGCCACAGAAGAAAAGGCCTTTATGCAGAAATTTGGTCATTCTGGGTATTCTTCCTTAAGAATTCCTGGGTGGAAATGGGGGGTCAGAAGTCTAGAGGTTTTTTTGTTTGTTTGTTTTGGTTATTTTGCTACATTTTGTTTGGGTAGTAAGTCTCTATAACTGGAATTTTATTAATACTTATAAAGGACTGTCAGAGCAGCTGGGCGTGTGTGTGTTTCATTAGTCAAGAAGGCCAATTAAACATACTGGAACCTGTCATGTGCTGGCAGTGTATATTTTTCAGCAGGGAGCTCAGGGACTTGACGTTGACAGCTGATACTGGCCGATGTGTTTCACATCCTGACTAAAAGATGTACTCTGCACGTTGTGTGTGCTCTGTTTTCCCAAGAGTAGACTTTATTTTTAAAGAGGTCTTTATCCTTAAAATATCTCCCTTATTTGAAAGCATGGAAGGTTATTTTTAGAAATTTCAGTCCAAGAGAAAATATTCCTAATCACAAGCTTCATGTGTCCCATGTGGGCTTTTAAGAAGCCATGCATACTTGCACATTGCTACCATCAGGGCTTCAGACACTGTACAGATCTGGACCACAGGTGTGGGTTGTGGGCTTGAGACCCAGAAAACTGCTAACCAGATGCCATACAGATTTGATCAGCTACTATCACACATTACCCTCTGGACTTCCAATCAAACCTTTCTTAGAAATCTTTTGAAGATATATGAGCCCGTGTTTGGTTTTCTAAAAAGGGATGAACGAATGGAGAGTAACATAGGAAGCTTGCTTCCACTCTGCTACTTGGAACTTTCTATAGAAATGTGCATATATCTAATATGTTAGTCATCTTTGGTCAAGCACCAGAAGCACTTCGGTAGCATTTAGGGCTATGCTGTAAGAAAAGTGCATTCTTTTGAACAGAGACGCTCATTCGGTGAGGCAAAATGCTTACTCTGTGAGAGGGATATGAGAAATGGGACCAACTTAGGGACCAACAGATTCACATTTCCCGTTTCACTTTCATTCTGTCTCACATACCCACTGAGTTCGAACTGAGGAGATAACTTGTGCAAACTGAGCTCTTTCTTGTACCCATCTGGGAGCATTCAGTGAATGTTTCATGTAAGTCCCTCTATCTTGGGTATCTTGTTGATGGGGGTGGGCTTTAGAAAGCCATCTAAAACAGTGGTTTTCCAGTTGGTTTAAGTGGCAGGAAACTTGGAATTCAGGATGTCGGAACATCATTATTATTAATAATATTGAAATAAATATTGACAACTTCAATGCCTTCATAGAAACTGAAATTAATTTTCCTACCAGACAAGTATAGCAGTCCACAAGGGTGGACTCTCAGGAGCCATTTTCCCTTTCTCACAGTGGTTCATAATTGGACACAGTACATACCAGAATCCCTAGAGGGAGTCTTCACAATACACAGAGCTATATATACCCCACCCTGCACCTGCTCTGTTAGAATCATCATGAATGGGGCTTACCCTGCCTGGGTATTCTAAAAGCTCCCTAAGCCAAAGAGCTATGCACTGCTTGTTAATAACCACCATTTGACTGATACTTTACTGATAAGAGAGAGAGAGAGACTGAGAGACAGACTGACTGACTGTTCAGGGCCCTCCAAAATTAAGGCATACCTAAATCAGAGTACTTAAAGTGTCAGAAAGATATATGCTGCAAATTGTACAATAGGGGGAAGTAGAAGATAACTAATTTGGGTCATTACTAGGCCTGTCAGAGTCAGTGAAAATAATGTTACCTGGCCTCAGTTTCTTAAAGGGCACAGACAGCACCCAGGCGTTGGGGAAGGGATGAGAAGTAAAAGGGCAGAGGTGGAAACATGAAATATATGGTGGGGAATCATTGGATTATACTTTGTAGTTAAATTTGTAAACATACTTTTTCATTACAAACATCTATTTCATTGATTTCCCTTTTTAGGGTACTTACATATACAAATGTTCACTGAAGAGAAATGATAATTTTGGAAAATGGCTCTTTGTGATCCTAGAAATCTGATTCATTCAGGGAGGGTCTGTAAGGGTAAGTTAGTTGAAAGAGAATTAGACCTAGATAGAAAATTGAAATTGCACGCTCAGTGACACACGTAAGCACTTCGAGAAATTCTTTTTTTTCTTTCTTTCTTTCTTTTTTCTTTCTTTTTTTTTTTTTTTTTTTGAGACCAAGTCTTGCTCTGTTGCCCAGGCTAGAGTGCAGTGGTGTGATCTCGGCTCACTGCAACCTCTGCCTCCCAGGTTCCCAGGTTCCAACGTTTCTTCTGCCTCAGCCTCCCGAGTAGCTGGAACTACAGGCACGTGCCACCACACCTGCCTAATTTTTGTATTTTTAGTATAGACGGGGTTTCACCATCTTGGCCAGGCTGGTCTCAAACTTGTGATCCACCCACCTCGGCCTCCCAAAGTGCTGGGATTACAGGCGTGAGTCACTGTGTCTGGGCAGCGCTTTGAGAAATTCTATCTCCATTCCCCTGCGCTCAAAATTAGAGACAATACTGCCTCCTTAAGTAGATCACAGTTCAGAGGTTTAGAGGCATTAAAACTTGTGTTTTTCTTTTCCTTTTCTCCAAAATCCCTGCTTTTGCTTTTTTTATTCCTGGATACCTCTGAAGGTCAAGAAGCATAATTTCTCGTGGAAATTCCCTGAAATGAGCAAGTTAAAATACAATGTCATGTGATATGCAGCTGCTTTTCTTAGGTATTAAACACAGTGTAGAATTTGTACATGCAAAGGGACCATCTTCATATTGTTAAGGATCATGAAAAGCTGACAATAGACTGACCACCTTCATCAGTCCCTGGCCCAGAGTAGACCCCCCAATAGATAGTTATTAAAGGAATAAATTAAATACCAGCATTGTAATGCCTCCATGAAATGGAAGATTAAGCAAACATTAATAAAGAGGATGCCAGTCTATATTTGTTATCAAGGAGAGATGCATATAGAATGATCTCATTTCGTTTTTTAAAAATAAAACCCCCATGTAGTCCCAGCTACTTAGGAGGCTGAGGCACGAGAGGCGTGAGAATCGCCCGAACCTGGGAGGCGGAGGTTGCAGTGAGCTGAGATCGTGCCACTGCACTCCAGCCTGGATGACAGAGCGAGACTCCATCTCAAAATAAAATAAAATACATACTCCCCCAATACCCAGAAAAAAAAATGGAAAACAGCCCATCTGTCTATATTTGGGTGAGACTATAATAATAGCCCACAGATTGATCTCCTTGTTCCATTTCTGCTGCCCTCTAATCCATTCATCATGTAGCAGCCAAAATGAGCTTTCTGAAAGAAGCAAATCAGATGGTGCCTCTCCATGGATTAAAGCCTTTCATTGACTGTCCCCTGCTCCTAGACACCAGTGAAGGTTCTTTGGTCGCTAGATCCTGCATGATCTGGCTCTGGCCCACCTCTCCAACCTTGCTTTCCACAGCCTTTCCCTTGCCTCTGGCTTCCTTCCAGTTTCCTAAAATGCACCAAGCTCCCTCTGCTCTAAGGCTCTTCAACTAGCTGCTTGACCTGCCTAAAATGGTCTTCCTCCAGAGTTTTACAGGGTTAGACCTCCTTAATCAGGCCTCAGCTCAAATGCCACCTCCTCAGTGAAGTCCCTTCCTTCAGCCGACTTCATTTACCACCACATCATTCTTATTTTCTTCATTGCTCTTGACTATTTGAAGCAATTTATTTGCTTGTTGTGGATTTTTCCCCATGAAGACATAAATACTAGGAGAGTAGGTGCCTTGTGTGTCTTGTTTATCATTGTGCTCCCAGCTCCTCACTGCAGATAGATCAAGGAATAGTGAATAAATGAGGAAAAGTATACAGGGATAGACCTCAAAATATTAATAGTGATCATCACTAGGAGGAAGATTTTGGGTGTTTTTAATTGATTTTTTTCTTTTTGTTCATTTGTCTTGCCTAATTTTTCTGCAAAGATGATCTGTTGCTTATATAATACTTTATCAATTACTCCAGTGCTTAGCCAGGCTTAAGGAAGTAGTTTTAAGGATTGCAGACAGCGGCGGGAATGTGTTGTCTGCATACTTGATGCTGTGCAGTGGGTGCTGAATAAACATTTGCCAAATCCATTGAAATCTTTATTCTACGGGAAGACATTCCCCACAAAGTTCTGTAGTTAGTTGCCCACCCATATATTTGTGTGGGAGGCAAGTGCATGATGTGCAGCAAGGTACAGATGCGGAGCTTTGTCCCCCAGGTTTCTGATCCTTATCCCCAGTCGTGTGCTTTTCGCTGGCAATCATGGAGTTATTTTGCTCCAGGGAAAATCCATTATAAACAGCAGCACATGGGGCACTAGAGTGTGATTTGCTTCAGTACACACTGCTTTTTTCAAAGATAATGTGGGGCCTGTAGTTCCACATATAACTGAGACTGGCTGAACTGTCTGCCTGTCTTGTAGGGAAAAAAAAATCTACAATATAGTATATATATATATCCTTTCCAAGTCACTTTAACAGTAACTTGGCCAATAACAATTGTATTTACTAATAGCTTTACATTTTAGAAGTCTAATAGCCATAATAATTATGGTCTTAAAATCAAAGTTATTTCTTGCATGCATTTGTTTTTTTCAAGTTAAAGGCTAACCCAGTAAATTGCATCCCATTCATCTTAGTGACTTAGAGCACTTATTTGGGCTATTAAGTAGTTGAATAGCTGTCCTCTAACTCAACAAAAGCAGGTTTTCCTTAGCTATGATACTGGATGGTTAAGGCTTTCATTCATTTGTGAAGTCCATAACCTGTGTTTTAACTTTAATGTTACATTCTGGAAATCTGTGCAAATTGGAGAAGGTGGGGGAGGAGAGGAAGGAATCCAAGAGTAGAAAACTTAATAACTAATTTAGAGAGAGAAGGAAGTTATCTCAAACATCAAAATAATTTGTTTCACATAGATTTCCATTGCTTTACATTCAGAAGATTTGGTTAGCACCAGAGCCCTATAATATTATGTGCATTTCATATCCATGTAGCTTAAGTCTGACTAACTTATGTTCTTCACAAATTTAGGTAAAGGCAGCTACGCAAAGAGTGATGAAAACTTGTTTTATTATTTATATTATAAATGCTGAGCAATTCATAGGAAACAAAAAAAACACGCTCATTTTTCTTCAGTGCTCTATTAGAGTAGTCCTGGGAGGCATGTGTCAAGAGTTGTAGTAACTGACGTTCAAAATCTCCTAATGGTATGGAGCAGCAGTCTAGATTGATTCTAGAGCACTATCCAAATGGAAACTGCTTAGAGCTACTTTCCATCTGAAAATAGGCACTGCTTAAAGAACAGCGCTTCATACTATGACATGTGATCATTTCTGATTGCGTGTGGTTATAATAGCCTGTATAAAACCTGAGATGGAAACATCTTTGTAACTCTGTGGTCTCTTCACTCCCAAGGAGATCTTGTTTTTTATAGTTTCTTGATTTTTCTCTAACCTTCCCAACCCTAGCCCCTTCTTTGGCCTCATAGAAACAGGGTATGCCCAATGGAATCATCCCAGGATATTTTTGATTAGATTGAGCAAAGACAACTGTGAAGAAAAGTTGACTTATCTGGTAGTTGGAATACGGGCCCCAGAAAAAGCAAAGCTGTAATGTGTGTAAATGTTGTTTGGTGTGCGACGCCAGAGGAGGACAGATCCCAGTGACACTGTGCACCAGAAGGATGCCGCCTGCTTGGCTAAAAGACCCAGCAGTAGGGCCAGCTATTGTAAAGCCCCTCCGCCAAATGAACAGGGACCCTTCTCTGGTCACAATAGCCATTCACGCTGAGCAGCTTCATTAAATATTCAGCCTGTGCTTCCGGCAGCTCATTAGGGCCGCAATGAGCAGTGACGTGGATGCAGGAAAGCTGAGGGCCAGCCAGCATCGGAGGCAGAGGCTGAGTGAGCTGCTGATGGCTTTTCTCTTCATTGCCTGTCCTATGATGACCAGTGTGTGCTCTCTGCTTTGCTTGAAATACAGGTAAAAAAAACAAACAAGCAGATGACACGTAAGGGCTTCAAGACCTTGTCTCAGATGTTGTCTGGCAAGGGCCTCTGATTCTGAGTGCTTGCCTTCCTGAAGCCCTCTGACCCCTTTAAAGAGCTGTCTGAGGCTTAGGGGGCCTTTGCATGAACAATGTGGTGCTATTGTGTACTTGGGCTGTTTGATGACGATGTTGGAAGGGGATATAAGGTGTGGTTTTGAACTTGGTGCTGGGGATTTAGAATAGCAAATTATTCCTCTGTAACGTACCAAATTTAGAAATATTGTGAGATAACCCTAGCACTCTGTGTGGTAGGTTTACTCTCTACCATGTTTTCACGTATTTGAGTAGTTAAATACTAAGCCTTTCCCTTTGAACTATCAGTTTGGATGCGGTGATGATAAAAAAAATGGATATGCTGTAGCAATTTTGGGCCCCTCCAACAGGCTGAATGTTGTCCTTGTATCTTGTTACTTTTACATGAGTTTACCCTCAGTGCTGTGTGATGTTTAAAGCTGGGAAGATCTATAAAATAAGAATTAAAAGAAGATGAACTCAAATAAAGTATATTCTATTATTGACATGTTTTTCTCTTTTCTACACAGAAAATGTTTTCAGACTGCTCATTTCTATGTGGAAGACAGCAGTTCACCTCGAGTGGTCCCTAATGAAAGTATCCCTATTATTCCTATTCCGGGTAAGTAAGACACTGCTCTTATTTCCAATGGGCTAATTGTTTTTCTCTTTTATTCTCAGTTTTATGTGATAAAACAACAAAATATTTTATAGCCTTTTAAAGCTTGCCCAGTATAAGAAATTCTCTTTAGAAGAACAAATAACTGAGTTAATGTAGTATACAGTCATAGGCAGGAAAGGGAAGTACAGTAGAAAAAAGGGAAAAACCGTACAAAAACATTCTTAGTATCTACTTGGACTAAATTTCATTTGCATAGGCAATTTGTGCTTATATTTTTAAATCACAATTTGTGACACATTTTTTTAAAGGTGATATTTTTCTAAGATTCTTTCCTCTAAAATAATGTATCTTAATGTTCAAAGTTTTGGTTCTTACGATGGTTGTGTGGAAATAGAGGAATACATTACTGGTCTGGTGGATATTTCACTTTTCTTCTAGTAAGAAGATAAAGCACTTGGTTAGTGTTGGGGTAGGGAATAATGGAGTGCACACTGTAGTGAATCCTAGCAAATGCCATAGACATTTAGAAGTTCAGCAGTGGGTTAGGTGTAATAGGATGTGGGATTTGAAGATCTCACCCACCATTTTTATTTGGCATCCCTTCTTCTTTGCCAGATTTTAACTTTCTACGTCCTGGTTTCATTATGTGCTTCCAAATACGTATCTTCAGATATTTTAGATACATCTATCCTCTTGACATTACTCTTTTGCAAACAGAAGCATCACTTTGATTATAATGCCACCCCTCCTCCACACCTGAAGCTCCCCCATCCTGCTGATCTGCCCTATTCTCCATAATGCTTTCCACCAGCTAATGTGCTATTTATTTTACTTTTTTCTTTGCTCTCTTCCCACTACAATGAGAGCTTTATAAGGGCAAGTGGCTATATCCTCAGTGCTAAAATAATTCTTGGCACATAGTAGGTATTCTTTAAGTACTTACATGAATGAACGTTAGAAAAATTTCCTTAAAGTTCTAAAAAGGTCTTGGCTGTGAAACTCAGAGGTAGAGTCATTCTTTGGGTACCATGGAGAAATGCTTCTATTGTTTGCAGATTGTCACTACGTGTGGTTATGGTTGTGGACTGAATTGCCCTGTTATGTGTCTGTATATTGCTAAGTCATTAGATATTACTGGGATTGTCCATGTTTTGTACATTCTAGTCAGCTTTTCTCACTAAAACTTGCCACACAGAAACAAGAAGATTAACAGAAAGTCTCTGATTAACTTCCTGTTGGAGCATTTTGTGGCTGCTAAACTAATTCTCATAAAGATAGGATAAGTTTTGTGTTACTGTGTGTTCTCCACTAACCCTGCCCCTTTTTCCTTGCTGAAGGAGACTACTTTTCCTTTGAGAGTAGAGAAGGTAGACAGGAATCATCAGTCTTCATCAGCATGAAATAAGTAGTTTCATTGAATCTACTGGATTTGCACAATAGCGTGCATATACTTTTTCCTCTTGCTTTACCTACAATATGTGTTGACCACTGGAAAATTCCTGGCAGCCTTTCTCCCCTCTGACCTGATTTGTCTGACACAGACTCAGTTGTTTGGTAGCTGTGTAACTGAAATCCATTTTTGAAGAGTTAAATGGTGAAATACTTACTGGGCTGTTTTTCCATTTCTATTTTCTTTTACCACTGGATTAGGAATCAGAAAACCTAGGTCCACCCTGAAATCTTTGTTCAGTGCCTTCACCTCTCTGAACCTTAGTTTCCAGAATCTGTAAATTAATTAGGATGCCTATTCTCCTTGCCTTTTGAGGTAACTGTCAAGACAACAGTAGATGATATTTGTAAAAGCACTTTGGAAACCATACATTAAGCGAAACGTGTAAGCTGTTGCAACTTTCCTTCCCAAATCATGGTACTGGTAATCCCAGCAGTCATGGAGAGAGAGCATTTGCATGACTCTCATGTTAAAATTGTGTCCCTGACACCGAACTACATCCACTAGGTGTGCCCTACCTTGAATCACTCTTCTTTGATATAGGCTTTAGAACTTTCAATTCACTAGGATCCTCTGAATATGCCTTGCAACACCTTTGAGTAGGTATATTAGACCAGAAATTGCTTTTGAATGTTTTCTGTTTCATTCCCAGTTACCTATTTAATTAAGAAGTTAAATACTCAAAACCCAGGGGCATTTCTTTAAATGTGTCTTTTTCCCTTTTAAATATGTTTCTCCTAATTCATACTCACTACTAGTAATATAACTATATCAAAAGAAGACTGCTTCACATTCTCCACTGAATGAGAAGCCCATGTATTCAATTGTACCTCAGTTGGCAAGGTGAGGCATTCTTGACAAGCTGTAACACGTTTGTAAAGATGAATTATTTTAAATGTAAGGCAGTGTGATGTTAAAGGGCTTACCTAGTGAAATGACGAGTGAGGCTCATCTGTTCTCTCAGGTCTTCATAGCTAACATAGCCTTATTAGGAGTATGCCTAAACAAATGAACTTACTTCACCCTTAACTGAGAGTTACCCTAAATGACCTTTCCTTAAAGAGCTTTCAGCTTGATCACAATCTCTCAGCTTGGTAAATAAAACCCCACAGTCCTATTTAATAGTTACATTTGGAAAATATTTTAATTCACAAAGCACTTTTTAAACAATTCACTGTTCTATTCTTTAGGATTTCTTCTTCTTTAGTTATAGCAGTACAACGGTGTCTCATAAAAGAAAAACACAATTCAATTTTTAACAAACTTGTGAGTTATTTTCACTCTACTAAAGCTTTTACCACAACTTTTCTTTAATGGAGACCTCCATGGAATCATTTTAAATGATTTATCTTAGAAATTATCCAATTGTTTTTATTTCTAAAAATAATACGAGATTTATAGAGCTCCTATGAAGTATTTATTCTACCCATTCAATCTCAGTTATATTTTATCCCTGCTCAAAACCTAAATAACAATAATACCAGACCCCAGATTTGTCAAATTATTTTACCACTTGGGCTCTTCACTCTCTATAATTGATTTTTTTAAAGATATTTGCAGACAACAGACATAACTAGTAAACTGAATCATTATACTGGCTAAAAATATGTGCAGCAGGGTGAAGTTGAAAATTCTGGTACCAAGCTGTTGTAAAAATAGAGCTCCAGGGTCATCACTGTGGAATATGCAATACACTGTGTTCCCAGAGCTTATTTTACAGTTAGCCTCTTAAAAAATTGTTATCTAATAATTATTGAGCTTTACCAACAAAGTATGTTTATTTTCACTATAGTCCTATAGAGACAGGTACAGTTGACACCCCCATTTTCTGGATGAAGAAACTGAGGTTCAGAGACTTTTTTTTAATTTGCCCAAGGTTACAGAGCTAAGCAGTGGAGCTAACACTGGAATTATCTCTGTGACTTCAAAGCACAGATGCTTATAAATGGCTCTGCCACCTCTTGGCATACGACTGTAACAGTTTTCATATCTCAAGACTTCAGACTCCTCATTTGGATATTGATTCATTAAATCAAGGCATTTTCAAATACATGTGAATATTCTCTTTAGTTTTTTCTGAGTTATTGATCATTAACTTCTCTCACTAGCACTGACCATTTGGTTTTTCATTAAATTCTCTTTCATCCTCCTGGAGGGAATTTCATAATTCTTGGGTTGACATTTTCCCCATATTAAAAAAATCTCCCCTCTCATCTCTGTTCTCTACTTATTTTTATTCTTTTCCTTCCTGAGAGAAAGACTCAACTCAGCAAGACATCCATTCCCTGCACAAAAACAGGTCTGTGTGATTTAAATGACTTAGGAAACAAGTCACAGCCACGTTGAATGTTGAACAAATTTAGACACTAACTCAGCAACTTTGGATGATTCTGCTGTGGCTAAAATTCATAAATAAATAGCTTGTATCTTTAAATCCCAAAGCATACGTGGAATCAGTAAGTTATACTGACTTTTGGAAACTATTATAAAATAGGTAAATGATTAAGGAAAGCTTTGCTAACCCTTTGATACTCCTCCCTTTGAGATAGCAGTTTATAGGAGTTTTTGAAGAATTTTGAATGACCAGTTTTACTAATTCTAACAGGAATTTAGGATATTCAGTGTGTTCTTCTGATTTAGTATAGCAAAGACAGTGTTTTAAGAACGAAGACTTTTTTTTTTCCCCTGGTCTCACCTAACACTTATGCAAAATATGGAAATGCTAGACAGAGACTGTGAATATATATGGTGGTTGAGGTTAATTAGCCATGTTAGAAAAAACTCAAAATGCAAGAGTATTTATCCAGCTTGAAAGAAGTGCTTTTGAGGTTGGCTTCCAATCACTATAAAGGTAGTATCAATTATTTTATCAGATAGATTTTGAATGGTTAGTGCCTGTTCCATGCATGACATATGGGAAAAGTAGGAGCAGGAGAGATACGTTAAACTGTGACTTCTGCAGGAGAGTGAAAGGGGTTTTGACTCAATATATTTCACTAAGGGTTTTTCAAAAGAAAATGTTCCCTGGTTACTGGTTTCCCATTGTTTCGGTGTGAGGATAAAGCATAATTGAATGCAGTAACACAGCTGTCAGTCCCCTCATATGCTTTCCATCTTCTAAAATACTGAAGTGGTCACAAAATTCTGTCTTTAAGATCCATAATATTCTTAACACTGACAGGTACTTATAAAAATCTAGTGACTCAGGAATATTCTTTTGAAAAAACAAACTTGAATATTACAATTATTAATGAAGCATTCACTACATTATATTATTCTTTTAGGCTTTCATTATATATAAACTTTTAGAAATCAGAACTTAGCTCATGAAATTAACCTGTTATAGAGCATATTGAAAGAGCTTTCCTAAATATGCATACTGTCAGACACAAATGTCCTAACGAATGCTTTTCTCTGGAAATTAGAAAATCTAACTTTCTAATAAGAGCATTACAAAACAAAATGTTGCTGCTAACCAGTAGCTTAGAAATTCAGAAATGATTCATGCCTTTCCAGCAGTTAAAATACATCTTAATAATTTGAAGGTCACTGGCTTCAGCAGGGTGCCAGAATATAAAGGGGTTTTAAACATGCAGTTTAAAACCCTTGGGATTAAACCAACCTTGTTGGCATATTTTATTTATACAGAGATTATCTCCAAAAGAGATTCATTGGTCTTTTGACTATAATGAAGCCCTTTCTTTATTGACTTCATTGTGTCATAAATGAAAAGAGATTTCTTTTTATGGCAGGAAATAAAATGTTCCAACCTCCACAACACTCCATGCATCCTAAGAGTGGGATTTAGACAAAAATCTATTTGTTGTGTCCTAACTCAGGAAATCTTGATAATGTCCTTTTGTTTCATATTTGCTTTATCTTCCTAAGTTGACACAAAGGTATTACCAAACACCTTGAGAGGCCTGAATTTGGCCTCTGAGAGACTGAGAGGGCAGACAGGAGGGGCAGGGGGCTGAATTCCTGAAAATGAGGTCTATCCACTAGAGGTGTGGTTAACAGTACCTGCTAACAGGCCAGTTGTTGGAGCAGGGTGGAGGGAAGGGGGTGGGTAAGGTCTGAGCTGCACTGATTTGACCCAAGTACTATGCTAGGGCTCTGTTTTTCTCTGCCCATGGAGATTTGGTCGGAATTTGGGATAGGGTTGAGAGATCTGCCAAGGGTTAAATGAACTTTACAGGGATTGCTCATAGAGTGGGTGACTTAAGGACCTCTGGAATCTTAATGGTATTTATATAAATACTCACACACTTCCAGAGTAAGCAAGAAGGGATATTTTATTAAATAGACCTTAAGTCAATCAACTGCAGCAGCTAAGCATCTTGTCAGGAAGGTAAATGCCATTAACAATTTATCTACCTGGCATCATCAAGGTGACCAGTCTACCAGTGTGAATTTTCCAAGTAACTGAAGCCTACCCTCAAAGCCAAAGAATATCATTTCAATCCTTTTTGCTGAAAAGTTTCTTTTAAATGTAAGCTCTAGGGAGGTAATATAATAAGGAAGAACCCAGGCTTTGGAGTCTGCCTGGCCCTATTACTTGATAATGACAGTAGCCTTGGCAAGCTTCTTGGTCCCTGTTAGGCAGTTTCCTCATCTAGAAAATTAGATTAATCACAGCACCTAGAACATAGGGTTGTGCATGTAAAGCAAGTAGCACCTAACAATAAATCATAGATATGAAATGTTTACTAAATGCCAGGCACTCTTATAAGTACTTGTGTTATCTTGTTTACTTTTCATAACACTCTATGAATTATGAAATGTTTACTAAATGCCAGGCACTCTTATAAGTACTTGTGTTATCCTGATTGCTTTTCATAACACTCTATGAATTAAGTACTGTTAGTTATTCCCATTTTACAGATGAGGAAAGGGAATCAGAGAAGTGGAGTCACGCAGTCTGGCTCTGGCTTTTCCACTTATACCGCTGCCTCTGGCTTCCTGATACACAGCAAGCATCTCATCACTGGTGGCTGATAAGAATCACAGATACTCAGTTTTACTGAGTTACATGCTAATGGCCTTACCAGGAGCTGTGTACTAAGGCTGGGCCCTCTGTGCAGCTCCTCCCTGTGGTGTATGTTCAGGGACAGCTTTGGCTGCTTATTTTTCCTTTCTAATATCAAATAAAAAACTATGGGCAAGAAAGCTGTTTCTCTTTTTATTTATCTGTTATTCCTTAAGATTAAGAGAAAGGAAATTTAGCGTGTATGAGTAGGTTAGAGGCATCAAGTGTTGGTGATTTCCCTCTAACAGTTCTGAAGATGCAAGTACGGCCGATACATAACTGTAGATTTTGGAAACAGCTTTATGTTCGAATGCCATTGTTCTTTATTGCCTACAGTGTTGCATTTGAGGTCAGCGTTATCTCAGCTTTGGTGTTTTCTTCTCAGTAGAAGTTGCTGTCATCAGTTCACCCTCTTCTGAGGCTCTGCTTTTGGTACCTACAAACCTAATTTCAAGCTTCATCAAAAGTACATAAGAAGGTTTTGTTGTGGATTGAACAAAATAAAAGGCCCGTTATGTACATAATCTAATTCTAACCACAAAAAGCTAAAATCTGGGAACTTACTTAAGGGTAAATAATAATATTTAATAACAATAAGCCCACCTCTTCAGGTACTGATTCTCTACATTAGTCATTTTATAATCGGGTGATTTAGTGATAATGGTAGTGGTCCCACTTTTGCCTAGTTTAAACCTTTGGTATCTGAAAATTTTGTAAGTACAAATAGTGGCTGAGTAAAGTGGCTCATGCCTATAATAATCTCAGTGCTTTGGGAGGCAGAGGCAGGAGGATCACTCGAGCCCAAGAGTTTGAGACTAGCCTGGACAACATAGTGAGACCCCATCTCTACAAAAAATATAAGCCAGGTGTGGTGACGTGGGCCTGTAGTCCCAGCTACGCAGGAGGCTGAGGTGGAAGGATTGCTTGAGGCTAGGAGTTCAAGACCAGCCTGGGCAACATAGCAAGACTCCATCTCTACAAAAAATGTAAGCCAGGTGTGGTGGCATGGGCCTGTAGTTTCAGCTACTCAGGAGGCTGAGGTGGAAGGATTGCTTGAGGCTAGGAGTTCAAGACCAGCCTGGGCAACATAGCAAGACTCCATCTCTTTAAATTAGCCAGGCATGGTGGCACGGAACTATACCTAGCTACTTAGGAGACTGGGGTGGGAGGATCACTTGAGCTCAGGAGTTTGAGGTGGCAGTGAGATACAATTGAGCAGCTGCACTCCAACCAGCCTGGGTGACACAGTGAGACCATGTCTCAAAAAAAAAAATTAGCACAAAATTATCAAGTGATATTTATCAGATTAACCAGGATATTAAGAATTAAAAAGTTTAATTTGTTATTCCTTGAAATTATAGTACTTTGAGAATGAAGACAAACAGTGTATCCTAGTACACAGGAATACAGTCTTTGGGTTCAATGGACCTGGGTTCAAATCTCAGCTCTGCCACTTAACTGAGTCTTTTTGGACAAGTTGCCTCGGTTTCCTTATGTGCACTTTGAGAATAACCATGTTCCCTTCATCTGGTTCTTACAGAGATAAATGTGTGAAAAACATTTAGCACAGTCCCTGGTAACCAGTAAGGGCTTAATAAATGGTGGTTTTCCTCTCATTCTACCAGCTTTATCATTATCCTGCTTTTGTTATACCATAATAATCTCTCATTTAATCTGTTGTCAGTGAAAACATCTTCACTTTGATTCCAGCCCCTTTTTTCCTTTATGCTTCTCCCACCACCACCACTGCATCAGTGACATTTACTCCCACTGTCATCAAATCCATCCTTTTAATGGCACTTGTAGTCTTTATCACATAATTACACTGTTCTTGCTCTCCCTTGTGTTCATCTCTTCACCAACACAAATGTCCTTGAGCAGAGACCATCTCCCTAATATCTGGCTGAATACTAGGTGCTCAGAAACGGCTTCATCCAGGGGTTTCCCATTCTCTCTGAGTCGGAGCACTTTTTATCTAGGGTCTGCAGCCAACTTCTTCTGCCATTCTAAACTTTTTTCAGCTGCAAGATGCATATGAAAACAGTATGCATTTCTTGGAGTACATGTTAATACATATAAAGTACACAGAAAGTGCCTGGCCTAGTTAATGCTGCTAATATTCCCTTCAATCTTTAATGAAACTCAGACATTTAGGTGGAGATAGCATGTTTTGGATGAATGTCTTCTTAAAACACACAGGGCCTTTCCAGATAAAAATTGAGCTGATTAGGCCTCTGATGCTGTCCTAATTGCTTGGCCTTCTGCTAGTTACATTGATTTTATAATCATCTGGCTCATGTTGAGAGAATGTAATAGAAAAATTATGAGAATGATTAGAATAATTAGTCATAGCCTTATATTCATCTCAGTATAAAGAAAAGAGATTTATGACTCCTCAGCTATTTATCTTGATTGCAGGGCAAATGCTGTATTATCTGGGTAGCTGACAGTGGTCAGTACAGCATGCATCTGTATGTATGTCCGCCTGTCTGGTACTTTTGTGACATTATTGGTGGTGCCTGGAAACCCAGAGGGTGTGGTTAGGCGTCCTTGGATAAAGATGCAAATTGGAGAGACTAGTGAGTCATATATTTCCATGATTATCACACTGAACTCTGCTGGATTTTTGCTGCTTCTAGCCATAGTGGCAGCAGGCATACTGATTTCTGGGCATGTGTGTGTGACATTAGCTTGGATATTACAGTTGAGCACTTTGCAGAAAAAAACAATAAGCAGTTAACCTGAAAGCATTTCTTTTAATGATCTGAGGTGGGCTATGGCCTTTAAAATGCTGTGGTTTTTACCTTACAGAGTAAAACAGTTCTAAAGCTGACATGTTTTTTCTTATTTTGAACTAGAGTCCATGTTCCTAATCACGGCACTGTAAGTTCTCGGGAATCTAAAATTCTAAACTATCATTGTCGTATAAATGTTGCCTTCAACTTATTACTCTGCTAAATATGTCACTCTGCCCTTGAAAATAGTGTTGTATCTGTCATTTCTAAGTATATGAAAGTCCTATAGTCTACATACTAGAGTGATTCTGTGGTTAGGTTGTGTCCCATCTCACCCATTTTGCCTCTTGTTTGAAAATGAGTTTATTCTTGGGCTAATCATTTAGAGACTCTCCAGCTTTGTACATAGTAACCCTTTTCTCAACTTGAGATCATTTTCATTGCCACTGATCATTATTGTAGAATTTGCTTCTAAACATTTTAAGTGAAGTGATCAGATAATTTTGGAAATTTTCTTGAACTGTGCATTCTGCTAAATATTCTGGAGAAACATTTTGGCTCCGCTTACTCTGTTAATGCTGGTTACATCATGAGAGCTATAGATTTCTTGGGCATGCAAAATGATTGCATATTCATGAACATCTTCAATTCTGAAATATTTGTAAATAACTTGGCAATTTTTTTCATAAGGTTGCCTATTAACATGATTAGGACTTTAATTGTTCACACAGGAAGAATTTGTACTTACAGAGCACCACCTATTTGATAAGTAACATTTCTATGCTAAGCAACTTGGATTATGAACACATAAGTCACCTTCCTAAAACAAAGTATAAGAGATGCTATTTTCCACTTAAGCATGATTCAAGTTTGAAAATGTCAATAGATGCAAAAAGCCACCCTAGAGCTTTGCTCTCTCGAAAGAAAGAAGGAATGACATAGTCAATGTTAACTGTCACCAGATGAAGAGAAATCAGATTGTCAGGCCTGGATCTATAAAATTCTTGCCAAAGTAGGACCTCATTTACACATACAGATCTTCATACCCTTTGCTAAGAAAAGCATCTGTGGCAGTTTAGATGTTTGTGCGTTTGCCAAAGATCTTTCACTCTGAATAAAGTAAATGTCATGTCTGTTGTTTATCTCAAATTCAGCAGAGTATTTTTAAAAGGAAATATTTGTGGGGGAGGGTCGAGGGAGAAGGGAAGAAGGAGGTTGGGGAGCTCCAGTTAGTTGGGTGTGGCTATTTTATAGCAGTACTCAAGTATCATGATAAATAAGCTTAAAACATACTTTGGGCTTATGAACTGAAAGTCTCCTTTTGAAGTGACAACACGAAATAAATGGGAATGTGGAGTCTTCCCGAATCTATACCTAGTCTGTCAACACCAAAAAAATCCAGTTAATTCAGTCAAACTGATTATTTGGCATCATGTAGACACAGCTGTCTTGAGCTAAAATTTTGAACACTTAAAGATAGATGGCATTGTACCCAGAGCCAGCTGGTACAATGGCATCTATCTATAATTGTGTATAAAGGATTGCTTAAAACTTATAAGATTGGAAATAGAACTTAATTGCTTAAAGTTCAAGCTGGACTCCATTGAACAGCAATTAAAAAAAAACAACAACAACAACAACAAAGAAAACCCCTGGTGTGATAAAATTTCTTGGCAAATGGGTACCCTTGATAAATTCACACTTTTAGTTAAGAGTATGCTATGGTAATTTAACTATGTAAATTGCGTTGAATATAAAAATAAGGGGAATTCTCTATGTACCTTTTTTTAAAAACCATATTTAACCTGGCTTGTAGGCATTAAAGTCATAATGAGATCCTAATGTAAAATAAATTCTGAGACTTTTCTTCAGGACATCTATTTTGTGTGATACAATTATTTTGCTCTTTGCAAAAATCAAGTATTTGTCTTAAGGATGCTTTGCTTTATCAGTGTAATTTGTTTTATGGAAGTATTCTATGTAACTTTGAATATTATTTTATTCCCCCCAGATGACATGGAAGCCATTCCTGTCAAACAGTTTGTCAAACACATCGGTGAGCTCTATTCTAATAACCAGCATGGGTTCTCTGAGGATTTTGAGGTATGTTTCAAGGCTGGAAGTTAACTTCCAGAAACCTAAGTCTTACTTTATGCAGATTTTTGTAAACTTGAACTGAATTCATTCCAAGCATAACAAAACAGTAACTACGGAAAGTGGAGTTTTTCTTTTCATCTATTATTTTAATAGGCATTCTTTTCCAAATAAAATTTAGGTGAAAGGGGAGTTGATTGTACCTGTCCTGAATATGTATTTCTACAAAAGAACCGACTTAGTGATAGAAAAGAAGCAAACTGGTAGGGATTGCTTTTCAGGTTCTTGCTACATCTAATTCTAACTGGGAACAGCAGTCATAACACAAGGCTCCCTAATTCCATGTCTTTTCTGCAATGCACATGGTATAGTGAAGATAGCAGGTTTGGTGTCTGAGAAACTGGGTGCTGGCTTCATCAGTAGTGAGCTTCATAATCCTCAGACCAATCACCTCATCTCGGATCCCCAGTTTTCCCATTTTTGAAAAATGGCACCAATGTCACCTACATTGTAACGTCGTTGGAAAAATAAATGATTAACATCTTTAAAAGTGCCAAGTTCATTGTTAAGAACCATGCAAAGGTTGACTGTTGTTGTTTTCATGATTATTAATCCTTGGAGAGAAGACTTGGGTTAACACAGCCTTCTGATTTTAAGAACTGGTGTGTAGGAAACAAGGTAGAGAGAGGCATGTACCACCCTGCCAACTCTGGGTTCTGTGCCAGTTCAGCAGTGACAGGGTGTCAATGAGGAGCTATTAAACAGACTGCCCTTTTCTTCACTGAGGCGCTTAACTAAGGCACATCTCTGGCAGCAAGAGTTGTGTCGAGGAGGCCAAGTTTTCATGGCAGCTCAGCTGTCTTCTAGCTCTGTGGGTAAGTTGGTTCCTTTCTCTGTCTCATTTCTACTTTAAAATGGAAATGATGATGATGATGATGCTAACCTACCCATCTCTTTCAACAAAATTGGTTACAGGGCAAAATGAAGTAATGGAAGGTAAGCACTTTAAGATCATCTAGGAGTCATACAGCTGGAAGGTGCAGTTACCTTGAATGAACAATGAGAAATAAAAACAGGATGAAAAGCCCCTGTCTATGCAAATTTAGAATCCCAAAAGGCTATCATAAAGGCAGTTATATTGCTGACTTGTTTTAAATTAAGTCTTTCTCTTAGTTTTTTTGTTAGTTTTTGTTGTTTTGAGCAGAATGAAAACAAAGGTGGTAGAAAGAACCTCTGATTTATTCTACGAAGTCATATGTTTTATGGAACCAACAAAAGCATGTCAAGTATTTAATGCTATTAGATGCTTACTAAAAAAGGTGCCTATTCAACTACAAAGAACATGGTTTAAGTCAAACATTTTGTATTCATGAGGACAGCAAATGTGTGTGGTGTTAAAGTGATTTAGTTCAATTGACTGTTGGCTGGATGACTGAGCAAGAATATTGAGGCATTTAACAACGTTGATGGTATTCAGGACAAACATTTATCCTCTAGAGAGCCGAATTTGATCAGGATGATCAAATGCAACTCCAGTTTCTCAATTATTTATGATTTGAGACCCCAGTGCTATTCATCACAGCTGGTTTTGACACCATTTAATTATTCAAAATAATCAGCTACACCTCTGTAAACTTGATCTGACTTAAAATGGGCTTTGCTGCATCAAAATCATGCTTCTTAACAAATCCTGGGCATCTGTACCCTATTTCTGTCCTAAAAAAATATACTGCAGCTAAAAGCTTTAATCGCCTACATTGAACTTTAGAGCTTAAATAGTATTAGCTGATACTTATGGGAGTGGAATGGGGAGGGCAGGCAGGAAGGTGAAAGGGCTGTTGTGATTTCACTGTCTTTTCAGGTTTGAAAGGTTTAAAATCAGAGCTGTTCACAATAGGAAGAATATGCTTTCTTCTAAAAAGAACAGCAAAGCAGCAACGTAAAGGGGAGAATAAGAAAATAGAAAAGCTCACCAATACTACTGTCACCTTATAATTAGGTGAAAATTTGAAGTACTTTTAAAAGAGTAGTATTCCTTTTGGGTAACTGCTAAAAGGGAAAACTGGTAATAGGCTACATAAGAAGCTATTACGGCTATTTTATAAACAGAGATAGTAACAGGCTTTATAAGAAAGGACAGAAAAAGATTTTGTGTAATTAAAAACAAAATTGTATTATGGTAAGAGAGTTAAGGTAATCTTAGTCTCAGATTTCCAGACCCATTTACCTGGAATAATGATGGCCAGCATTTACTAGTTAGCACTGTGCATGGATCATTCTATTTCCTGAGGTAGGTGTATCTTATTGTCCCCATTTTACTGATGACGAAACTACCCATGAGAAAACTGAGGCTGTGGGTGGCTACATTTTGAAATGGCAGGAGTAGGGTTTAAGACCAGGGTATCTGACTTGAACCCACATGGTTCACCTTGACACCATCCAGACTCTCATTAAAGTAGTGTCCTGGGCCAGGCACAGTGGCTCACACCTGTAATCCCAACACTTTGGGAGAACAAGGTGGGAGGATCGCTTGAGATCAGGAGTTCCCAACCAGCCTGGACAACACAGCAAGACTCTGTCTCTACAAAAAAAATTTTTTTTAATTAGCCAGGTGTGGTGACGCACAACTGTGGTCCTAGCTATTCAGAGGCTGAGGCTGAGGCAGGAGGATCACTTGAGCCCAGGATATTGAGGCTGCAGTGACCTATGACCGTACCACTGCACTCCAGCCTGAGCGACAGAGCAAGACCCTGTCTCAGGAAAAAACACCAAAAAGCCAGAGTAATGTCCTGTAATGAGCCAAGGTCAGAAGGAGAAATAAGGAAGCTTGCAAGTGACTAGAAATGATCATGCCTCGGTGCCTTAACAATACAAAAGTGGGGAGAGCAGCCAAATTAGGAACCCCCCCCACTAGGAGTATTAGCTGCCCATTACATGATCTTTATGGTCTCGAGCCTTCTAAGATAGCTGAGAATACGACTTATAAAAATCTTATCCAACATGTAGGCCTAAAATTAGTCTTAAAATTATGAGAAATACAACTGAAAAGTTAACAACTGGACATTAAGAGGAGCTAAAACAACCCATCTAACAGTTACTGATGATCTACCATTCTCTGGACATAATATAAGATACAAATATGAATTAGAGTCCTTGCCCTCAAAGAGTTCAATCTGGTACTGGGGGAGGCCAGAGTGTACACAACCAAAACAGAAACAGGACAAAGCAAAATAAGTGCTATTGTACAGGCATAAAGTTCTGAAGAAGTGCAAAGGAGAAAGGCATCTATGTATTTTCATTGGAGATTTCAGCAAAAATTCTCATCCATCATGTTTAAACATCTCGGAAGTAAAAAAATGTTGGTGAATAACTATCGTAGTTTCAGAACTTTACTGCTTGGAGAATGAGAAAAACAATTCACTGGTACCTTTGACTCTTTGTCTAGAAGTGTTGCTGTAAGCCAGCTTTTTGTTCTTGTCAAATAAATTCTAGAGACCGTGAAAAGCAACATCATACAGTATTTGCAGTCACTAGAAATAACATCAGTCCTTTTCTTGTGATAGCGTTGGATGACACCATTACCTTGGCTACCTGAGCTAACTTCAACCTCATTGTCCTTCCCAGGGAGTAGTTTCCCAGAGTAGTATTAAAAGATTGACAGCCTCTTCCTTGGCCCCCACAAACATAATGCAGAAGGCTTCCAAAAGACCAGTGCTAGCATACTCTTTCAAAAGGAAGGCACTCCAAAGCTCCATGAGTCAGAAGAATTAACAGGCAGGGACTGGTAGAATCAGAAGTCTAAAAGAGTGCAGGATGAGGCCAGAAGTCCACAGCCCCTGGACAAGATCCTTTGGGGGACTGCCTCTATTACAGTTAACCAGCTGTGCTAAATTTGGGCTGGTTGTTCATCTTAAATCAAAAGAACAAAGCTTAGTCCACCTGAGCCCATGCTCTGAGGGACCAGTGGCCACAATCACTTTAGGAAATGAAGGGAGATGTCCAGGGCTGCTGATGATGTATAATAGGGAAGTCTCTGGTCAGAGGTGTAATGCTGCACCGACTGCTGCCTGCAAGAGGGCAGAAAATGAGCCTGTAGGCAGGGCTGTCCAATCTTTTGGCTTCCCTAGGCCACATTGGAAGAAGAAATGTCTTGGGCCACACATAAAATACACTAATGAGAGCTGATGAGCTAAAAAATTGCAGGGAAAAAAAAAACCCTCAATGTTTTAAGAAAGTTTACGAATTTGTGTTGGGCTGCTTTCAAAGCCATCCTGGGCCGCCTGTGGCCTGTGGGCCATGGATTGGATAAGCTTGCTGTAGAGTTAGTTTCCTCAGCGTTTTTGACAAAAATGCCAGTTTGGGTCTTAAATATCTTAAGAAAAACGTTTTTAAACGGTTATGAGGTAAATCACAGTTTTTTGAGATTTTGGTGAAGAGGGAGATAAAAGGGAGATAGCCAGATTTCATGAAAAATAATTCTTATGCTAGAGACCAGCTGCAGGATAATAATGCTGTGTTATACTCTCCAAAGATAGGTTAGTTTTCTAGGGGGCAAATGCAGTCATTTTGATAAAGATACATGGATTTGGATACAGGAAGAGAACAGGCATTCTTACCAAGGTAAATGGCAATAAAGCAATAAGCAGGAAATCAAATGGTCTTTTCAAAGGGTATGGAGTTAATATTGTCTGGGATTGGGAAGGGTGGGGAAGATAAGATGGGACCTTGAAAGCCTGGCTAAGGGAATGTGGAATCTCTCCACACGTTTCTGAGGAAGGGAATAACAAAGTCAGCACAACGTTTGAGGAAAATCAGTCTGGCAGCAATTTATACCCTGAGCAGGAGAGAGTAGGGGCTGGAAGATGCAGTGTAACCAGCACCTGTCAAAGGCCAGTTCTGTGTCCGACACTGTACATGCACTGGGTCACTACCATGACCTAAACCCATCAGTCATCTGTAGAACAGTCTCTTTACCACAATTGTAGGCTGCCTGAACTCAGGCACTAAGAATGTTACCCCTACTTGGTGTAATACTTGGTAACCAGATCCAAATAATTTATTCTCAGCTACCTTTTTGGAACTGAGCAATCTGAAAGATTTCTAGAAGTTTTGTTGCATTATTTTTTTGAATTGAGCCACAGTATAGTAGGACAGTAGGTCTTTAAGTGCTCTTTAAATAGCCTCTTGCATCAATGACTGTAGGTAGGAAGTGATTTAGCCTACATCACCTCCCTAAAATTCTCGTTACATCAATTTTTAGGGTTTGTTCAGTCTTCGATTTTTTGCTTTATTTTACACCTGTTTTATGTTGGCCTTCTCCTATGCTTATGTGCCTGTTAAGATTCAAACTGTTCTTTTTGAGAATTCTAGCTTTGTTACATAGGGAGTAAAATATAAACAAGCTTAAACTATTTATCAAGTTCTGAATAGGTAAATTTACAATGCATACTCCATTGGCCAGTGTCTCTTTAAAGGGTTTTTAACACACTAAAATCCTGTTAACTTTGAAATGGCAGTTCTGATAGAGAAAAGCCACTCCCAGATCAGATGATATTATCAGCATCTAAATGAGCCAGGCAGTACTGCAAGGAATTACAGATGACATTATTATCTACATGACAAAATCAGAAGGCCTCAGGCAAACCCCATGGGTTCTAATAAAATCAGATTTGACAATATTTATTACGATTTTTTGTTTCTGTCATTCATCTAATTGGAAAAGTGAAACAGAGGCAACAGATCAGACAAGGGGTTTTAGATAACAAAGAGTTTGGCCATATTGAATGACAGCTTTAAACAATACTGACAGCTGCTCCCAAGCAGTCTTGGTCAATTGCATTATATTAGAAAAGAGGCTCCAACTTCAGTCCATAGCTAGGGTGGTCAGATCTATACAACAGGAAAAAAAAATCAATAAACAAAGTAAATCTCAGACTAAGGTACTAAAAGCCAAAATCTCTCAGCATAAGATACCTGAACAACTCAACCCTAAAGAAGTACATGCCAAAGGTGTGACCTTCAAAACCCGAAAACAAAAGACTAACTTGTTTCAAATCCATTTTCAAAAGTTGTCTGCCCTTGAAACTCTTCAAAAGAGCATGGCTCAGAGCTTATAAGGCAGTTTCAAAAGGCAGGTCCCAACGTGCTAAGTTTGGCTAGCATTGCTCATGTTCTTACGTAGACTGATTTGTGATCACACTTTATTATCTCATTTTAGAGAAGAGCCAAAGGGCAGCCTTAAAGCTCCTTAAACCAGTGTTTTCCAAACCATAGGTTATAAACTATGTTAGAACAGAATATATTGGAGTTTAGTAAGAGTAAGGAAAGGGTAAGAACTGTCATTAAACACACTTTCCCAGAAAGGTGGATTGAATTAATGCCTGTGGGGCTTTTTTTTTTTTTTTTAAATGGACAGCTGGGAAGGACTATAATTATGGAAACTTCAATTTACAGTGTCCAACAATTGGAGAGTCATTGAATACTGTTTCTTTGAACACACAGAAATTCTTTGCTTTTATACCTTAAATTCTTTGAGTACAGTAACTTCCTCCTTCTAGAGAAGAAGTGTACTTCTCCCTGGGGAAGTACTTTGTGAATATAAAAGACAACCAGTTCATTGTTTTCATTATGTTTAATGTAAATACTATGGAAAACATGCATAATTACTAGGCAACTCCTTTGTGGAAAAAAAAAGTCTGCATGCTTCTAAACTCTGCTACATCTGTTCTGTGTAAAACATTTCTCCTGATAATTTTGTGTTACTTTGTTCAGGCTCTTTGTAGCAGCTGTGTACTGCTAATGACTTCCCTTATTAGTCAGCTCCAGTACTTTCTTGGGTTTGAAGCATATAGTGTAGAAAAATTTGGCTTTTCAGCAACGTTGTATTAGGCTAATGGATGACGTTTAAATCCACGGCCAAGGTAGGATAAGAGTGTTATTTCTGCTACTGCTATTTTTCCAAAGAAGGATAACTTTTAAAATACTAGAGTTCACAAATAATTTGTCAAGACTGTATATATGAGATATGACCATTAGTTGGGCTGTTATTAGGGTTATTTCAGCACTGAGTCTTTAGA
Source organism: Homo sapiens (assembly GCF_000001405.40). Taxonomy (NCBI): domain Eukaryota; kingdom Metazoa; phylum Chordata; class Mammalia; order Primates; family Hominidae; genus Homo; species Homo sapiens. The sequence goes on from NC_000003.12 coordinate 62,262,283, forward strand.
GTCAATGCACCCTCACAATTATAAAATGAGGCTATAAGGCCTGTAAGCATATTGCAAATCATGGTAGAGATTATACTTCTTAGAAATTCCCTTTCTTCCTTTAAGACTTAGGTAAATTTTTTCACCTGTCTAAAGCCTTCCTCTGTTCTGTGCTCCCATCAGAGCTTTCTCAGGCCTCTTTTGTATTCATCATGTTTGACTATCTTTTTGAATATTTTTCTCACCCATAGACTATGATGTATTCAAAAAGAGATATTGTTTTACATCTCAGGGACTAGGTCAAAAACTAGAAAAAAGTAGATGATTGATGAAATAGTAAATAATGAAATCTTTATACCTTTTTCACATTCTTCATAAACTCGTTATAAATATATCAATAATTATATCCGAAGTTGGGATTGAGAAGGTAACGGTGGCTGTGGCCAGGGAGTGAGTAAATACTTTATGCCTTTAAATGTATATGGTGTTCCTTTGTTTCTAAACTGTGTCTATAATCTTGCTGTTTTCTTCACTAGGAAGTCCAGCGCTGTACTGCTGATATGAACATCACTGCAGAGCATTCCAATCATCCAGAAAACAAGCACAAAAACAGATACATCAACATTTTAGCATGTGAGTAATAAGCTTTAAACTACCTTCAACTGCGAGGAAATTAAATTTTCATGCTGGGTATAAGCTGAAAGCCAAGCAGTCAGAAGCAGGATGCCAAGAAAGAATGATTCTTGCAAGCTAACCTCTCATTAGCCCATCTTCAACAGTGTAGAAGTTGGGACATTTTCTTCCCCCTTAGCCTTTCATTAGGCTGTCAGGGCTCAGCGAGCTTAATAAGGTGACTGAAAGAAAATGTTTGGAGCTTCGCTATTTTCACATGAAGTGATGTCATATCACATGTTGGGAGCCAAAATTTGAATGTCACTTGGTTACACTGACATTGTTTTTAACCTGTAAGGGCCAAATCTTTTAATACAAATGAAAATATTGGGAATTGAATCAAGCAAGCTGAATTTCAAAGCATTCTTTCAAAGACTACATAATTGGCTTGTACCTTAAATGATGAGCCTCCAGGCCTTTTGGTCCATGTGCTTACTCCTATCTATCACATTTCCATGGTCAGGAATATTCTGTAGGTTAGGGACTCAAACAAATGGACATTCTTCATACAGAGCCTCAAGGAATACCCTAGGAGCACAAGCTACTTCTATGGCTAGAAGACCACATTTCACAGACATGTGGGGCTTGGCTCACTGGCATATAATATATGCTTTGATACTAAGGGTAGGGGCATAGATATTTATAGTTAACATATACCATGGTAAGGACATTACATAGAATTGTATACAATAGTGCATTTAAATTGGACCACTTAAAATTTGAACAGTACTGTATAATGTTTTCTTAAAGTTTTAGTGAAATATAATTCATATACCATATGAAATTTACCCATTTAAGGCCAGGCACAGTGGCTTACGCCTGTAATCCCAGCACTTTCGGAGGCCGAGGCAGGTGGATCACTTGAGGCCATGAGTGCAAGACCAGCCTGGCCAACATGGTGAAACTCTGTCTCTACAAAAAATACTAAACTTGGCTGGGCACAGTGACTCACGCCTGTAATCCCAGCACTTTGGGAGGCTGAGGCGGGCGGATCACGAGGTCAGGAGATCGAGACCATCCTGGCTAATGCGGTGAAACCCTGTCTCTACTAAAAATACAAAAATTAGCCGGGCGTGGTGGCAGGCGCCTGTAGTCCCAGCTACTCGGGAGGCTAAGGCAGGAGAATGGCATGAACCCAGGAGGCGGAGCTTGCAGTGAGCCGAGATCACGCCACTGTACTCCATCCTGGGTGACAGAGTGAGACTCCATCTGAAAAAAAAAAAAAAAATTCTGAAGTTAATGGGATGTGGTGGCATGCGCCTGTAGTCCCAGCTAATGGAGAGGCACACGAATCACTTGAACCCAGGAGGGGGAGGTTGTTGTGAACCAAGATTGTGCCACTGCACTCAAGCCTGGGGAACAGAGCAAGACCTTGTCTCCAAAAAAAAAAAAATTTCCTAGGGTATACAACTCTGGGGTTTTAGTATATTCACGGAGTTGTACGATCATCACCACAATCTAATTTTAGAACAGTTTTTGCACCTCAGCAAGAAACCTGTTAGCAGGCACTCCCAATTCCTCCTTCTCTCCAGCACTTAGAAACCCTGTATCTACCTTCTGTCTCTGTGGTTTTGCATATTCTGGACATTTCATATAAACAGATTCATACTATATGTGACCTTTTGTGTCTGGCTTCTTTAATTTAGCGCAATGATTTCAACACTCATCCATGTTGTACCATATATCAATACTTCATTCCTTTTTATGGCTGAATAATACTCTAATGTGTGGATATACAGCATTTTGTCTATTCATTCATCATTTGATGGACATTGTTTCTTTTCCGCTTCTCAGCTAGTATGAATACCGCTATGAGCATTCATGTACAAGTCTTTATGTAGACAGATATTTTCACTTCTCTTTGGTGTATACGTAGGAGTAGAATTTGCTAGATTATATGGTAATTCTATGTTTAAAATTTTGAGGAACTATCAAACTCTTTTCCAAAGTGGCTATTCATTTTACGTTCCCACCAACAATATATAAAGGGTCCAGTGTTTCCACATCCTCACCAACTCTTACTATTTAAAAAAAAAAAAAAAACAGCCTTCCTAACCGGTATGAAGTGGTATCCTATTGTAGTTTCGATTTGCATGTCCCCAATTATTAGTGATGTTGAGCATCTTTTCGTGCTTATTGGCCATTTGTATAACTTGTTTGGAGAAATGTCTAATCAGATCCTTTACCATTTTTTAACTGGCTTACTTTTGTCTTTTGTTGAGTTGTAAGAGTTCTTTATATATTCTGGATACAGATCATTTATTGAATATACAGTTTGCAAATATTTTCTCATTCTGTGCATTGTCTTTTCACTTTCTTAATGTGAGTTCTCTAAATTTGTTCCTTTTTCAAGATTGTTTTGGCTATTCTTTCAACAATTGTTTCTGAATTGTACTACTGTACTGCTTTTGTTAAATTTATTCCTAAGTATTTTATTCCATTTGATCCTAATGTAAATGAAATTGTTTACTTAGTTTTATTTTTGGATTGCTCATTGCTAGTTTATATAAATACATTTGTAGGTTGTATCCTACAACCTTGCTGAATCCGTCTTTTCTAGTAGTTTTTTCTTGATTCCTTGAATTTCTGTATACATGATGTCCTCTATAAACAAAGGTAGTTTTATTTCTAAATAAAATGTTACAAAAACTCCAAGTTACTTTTGAATAGGATTGTTTGTTCTACTTTTCTGAGAAAATGAACTGGTTAAAAAAGCCAGGGGGAGAACAAGGAAGAAAGTCAAACCTCTCCCTAGTCTTTGGATTGACTTTGGCAGTATTTGTTGGCCAGCTCAATCAAGGCTCACCACTGCTGTGACTATGAGGATTTCTCTATCCAGATACACCTCCTTTCTAACCAGAGAAATCAGGCAAGGATATGTATACATCTGTGCCTTATATATACATACATACATACACACACACACACACACACACACACACGTATACATCTGTGCCTTATATACACACACACACACACACACACACACACACCATTCTCTCCACCAGAGCATCCTTTACTTCTCTAATGTCAAACATCACTTACTGCCTTGCTAAAAGTATTGTGGCAAAAAAAGGAGGAGAAAATCAAAGCAACTAATGTGTGATGTGCCCAAAGGTCATGGTGTTTTGCTAGAAAACCATCATCTCTGGTTAAATGTGAATTGCACTTTCACAACTTCATTTGTGATTTTACTTTCACAATTTCAAATTAGATGTAATTTTATTTTTAAACATTCAGGGAGTTAGGTTTTGGTGTTCTCTTGGCCACTCAGATTCTGGGCACATTGCCTGCCTTCATCTACCCTCTATATTAATGCCTTTTCATAGCAAAGAATAGCATAGAAACAAGTAAAATCAGACCGTGAATGAGCCAGAAACATGATGTATGAAAAACCTTCTCTCAGATTCATCACAACTTTCAAGGTATATGTGGATGTTACCAAATCACCTCCCAAATTGATCTATTAATGTCTTATTTGTCAGTCTAAGAAATAACAATATGCAATTAATGACTACTAAGGCATAACGGTTTGGATCCAGATGCCTTAGGAGAAATTTTTCCTTTGGGGCCTATTTATATCAAGCAACACCTGTTTCATGTCAACTGTAAACTGAAAGTTTGTCAGAACAACAAAAACAGTTCACAGTTCCAAAAACATAGAGGGCTCTCAAAAATTGCTTGGTATATTCTGAGGTCAGTAATGCCTATGCTGATCCACTCATTGGACTTCTTTTTCAACTAGCCTTTTATGATAATGACTATAAACAGAAACATAAATTGGGTTTTGCCCATTCTGTTTCTACCTAGGGAAAATAAAATTATAACCTCAGCTTCCTTTTACTTATTTTGCTATCCTAAAAAAAACAGGCACAATCTGCTGGGCAACTAGATACACATGTCATGCATCACCTACCCCCAACTTTTGTTCATTAACTGAGGTTAAGTGGATCCTAAAATCTGAACATTAACTTCAGATTCCTGTAATGAGATTACTCTTAACAAAAGCTCTGGTTTCCTCAATTCCTTAGGTTCTGTTAGGGTAGCAGGGAATCCAAGTGAATTAGCAATGGAATTGCCTGAAAATATTAATAGATGTTTTGGACTTGACAGATCAGTCACCCTTTTATATTTGTATTAATGGGGAGGGAACAGGGGCATAGGGCATAATCAAAGCCCTTTGAACTTGGCTTTAAAATACAGAACAAGCAAATACCTTTGAACTTGGCTTTAAAATACAGAGGACTACAATTTGTAATAGTTTTACATGAGTTTGCATCCTGAGAGCAGGAGATGTAGGAGTGGCTCTGTATTTTGGGATGGGTTTGAATGCTCTATTTAGTTGTTCTGCCAAAAGTTTTCTCAGACTACCTTGGGAGATGTCATGTTACCTGATTGCCTTGTGTTGTGCTTTAGAATGGTGCTAGTTTCTGAATTATCCATTTTATTTCTGTTTTTTTTTCTTATCTTCTATAGATGATCACAGTAGGGTGAAGTTAAGACCTTTACCAGGAAAAGACTCTAAGCACAGCGACTACATTAATGCAAACTATGTTGATGTAAGTCAGAACTGTTATTATAAACCTGTTTCTAGAAATTGAAGACTGCAGCAGAAACTGTTTAATATATTTTAATACTGTACAGAGCTTTCACTAAAAACAAAGCCCATTCAATATGGAAGGCATTTGAATTATTGACTGGTCTTCTGTGATAACTGCTTTCATCTCACTTTGTGCTGTGTCATTTTGAAGGGTTACAACAAAGCAAAAGCCTACATTGCCACCCAAGGACCTTTGAAGTCTACATTTGAAGATTTCTGGAGGATGATTTGGGAACAAAACACTGGAATCATTGTGATGATTACGAACCTTGTGGAAAAAGGAAGAGTAAGAGCCTTTTGACTCACTATCTTAATAATGCACCTTCATTCAAAAGATACTTGTGGAGTACCTGCTTTAGGGTAGGAACTTGACAAGGTATAAAGAGTTACGGAAATGAAAAGTGTTCTCTCTGCTTTATCTTGCTTATGATTCAGAAGGAAAGAGAGCTAAGGCATTATGAGAGTAAATGTGATGACAGAGATGAACAGGGTATCAGTGGAATGCTGCAAAATGAATCAATGTATCCTCTGTACATTCCTCTGTACAGAGATTTTTTAAAGGAGCAAATACTTGAGACTTGAACAATGATTACGAGGAATTACACAGGCTAAAAAGAGAAGGAAAGGGTGTTCTAAGTACAGGGGACAGACAACAGTAAACAGGGAAATTGAAAGAAGCGTGGTGTAGACAAGGAACTACTAATAGTTAAGATTGGGGGAAGCAAAAATTGCCTAAACAGTTTAACCATCATTAAGAGGACCTTTTAAAAAAATGATTAGTGCTGTAGAATTTATTGGATTATGAGTTTACATTAGATGATGCTAATTTAGGCTGGAATAAAAGCTACACTTCAAGGAATCACCACACTGGGTTGATAGGTGCATCAAACCACTATGGCACATGATTCCCTATGTAACAAACCTGCAAATCTTGCACATGTACCCCAAAACTAAAACTAAAAATTAAAAACAAACAAAAATAAAAATAAATAAAAGAACCTACGCTTCAGGTTCCCTGCTCAAAATCACCACTGCTTCATGTTGTGGAGTCACTGTTTTACTTTTGATGATCCAAGTTACAATAAGAAGAGTCTCACAGTTAGAAGAGAACCTTCCATGAATCCAACCCGGCCTTCCAAATGATACTTAAGCTCCCTTTATAACAAACCTTACCCACATTTCTTACAGGTCAGACATAGAGGTTTCTTTCTTAGTCCCTTTTAAAAATGCATTATAATGCAAAAATAAAAATGCATTATATATTGAAAGGTGACCATAAATACTAGGCCCATTTCTCACATGGTCTCACACAAACTTATCCCAAGCCATCAGCCTTGTCAGAGGTCACACCTGCCTTTAAGCAGTTAAACTCACGTATTCCTTTTTCAGTCAACTAAATGGCAATCTCACCTGTGTTTTAACATTGTCGTTTGAAATTACATTATCAACAGAATTGTGGCATAGATTGCAGTTATACTTTACAACTTTTTTCTTTCTGCAGCGAAAATGTGATCAGTATTGGCCAACAGAGAACAGTGAGGAATATGGAAACATTATTGTCACGCTGAAGAGCACAAAAATACATGCCTGCTACACTGTTCGTCGTTTTTCAATCAGAAATACAAAAGTGAAAAAGGTATGGAAGGAATTGGGTAGGCTGCCAGGGCATCCCCTTTTTATACTTGTATGAAAATTACTGTACAACCAAGGCCAAATCTCATAACCAACTTGGTTTTTAAAAAGTATTTTTAAAACATTTTTTCATAACTCTTTTGATTGACATCAGTGTATGGTGTGAAAGGTATTGGCAAAGCATCTAATAGAATTTAACTGGCCTGATTGAGCCTTTAATCTCTACATGAACAGGCTTCATTTTTTAAAAAATCATCCTCTTAGGTTTTGGTAATACTCAGCAAATATGGCAGCATCTGTTTGATTTAGCTTTTTTATTCCAATTTTCTGACAGATATAAAGCATTGTTTCCCAAAGTATGTTCCAAGGAATACTTGTCCTGTAAGATTCTTGTAAACATCAGATTCTGCTGTTCAAGAATGGGAAATGAATGCTACATAATATATATCCCCCCAGCATTTTAGAAATTTACAGTGAACATAAGTGACCAGAGCACTGGTGTTAACAATAATACCCTTCTCTATAGAACTACTAATACCCTAGGAATCACATTTTTGTGGAAATACTGTTTTCAGGTTATCTCAGTTTCTTTTTCAAAATCCACTGTCACAACAAATATCCTAGATCAATCATCACAGCAGTACACAGTCTCCCCTTAATTGTGGAAGGTATGTTTCAAGACCCCCGGTGGATGCTTGAAACCTCAGGTAGTACTGAAGCCTATTTATAACAATGTCTTTTCCTATACATACATATCTATGATAAAATTTAATTTATCAATTAGGCACAGCAAGAGAGTAACAATACTGAAATAGAACAATAATATTCTATAATAAAAGTTATATGAATATATACTGTTTCTCTTAAAATACTGTAATATTTTTGGACTGTGGTTGACCTCGGGAATGTGAAACTGCAGATAAGGAGGAAATACTGTATTAAGAACTGTAAATAGACGCTCATTAAAAAATGTAGTTATTCCACAGAACTTAGGTATGGCAGTTGTTTGCAGCAATGGGATAATTTTTTTTTTTTCTTGGTGTCTTGGACATTTTGGAAAATGTGATAAAACTGTAGCCTCCTTGCCCCATTTATATTCACACTTACTCACATTTTTATGTAAAATTTCAGTGGCTCCAAAGCCCATCTGTGATCCCAGGTTAACTATCCTTTCTATGTATGTTTATTTCCCAAAATGGCAGAAATAACATGAATATCAGTAGCATAGCAATACATCTGTGTTCTCTACTATGAAATAGAGCTGCTGGCTGGCTCAAGATGATCAATAACCAGCAAAAAACTTACAAAGCCCAACTGATGAGAATATTTCAGGTATTTAAACAGGGCCCACTTACTCTTGTTTTAGAAACAGCTTAAGTCAGAGGAAGAAGTCAAATAGGAACTTTAGGTGTTTTACATACTAATAGGAAAAAGTAGAAAAATGAGAGTTAACAGAAGAATTAAATTAAAGCCATCATGGGCCTTTGTACAATAGCACAGGACCAGACACACTTCAAGCTTCAGTGTTAATGACCCTGAGTCATCCAAAAAAAATTTAGAAATTAGGTATTGATAATAAGAAATCGTATCATAGCAAATAATCTATTTGGGGAATATTTCATCTAAAGTAGTTAAAATGTAAAAAGTTCAGACACTTAAAGGAAAACTACTCTGAAAAAGTCATTTATGAAAGTGACAGGTAAATGAGACATTGCCTCTGACTCTAAAGACAGAAGTATTTGACATTTAAAATCTTCCCATCACTTCCTGGATAGTTTACAGCAGCAACAAGCACTCTGGCTCCTAAAGGTCCAGCCTGGACAGTGGAGAAGGAATGGGAATCACAGCCCACAGAGACATGAAAGCAAAGTACTAAGATCTGGACTTGGGGCAGAAAGTCAGGAAATGGAGGCCTTGCAGGAAAAGTACAAGTGCTTTGGATAGTTCCAAATCCAAAAAAAACTGATACTAAATGTTCATTCTTAGTACAATCTTAAACAGTCTTCTCTTCTAAGTGATAGTGACACTTCATATCCAGCTTGGTAATGTCTCCAATTTAATGGCATGAAAGTTGGCTACAAGGGGGAATAACCTAGCCTGGGAACAGTGATTAGGGTGAATGTGATCAGTGGTCATGTGTCCTGACACCCTTACATTATTTTTTTCCAGAATGTCCACCCCCCCGCTTAAAGACATCTTTTTTCACTTTTCTCACAGGGTCAGAAGGGAAATCCCAAGGGTCGTCAGAATGAAAGGGTAGTGATCCAGTATCACTATACACAGTGGCCTGACATGGGAGTTCCCGAGTATGCCCTTCCAGTACTGACTTTCGTGAGGAGATCCTCAGCAGCTCGGATGCCAGAAACGGGCCCTGTGTTGGTGCACTGCAGGTAGGGTCTAGGATTCAACATGTGAAATAGATGGGGCAGGGGACTTAGGCCTCAGTGACCTTGGACCACAATGATTGCTACTGCTTTCACTTAGAAGCTGAATCTTCCACTGGAAACTGGGATGGATAAGACCTATGATAGTCTTAAAGAGGCTCTATTCCTGTAACATTAAGAAATCATCTGCTGCTTCTGTGATTTTTAAAAAACTAGATCAATCCCTAGTTTTTATAAAATCTTCTTATTAATAATATCAGCCAGGCATGGAGGCCAACTCCTGTAATCCCAGCACTTTGGGAGGCTGAGGTGGGTGGATCACTTGAGCCCAGGAGTTTGAGACCAGCCTGGGCAACAAAGTGACACCCCATTTCTACAAAAATTAAAAATAAAAAAATTAGCCAGCATGGTGGCACATGCCTGTGGTCCCAGCTACATGGGAGGCTGAGACAGAAGGATCCCTTGAACCCAGTAGGTCAAGGCTGCAGTGGGCTGTGTTCACATAACTGCACTCCAGCCTGGGTGATGATAGAGCAAGATCATGACTCAAAAAAAAAAAGAAAAAATTACAAAATCCCCATTGTTTATAGGAAAATTGTAGCCTGATCCTAATAAATAAAAATATGACGTTAAACACAAGAACTTTCCACACTAGAATAGAGATTGTGTTTTTGTAAATGGCTTTTCTGAAAGGTTCTTCTAAATAACAATATTTATAGTATATATGAAAATATTTCATTTTTAAATTTTTAGTTTAAATGTTCCATATAAAATACCTTTTCAAAAGCACTGGGAAATCCTTGTATAAAGCTTGTTTTTTGTCAGCCACAGTAAATGACTTTAGTTGGTTGTTTAAAAATGCTTTTATTCTGTTTCATTTGAAAATGCATTCTTGCCTCTTTTTTGTTTGTTTTAAACTTTGGTACTCAAATACATGTCGCTTGTTCTGTGATTTATGTTGCAATGCTAAGTGAATAACGTACGTCATCTAAGGTTATCTAAGTGGGGTTTAGGCTGGGAGTGGTGGCTCACACATGTAATTCCAGCAGTTTGGGAGGCCAAAGTGGGCAGATCACCTGAGGTCAGGAGTTCGATACCAGTCTGGCCAACACGGTGAAACCTCTACTAAAGATAAAAAATTAGTCGGGTGTAGTGGTACACATCTGTAATCCCAGCTACTCGGTAGGCTGAGGCTCGAGAATTGCTTGAACTGGGAGGCGGAGGTTGCAGTGAACCGAGATTGCGCCACTGCACTCCAGCCTGGGCAACAGAGTGAAACTCCATCTCATCTCAGAAAAATAATAAAATAAATGGGGTTTAGATTGGAATTTTTCGAATCCAAAGTTAACAGTATGATAAAACAAAAGTGCCAGTTGAGTGTCTTCATTTCTTACAGTGCTGGTGTGGGCAGAACAGGCACCTATATTGTAATAGACAGCATGCTGCAACAGATAAAAGACAAAAGCACAGTTAACGTCCTGGGATTCCTGAAGCATATCAGGACACAGCGTAACTACCTCGTCCAGACTGAGGTAAGGAGTAGCTGCCAGCGTCCTCACGACATTCTGGCAAATGCTGTAACTGAAATTTGTTAAATGATAATGAAGAGACAGATTCATTCTTTTAGGGCTTGCAGTAATTTACAGGTTTGTATTAGAAGATATTCTGACAATGATCCTATTCTACGGATCACAGTTTTCCATTTCTGTATGGATCTTAACATTTGGATTCCTAAATAACTACACAAGTACTTACGAAAGAGATACAGTTGTTTCAAGAGCTGTGTTAGATGGTAGGGGGAGTTAAACATGTTGTCTGGCCTGAGAAATACATAGGAGAGGATGGTTCTAAAACCCTTCATTGAACACGATTTTTTGTTTGCTTATTGAGTTGAAGCAATAAGCACAGTATAGAATACCGTGATCCAGGCACAGTATAGAATACAGAGCTAAACTTAACACAGTCTCTACCGTAAAATAAGTTAAGACTGATAAAGTGAGTATTGGAGCAAATCACCTAGCTGTAAGTGCTTGAAGGAAATCACTGGGAGGTCCCTGTTAGCAGCAGAATTAAACTAAGGTACACTTCATGAATGAGTGGCTAACCCTTAACACTCCCTCAGTGACTACCATGTATTGTACCTCTTAGGAGCAGTACATTTTCATCCATGATGCCTTGTTGGAAGCCATTCTTGGAAAGGAGACTGAAGTATCTTCAAATCAGCTGCACAGCTATGTTAACAGCATCCTTATACCAGGAGTAGGAGGAAAGACACGACTGGAAAAGCAATTCAAGGTAGTGCTTTGAAAAAGTTTCTTTGGCATAAAGCAAGAAAATGTTTTAAATGCCTTGAGTTTGGGGGTTATGTCTTCTTTGCATTAATGTATACACCGAAATGGATTACTATTTGTACTCCTTGTACTCCTTAAATGTGATGAAAAAGAAAATACGGTTTTGACCTATGTATGAATTGTTGGTATTCAAGTAGATATACAGTGTTGTATTTTCTTCTGAGCAATTTATGACTTTATCTGAATATAAACATCAGCCCCTGGCCATAATGACATAGTACTTTAAAGTAACTCGTTTAGTCCAAAAAATGTCCTATTTTTTCTGAACTAATCTATCTTACCTTAATTATTAAGAATGATGACTTGTAGACATATTGTCCTAAAAATATGCCTATTTCAAAAACTATTTCAGAAGATAATTTAGGAATTTAAAAAGAATTACTAAACAATACTAGAGAAAAGTTAACTTTTCCTAAATGGTTGTTCTTTTTCTTTGATAGGGACATGAAGAAGCTTAAAAGCGGTTAAGGTTTATATGGAATTGACTGAAGTGAAGGTGAAAAAGAGAGATTATAAGGACTATTAAAATAATTAGGGCTCAGTCATCTGATAATAAATCAAAATTGCTTCTAACTTTCAAACATCGCCTGTCTCTCCAGTTACCAAGTGCTTTCCTATTTATCTTTGTCTTTTAAATTCTATTTTGCACATTGTTCTGTATGTAAATAGTTTCTCCCTTTGTATCAAGATTCAAAGAATGAGATGAATCTACAGTTTTAGTTTTCATGGTAAAACTTTCCATAGACTGAAACTTTCATTTGAATCTCAGCTGAAGAAATGAGACTGCCAAGCAAATTATACCAAGTGATATGAAATGAAAAATAGTTTAATTTCACTGAGTTCAGTCATAAAATTAAAAATTTTTAGCTCCCCATTAACATTCTACTATAAAACCATGAGATAATTAATAATGAGGACACAGTGTATCATTTTAAATGTTTAACATGAGTTCTTACAAAATATTAAGTACCAACATTTCTTAAATTCTGCCTTTTTCGTTTCTTCAATTTTTTTTTATACATACTTTAAAACTTCATTTAAGAAATGCGACCAGGTAGTTGGTTCTTTTACAGGCACTAACCATTTTAGAGCTCAAGATGAAGAAAAAAACAAGAATCAAACTTGAAAATGAAAATTATATCCAGGGACCATGAGTTTTACTAAAGCATCTGGAGAAGAACACTGATCTCATATACTCCATTAGGATGGATGCCAGCCCCCAAAAAATAGGATTGACAAAATGGTTCAACCAAGCTACATAAACAGGAATAATAATCAAACTACTGGGCTGGTTACTTATAAAAGCCTTAGAACAATGTTAGTTCAGTTCAACAGAAATGTACTGAGAACTAGTTAAGTACTCCTTTATCTTCAAGAAACTTGATTAGCTCGTAATCAATAGCATTAAGCAATCTTTTTTAATGTAGACTCACGTAGGTCTTTTATGCCAGTGAGGATCACAGAAAAAAATTCACAGCAGCAGTGACATCACATAACAGAAGAATCCACATAGTTCTAGAAATATCTATTGCACACAGTACCTATTTCTACCTGATAGTAGAAATAAGAAAGATACAATCAAGGTCACTGAGAGAAGTACCACTAGGAAAGCACAAGAGTGTTCTCTGGGGCTGGGCATGGTAGATTACACCTGTAATCCCAGAGCAGCCTGGGAAACACAGGAAGACCCCAATTCTATAAACAATTTTAAAAATTAGCTGGTTGTGCTGATGCACCTGTGGTCCTAACTACTCAGGAGGCTGAGGTGGGAGGATCACAGTTAACTGAGCTACAATCATGCCACTGCACTCCAGCCTGGGCAAGAGAGCAAGACCCTGTGTCTTAAAAGGTTCTTTGTGGCACAGAAATGGTCTTGTTTATCAGTAATCTGATTGGGATTTTTGCCAAAGCATCAAGCAAATGCTATCAATTATATCTTTGAATGAAGACTAAAATGTTTTTTCTTTTTCAGCTGGTCACACAGTGTAATGCAAAATATGTGGAATGTTTCAGTGCTCAGAAAGAGTGTAACAAAGAAAAGAACAGAAACTCTTCAGTTGTGCCATGTAAGACTTTAAAACAGTTTGTTAGTGATCTTTTATACTGGATTGTATGTTAGGTACAGAGGCAGCCACTACTCTGATGCTATTGATAGCACCCTTCAATTGTACTGTACGTGGCCGTATGGTAGAAGGTTTTGAAAATGTCCTTTTAGTAACCTCATTAATGTATGACTTTATACCAGCCTCTTACCTGGTACTACCAAAAGGGAAAATGTTATGCTTATTCAACTAAGGTAGTTTAATGAAACTGGGAGAGGTGGTTGTCAGTGTCAGCAAGTGCTCCATCTATCTGACGTAGAATACAGCTTCATTTCACCTTGGAATGCAAGAATTGGGTTACTTCTACCATATTATAACATAAAAAATAATAATAAAGCTGTTATTGCTGTGGCATTAACATTCCTCTAAAACTTAGAATCCTGGATTAATCTGTACAACTAGAACTACCTTATTCAGTTACTGTGGCTATTGAGATCAAGGCACTGTTGATTGGTGGTGACCTTTGTATAAATAGCTAAGGACATTGCAGAGGATGCTGTCTGTGTGCTGTAGGCATAGACATGGGTGATCATTTGGGAGATTTATCTCTAATGAAAAAGGCCACTCTTTTCTAAGACCATCATGAGCAGAAAGACATGGAGAAAGGGGTTGGTAAAAGGACAAAGTATATGTTGGTATAATTGTAGGAATAACAAACTAGAGTCAAAAGTTATCTAAAATCCTCTGTTGTGTCCATATAAAGTATTCTGTTATTGATCTGCTGTAAAAATCTCTCCCACAGTAAAACTGTATTCCTACAATGCCTGTGTCCTTCTGGGTATGTGCAGCAAAATTTCATTTTACATTCTGCCTCAGCTGATAACACTTTAGCTTGTTTAAAAATATAGATAAGTCTTAGAAAGGGAAGCCAGGAGGATATGTTATTCATCAAGCAAATCTCAGAAAGAGCTGTTGGTTCTGTGTGTATAATAAGGCAAATGTGGTGTTTTTGTTTTTTCCATATGATAGCTGAGCGTGCTCGAGTGGGTCTTGCACCATTGCCTGGAATGAAAGGAACAGATTACATTAATGCTTCTTATATCATGGTGAGAGTCAACAGTTAATTATAAATAAAGTCAACTAAACTGAAAGGTGTTAAAGAGCAGATACCACCTGTGTGACTGATGTCATTTTTGAAATAATTTCTCAATGTGTAATATGAAAAGTATAGAGATTTCTGTATCTTGAAACTTTTAACAAAAGATACCTAATCAGTGCTGGTACAAAAATGCTTAAATTAAGCAGAATGCTTCTTAAGGAATTAATTTTATTGTTAATTTCACACATCTAGTCTTTGAATAAATGTTGAAATTTCCCTTAAGTGAAAACAGCAGGGTTAACTAGAAGTGAACTGCACATGGAGAGAAAATTGTCTGCACAGTGCTAGCAGAAGTACATCTAAAAATTAGCCAAATGTACCGAATGCCTTTCTCAATTATTTTAGTGTAGTCAAAACAGTGCTATCTTATTTCATGAATATATTTTACTACCACAAAGTTAGAATAAAACACTCATATTCACTGATTTTTTTTGTCTTCCCAACTGAAGGGCTATTATAGGAGCAATGAATTTATTATAACTCAGCATCCTCTGCCACATACTACGAAAGATTTCTGGCGAATGATTTGGGATCATAACGCACAGATCATTGTCATGCTGCCAGACAACCAGAGCTTGGTAAGTAAAGCACATCTGCTATATATTAATGAGCCCATGAGGCTACAAGCATAAATTACTTTGATACTTTGCCATAGGGCTATAGTATCCATATATGCTAGGGAGGGAATTTAAAATTTTTAAATTCTCATCTTGAAGTCTGTGGAGATTCCTTTCATAGTCTCACAATACTGTCCCTATCAGTTCCATTACTTGAGTCTCTGATGCTATTGATATCACCCTTCAATTGTACTGTCTGTGGCGGTGTGGTAGAAGGTTTTGAAAATGTTTTTAGTAACCTCATTAATATATGACTACACCAACCTCTTCCCTGCTGTATGTCACTTTTGAAAAGTAAATAATTGTAGCTTACAGGTACTGAGTATGTAACTGTGTTTACATGCATTAACTTGTTTAATTCTCAACAATTTTAAGACATACATACTATTATTATCTCATGTAATAGCTGAGAAAACTGAGAACAAACTTGCTCAAGAGAGCACACACAAGTAACTGGAGCCAGGATTTTAACCTGAGTCATCTGTCTCCAGAGACCATGCTTATATAATCATTTTACTGTATGTCTTACCCCAAAATATTGTATCAAAAGTACTAATAGTGAATTTTTTTTTCCCACTCCATAGGCAAGTCAGGTCTACTGCAGGGATAGGCTATTTTGTTCCCACTTAAAGGTCTTTAGGACTGAGCTGCTACTACTTTTCCCTCCCTTAGTCCTTCTCTATTTCAGTCTCTAAACTATACAGAAGGGTGAGCAAGTTTATAAAACAGACTTAAATGTTTCTGCTTAGATCTTGTGGATACTTAAGTTTCGGAATTAGCTGGGTCTATAAAAGTTACTGTGTGGACATGTGAACCCATGAGGTAAAAACAAAAAACAGTGAGGATCTGCCTTTATGATAGTCAGATTAATGAGTTTTTTAATCAAGGAAGAACAGCATGTGACTGAACCCCCAGTCTTGGTGACATGCATTTGACTGTGTGCCCAGTCAGTAGGAACTTCTTCACTTTGTCGCATTTTGCTCCAGCTTCAGGATACCAAGACTGCTTCTGTATGATGGAATGGCAACAAAGTTGAGAATCTTAAACTAAAAGCTGGAGTGTAAATTTTCAAATTAGCTGGCAATAGGGTCTATTCTGTTTGGCATGTGGAAATTGGAGGCACTTAGGGTTGTTAAAACGTTCATTTGTTGGATGAATCAGTATTTTGTTATTGTCACTTAACAGAGGGCAATCACCATAAAGCATCTACCCAGCAGCTCATTTGTATGGGGAGGCTGGAGGGAGACTGGACCAAATAAGTGGATACATGTTCTGCAGACACTGAGGATATAGGAACATGGCATCTCAGTGTCTCTCTGAGGCCTCAGAAGGCTAGATTAGAATCATATACAACTGACCTCTCAGTTCTGAGATGGAGAGTTTCATCATTGCACAGTTTTTCCTAAAGATTGATATCTCTGAGTTCTTTTTGTTTGTTGTATTATTACTGCTATACCTTTACCAGGTCATAATTCTGTAAGGAGCCCAAAAGTCACTGCTTCCTAACTCACAAAGTACGGATATAGATGCCCAGATATCTTTGACCTATAAATATACTTGTAAGCAAAACAGTCATGAGACCAGTGTGCCTGCTGAATTAAGAAGCAGCATTTATTTTTCTTAGACTTTCAAGATGAACCATTTTTCTACCTTTCTTCTACCATAACTCAAATCCCTTTGGTAGCCTTTAAGCTAGTTAATTTACTATTCATGTTATCATCATAGTATTTCTTTAAAGTAAGTAGTTTTTATTCCCACTTTTCAGATCTGGAAATTAAGGTTCAGATTAATTTACCCAGGATCACATCCACTCATAAATCCTATGCTTAATCTGTGCATATTTGTTACATTTAGATGCCCTGTTCATTACCTTATGTCTTTAATATCTGTGTCCTTGGACAAAACCTATTAAAACCCACGACAGTTACAGACTTCTTTTGTATAGACTAAACCCAGTTGCTAATCTGTTTCCCCTTATGCTGAGCTTTAAAAATAAAAATGTACTTGGCAATAAGCTATATTGAAACTTGAAAGGGTGATAAGTCTCATTGGACGTTGGCTCATTTCTAATGCAACAATGTAAGATTAAACAAAGCCTTCTTTGTTTTGAACATTATTCAGAATTATTTCTGACTTCAATGATAGTAGCTAGGCATCCTCAGGAAAATGCCCGTAGAAACCTATATACTACAGGAAAACTACAGTTTGCCATTGGAGCTGATTGATTAGGATACGTGGTGTACATCATAATCATATTTCTCACAGTCTCCAACCTATGCAACAATTAACTTTCTCTTAGGCATCCATAGTTTTTAGGGATAGAATTCAAGGACCAAGCCTGCATATCTATTTTTAATCTTAAAATGGATGAACATTTAAAGCTTGCCTGATTCAAGGCTGAAAGACTTTCTATGTTATCCCCTCTTGAAATATAACATTGACAGATTTCTTTTAAAACTGCCTTGTACATACAGCCAACCTACTTACTCACACACAATCTTCCAAAAAAGTTCTATCCCTTACCATTTATTAGCAGAGTGATTTTAGATAATTTATGGGCCCCCTCCCCAAGGCCTTGTGTCCTCATCTGTAAAGACAGGTGATACAAAATCTCCTCAGGGTTAATATACAAAATTTGTACAGAACTCATACAACTCAGTAGTAGAATCATGAAATACCTGATTTAAATATGGGCAAAAGACCTGAATAGACATTTCTCCAAGGAAGACATAAAGATGGCCAAGAGGTATATGAAAAGATGCTCAATCTCATTAATTTTCAGGGAAATGTAAGTCAAGATACCCCACACCCATTAGGATAGCTATTAAAAACAATCAAAAGATACCAAATGTTGGTGAGGATAACAAAGAAAACTCTCACACACTGTTGGTGGGAATGTAGATTGCTAGAGCCATGATGGAAAACTGTCTGGAGGTTTCTAAATAAATTAAAAATAGAACTACCATAAGACCCAGCAGTCCTTCTTGTGGGCATATACCCAAAGGAAGTGAAATCAACACCTCGTAAAGATATTTGCACTCCCGTTCATTGCAGCATTATTAGCAATCGCCAAGATACGGAAACAACCTAAGTTTCCATCAACAGATAAATGGATAAAGAAATTTGTGGGGTAGGGAGGAAATGGGAAGATGTAAAATAAATCAAGAGGATACAAAACAACAGATGAGGAAGAACAAGTTTAGAGATCTCATATCCAACATGAGGACTACAGGTAATAAAATTGCACTGTATTTGGGAATCATGCCAATATTGAGTACATTTTAGCTGTTCCTGCCACAAAAATGAAAGTGAGATGATGGGTATGTTAATTTGCTCCTAATTATAGTAACCTTTTTACTATCTGTATGTATCCAACATCATACTGAAAATATACAAGAAAACTTACAGTGTTTATGAAAGTCCTTTGCAAAATGCAGTTCAACTACAGAATTATTAACATAATCCACAGGAAATAATTAGCATGTCTTGATTGCTTAAGCAATTGTGAAATAACAAAATTAACTGACCTAGATCCTGCTTTCTTTTTTACTATGTCAATATTACAGAATACTTCTCAACTGTAATAAGTCCCCTATAGTGGGAGTGTTTCAGGTTGCTACACTAACAGGTGAGAGATGCTAGAAAATGATTATCAAAATATATTTTACAATAGAATACAATAACCATTCAACTTGGTGTAGTTCGATGGGAACATATAACTCTTATGAATTCAGTTTAAACGATGGCTTGAGAGGGATGGGAAATGACAAAATCCGTATGCAAGAAATAGAAAACAAATCCTTGACAGAACTGCAGAGGCTTTTTTTTTTTTTGGATTCCAAAGGCAGAAGATGAGTTTGTGTACTGGCCAAGTCGAGAAGAATCCATGAACTGTGAGGCCTTTACCGTCACCCTTATCAGCAAAGACAGACTGTGCCTCTCTAATGAAGAACAAATTATCATCCATGACTTTATCCTTGAAGCTACACAGGTAACCTAAACCTCAGTTCCTCACTAATAGCCATACCTGGGCCCTGGATCATCATTCTAAGTAATAATGAAATAATTTACCACCCTCAAGCCAGGCTCAGGCATTTGAGTAAGACTTAATTTTAAATATGTACATTTTCCGTTTTTCTTCCTTCAAATATTTGCTTTTTCCAGCTGGCTAGATGAAATGTAACAGTTCCTCTGATTCAGCATGCATACAAATAGGTCTGTTGACCTAATTATAAAAACAATATACTAGAACTCAATATTTTCTTTGCCATCAGAAATGTAAGCTTTGCAATGTGTTGCACAGATGATAATACTAAGTTTTTTTAAGTAAATATTTTGCTGCCTTCTTGTGGGATGAGTAAGCATGGGGGGGCTCTTATATTAGTAATTTAAAGGATGAGCCCCTTCCTTGTTTTCCTTTAATTTTATAAATAAGAAAATAGAGTAGGATATAAGGTCTTTAATAATTTATTGTCACTTGAAATTTTTGACTAAGCCAAATGAATTGTTTCACTAGCATGACCTACTTGGTTGTTTGTTTTGAGACAAGGTCTCACTCACAGTGGCATCATCAAAGCTCAGTGTAACCCCAAACTCCTGGGCTCAAGCGATCCTTTCACATCAGCCTCCCGAATAGCAAAGACTATAGGCATGTACCATATGACTAGTTAATTTTTTTTTTTTTTTAATTTTTTTAGAGACAGATCTCCCTGTGTTGCCCAGGTGGGTCTTGAACTCCTGGCCTCAAGCAATCCTCCCACCTTGGCCTCCCAAAGTACTGAATTACAGGCATGAACCACTATGCCTAGCCATGCTTTTTTTAAAAAACAAAAAAACAAAAAAAAAAAACCTTCCTGGTATTTTTCTTCTTTCCAGCTGTGGTTTGGTTAACACAACATTGTTGAGAGTTACCTATAACACATGGCTTTCTCAGGAGCAAGTTCTAGTCATTAGATTGTAGATATGTGAAATAAAGGAAGGGATTTGACCCATGTTGTATTGGTTACAGGATGACTATGTCTTAGAAGTTCGGCACTTTCAGTGTCCCAAATGGCCTAACCCAGATGCCCCCATAAGTAGTACCTTTGAACTTATCAACGTCATCAAGGAAGAGGCCTTAACAAGGGATGGTCCCACCATTGTTCATGATGAGTATGTATCTGTTTCTTAATTTTAAAATGTAGACCGTTTTTTTGTTTAATTTCTTGTTGAAAGCAGTAGAAAAGGAAGCCAGAATTTTAAAACCTATCAACAACCTCAGCTTGTGACAACTCCATGTTATTTCTACTGTGGACATGTACAAAGTGTTGTTGCTCTGTTTACATTTTAATATGTCAAACTCTTCCAAGACTCCAGGTTCTTCTAGAGTATATGTTCTAGAAAGGGGAAAGTATTATATCTTAGCCTACAGAGGTAGATCTGCATGCATTTAGAGGTGTTATGTGTTAGTAACAAATGAGTAAATTAATAACTGTTTACCTTAATTAAATACTTTTTAAAAATCCTTACACTGAATTTCAAACACTTGTTAGGGAAATAACCTTTAAAAATATGACTTAGTTGATGAGTAGAGATAAAACTACTAGTATTAATGATAATATTTAAAGTTCATGATGTGTTTTAAAGTCTTCAGTACTGTCTTTTGGGATTTAAAGAATATGAATCTCAAAGAGAAAAATAACTTGCACCTGGTCTCAAAGCTTCTAAGTGTCACAATGGTATCCCAGCCCAGCACCTTTCCACTTTAATAAGAAGGAAAGGGTCATAGATATATCTTATTGTATATAGATATTTGGAGCCAAACTTCATGGCCTGTAAGTCAGTTGTATAATTGAATCGTTTCAAATCACAAACCTTTAGCCAATATGGAATCAATTATACATTCCCATTTTTATTTCAGTTCCAAGGTAGCTCTTGGTCAGCAGCATTCATTATGTTCATTAAATTACCAACTAGCTACCCAAGTAGCATAAAGTATTAATAAATTTGAAAGTGAAGCTTATTGTGAAGGCTTTTTTTCCTGGCACTAATGCTGTATCATGATGTACACAAGAGCTCAGCACCTTCACCTCAAATCATAGTACTCTCCTACTTGAAGTAATGTGTACTAGCTGCTTCCAAAAAATTTTACAGTCTTTCAAAATGTTGGCCTGACTCTTGATTAGTAAGGTGAAAAATTAAGATTTGAAAAGCATTACAGTTGAAACATTAATTAAATAGCATAAGATCAATGGAAATGTGACAACCATCAACAGTGTTTAAATAGCACAGACAGCCTCAAAATAACTGGGGAGTTGCTACTGAACTAAAACTTTGTGGTATACAGTTACAGCATAAAGTTAGGGCATTTTCTAGAATTCCTGGGTTTTACCAGCTCTTATCATCTCTTGTCATCAAATTCTAACGTTACTGCCCAGTTATATGACTGATTTTGCTGTTACGGTAGTACTCCGAGGTGTTTTGTCCTGAAGTCAGTAATGCACCTAATCTTATATTTTAGGGTAAGGAAAGAGGAAAAGAAAAATAACCACCAGTTAAATACTAAACAGAAGTGTTTGATTCACTTATCTTCATTCAACTTTTCAGTATATTTGTCTTATTTAGTGATTTTTATGTCACATGCTGAAAATATATCCCCTCCAGAATTAATCAGATGTATACAGGCCTCATTCTTAGGCCTGTATACAAAAAGAGCAAATTAATCCTAAACCAGTAGATCTGCAAATATCATATAGGTGAGATGCCTTAAAAGCCACCAGTAGAAATGTATTAATTCATTTATCTACTATCTGTAGGGGATAAGTTAATTCCATTGAAATTATTGAAGAGAAACTTTAAAATTTTTGAACAGTTGCTAGCTCTAGTGAGATACTCTGAACACCAGTTCCTTTTCAGTTTCCATCTTACCTACTTTCTGTACCTCTAAACATCACTTCCTGATGGGCTACAAACACGTCACATTCAGCATAGCTAAAACCAAACTCATCTTCACTGCCTGCCCCTAATCAACTTAACTGTACAGACCAGAAACATATCAGAGTTATTTTTGAGTCTCCCTCACCTCCAAGTCTGATTGGCCACCAAGTCTTCTTGGTGCCATCGATTCTTTCAGTAGACTTTTGAAAATCTTTTACAATCTAGTGTAAAGTTTACATTTCCAGTTGTCATCCCAATCTGCCACTGAAGTACTTCCTGCATGCCACCTTGCCCCTGCAAATCCTCTTTCCTCTGAGCACCCTTTCATTCAATACACAGTTCAAAAGTCACTCTCTGAGACTCTAATTCATCCCAGAGGTGCTAAGCAAAATCATTAACATGACAACCATACCAGATAAATGTCATTCCTGCTTATCATGTCACACCATAATTATTTGTATACATGACTGTCACTCTCACATTGCTGAGGCCAGCAATGGTAATTTATTCATCCCAGTCTCCACCGGGGGAAACCCAATGCCTGGGACAGCGTGGGTACTAGACAAGTATTTGCACGAACGGGTATGTGTTTTAAATTGTGGTAACTTACAAACTATTAAGTATATGTACCCCTATAACAAATTGTCCCCAGAAAGCCTTGCTTTTTGTCTCATTTATTGTTCAAAGTCATTTTGGCTGCTTAAATTCTTCTTTTCAAAGTGTTTTTAAGCTCTGTCAAAAGCAGGAGTCAACAGGCTTGGAGAGAAGGCCTGCACGCATTTGATCTGTGAGGCAGAGAGTTGAACTTTTAGTGTGCAAATGTTGTGACATCTATTTGGTCTTCATAGAGATCTTTTTAACACCTACTTTTGGGGGTGGCAGGTGGTTGTTGGGGGGGGGGGGTCTCAGGTGTGTCCCAGGTGGATGACATTTCTAGATAAGTGAGCTAAGAATAAAATTCCTAACCAAAAAGTAAACTGCTTCTATTTGAGGACAGGCACAGCTTAAAGACAAACTGCTTCATTCTCAGCATTCTATTGTCAACTGTTCAAGATTATTCTGCTCAGAGGCTGATCTACATCATTATTGTCAAATTTTAAAAACAGCTGGGTTCCCATAGATATTTAGAACATAGGCATGGTTCTCATATAGTCTTATAAGACAGCTGTAGATCAGACCTCACCCAAATTACTCTACTCACTCACAGACTGAAGAAGAGTTCCCTTTGCAAATACTTAATTACTCACTCTGGAGATACATGTATCACCCTACTGGATAGCATAATAATATAAAAATACTATCTGCCTTATTCATACCCATTCTGTCATGAGTGGACAATTAAAAAGAGTTTTCCAGAAGTACATGACATGTGATAACATCACTTTTAGGGCTAATCGTATTTTAACATTTTCTCAGTTTTAATTTCTAATACAGTAAATATTGACATATACAGCCCAAATCCCCTGGAGGTCCTCAATAATTTTTTATTTTAATTTGGCCCTGAGATCAAAGAGTCTAAAGACTGCTGAGATATTCTTTAAGTGACACAAGGCATATGGACTGTTTTCAATAGCAAAGGCTGCAAAGACACCCACAAATCATAACTAATTCCAGTATTTTCGCTTTTATTGAGAGCCTTATGGAAGGCTTTCATGTTGTCTTCTTCCCTAAGATTGATACTTATTCCAGCTTCAATTTTTTTGTTTTCCTTTCTGCCCTACTGATTTCAAAAGGAAGCTGCATTTCTTCACAGTGTCAGGGTTATAACTCTGGATAGCAATCTTGGTTATGATTTTAAAAACAACGTATTAAAAGCTACAATAATAAGTAAATATATGAAATAGTGAAAATGGTTAAATGCTCACAGGTATTATCCTGACTATACAAGGAATCACAATGTGTTTTAAAATGAATATAGACAGAGCACTTAAAAAAAAACATTACTGTACTTCAGGAGCTTAAAGTACTTTCATTTCTTTTGTAAAATCTTTGAAGTAAATAAAGGCAGGGAAAGATGAAAAAAATAGGGTTTTTTTCTTAACATCACTAGTTAAATAAGCATTACTTTTAATGGAGCCCTTAGAGGAAGTGGCAAACAAAATATCAAAGCCAGTGAATTTATATACTACTGTCATTTTACCTAGGTTACAGATTACTTATACCACTTTTGCACCAAGTCCCTGTAGTTTTAAATGCAAATCCATGAAACTCGATGAGCATTCTTTAATCCCACTTAGTTCCTAAACTTTTGAAAGAGAATGGCCCTTTTTGTCTTTGCTCTGTCATTATGTTTGGTATGCAGAAGATATTTAAAAGTATCTGTGCATTTGATTGATTTGACTTGCGAGTTTCTTGTCATGTTTAAGCCATATTGTATAAATACTTTTAATTTTACTGCTTATTTAACCGTGGCTAAATACAGGAAAGGCAACCCATGGAAAGGTGAGAATAATCTCACATGGAGTGCATGCATACTCCGTAAAAACATACATGTTACCTGACTTTTCTATATGGCTGGCCACAGATAGCTTTGAAAGAGCTAAGAAAAAAGGGGAGATTCTTAAGTTTAACCATTTCACTAGAACAGATTAAACAAATGTTAAATTCTTCCCCTCCTAAACAAAATCAGTACAAATGACTTTTTTTTAATACCATGCTAAAATGAGGTCAACTCAGTACAATTTAGAATCTGAGGGAAGACAACATGCTGAACAAGAACCAAAAACCACAATAAATCAGAGTTAATAGAGCTATCATAATAGGGTATTAAAATATATCCTCAGAGATCTAAAGGAAGATTTTATGAAATGAAGAACATTTATTATGAAATAGGAACAAATTCGGCCTAAGAATGAGAAAATACATTAATTCATGAAACTAAAAACTTAAAAGATAGGATACTAGTGGAGTGTAGAACTGAAATGAAACTAGAATGTGGAAGTCACATACAGAAGTTCTAACATATGTCTAAAAAGTTATCCATGGGGCAATAAAATACAGGTTAAAGAGGAAGAAATAACAGCTGAGGTTTTCTAAAAACAGAATAAAGTATTCAGTTCTTAAACTGAGCGACCAGGATACATTTGATCAGTAGCATTCAGAGAGATTTGAATACCACAGTTAACAAGCGTGATCTAATAGTGATATAGAGAAGTTCGCACCCAAGAGAGACTGCACAGAGAGACCTAGAGTCTCTTCAAACACAAATGGTTTATTTATATACATAGGCCATAAATGGAATTTCAATACATTCCCCCAAAACAGATACCATACAAGGCTACATTCATTGATTACAACCCACTTACATTAGAAACCACCAGTGAAATAACATCCCAAATCCTTATAACTAGAAACAACTAGAAACTGAAATCCTTACATCTAGGATTGCTTATAAATAATTCATGCATCAAAGATGTAACCAAAATAAGTATTTCACAGTGTCTAAAACTAAATGATGATGAAGGCACTGCATTTCAAAACCTGGTGAAATGGAGCCAAACTGTACTTAAAAAAAAAAAAAAAAACAGCCTGTGTAAACTCTACATATTAGAAAGGTTAAAAATAAACAAACCAAGCATTCAGCTCAAGCCAGAAAAAGCACCAGAGAAATCAACAAAAAGTACAAGGAATTAAAAGCAAATAGAAGGCGATAGTAAAATTTAAGCAATAAATAGTTTAGTAAGAGATACAGTTTTGGAAATATGATGAAGGAAAAAACCTACCGTATATCTGTAGCTACATTAAAAACATTCAAGAATTGGCCGGGCACGGTGACTCACACCTATAATCCCAGCACTTTGGGAGGCCAAGGCGGGCAGATCACCAGGTCAGGAGTTCAAGACCAGCCTGGCCAACATGGCGAAACCCCGTCTCTACTAAAAATACAAAAATTAGCTGGACATGGTGGCAGGCGCCAGTAATCCCAGCTACTCGGGAGGCTGAGGCAGGAGAATCGTTTGAACCTGGGAGGCAGAGGTTGCAGTGAACCAAGATTGCACCATTGCACTCCAGCCTGGGCGACAGGGTGATACTCCGTCACAAAAAAAAAAAAAAAAATTCGAAAGTTGTTAATTTGCTTAGGTGTGATAGTGTGTTTTCTTTAAATGCTTATCTTTTAGAGTTTGATACTAAATTATGACTAAAACACCTGAGATTTGCTTCAATATATATTGGGGACGAAACAGAAATGAAATGAGAATGGCCATGAGCTGTTGATCATTATAACTGAATGATGACTACATGAATGCTACTGTACTATTGGGCTTTGGTGTCTGTTTAACATTTTCTATAATAAAAAGCTAAAAATAATACATATTTTAAAAGAAAGAAAATAAGCATTTAAGACTTTATAACTCTATACTAATAAATGTTTAAGCCTATAAATAAGCATAGTAAAATAACATTTAGTGAACACATGGTATGTGGTGTGTGCCAATCTCTGTTCTGAGCCATTTACAAGTATCAGCTCAATTTTAAACTCTAGTCTCACTATGCGATCTTGGCCAGTTACTTCACCTGAATGTGCCTTATTTATTCAACCTCAGAATGTGCCTTATTTATTCAACCTGAAATGGAGATAATACTGGTACCCATACCATAGGGTTACTGTGAGGACTAAGTCAGTACATGTAAATACCTATAAGAGAACATGGCACATGAAGTACAACACACGTTAGTGATCACTAAGAACTGAATAAAAGAATGAGTTTTCCACCTGTTAGGGCCCACAAGTCCTGGCCAAGGCTACATATGAACAGTAACACACAGAAGATTTAATGCAATGTTGATTTAAACAAACAAGGCTTAGCACCAGAATGGAAATGTATAGGCCAAGTCTTGCTTATTTGAACACTGATGCAAAAATGACAATAAAAAGCTGTCTAATAAAACCCAGTATATTAAAAGAATTACACATCATGAAAAACTTATCCTAGTAATGTAGAGCTGGTGTTAAGCTTTTGATATATTATCAAAAGTTTATCAGTGAATTCAGGACATTTTAAGAGACATTTCAAAAAAAAATCGATATTGAAAAGCGTACAATAAAACAACACCCATTCATGATCCCCCCCCCCCAAAAAAAACACTTAGAGTAAAAATAGAAAGCATCCTCTTTACCTTTATAATTGTTATTTACCAGATGTATATTAGCAAACATTTAAATTTAATATTAAAAACTTAGAAGCTTGAACATTTAAGATACATGATACTTGCTTTCAGTTCTAGCACGTAAGCCTATCTAGGTGCTAGCCAACACAGTAAAAGCAGAAGATAGAAGAAGCGTAAAAGATAAAAAGAGGGAAAGTTCGCATTATTGGCAGATAAAGATGTGGTCAACTACCTAGAGAAGCCACAAACTATTAAAACTTAAGCAGGGTTCTTCTGTTTGACCGGATACAATTTCACCATGTGAAAATCAGTAACCTTCCCATGCATGAAGTGAAACCAAACAGAAAATGTTATCACAAAAGGAGGCCATTAATAGGGGTAATAAACTCTAAAGTACCTAAAAATTTACCAAAAATGGAATTGGCAAAGACTATAAAGAAAACAATAAAACCTAGTTAAAAGCTATAAAAGGCCTGAATAAATGGAGAAAAGACATTGTGTTCATGAAGAGAAAAACTCAAGATTGAAAAGATGGTAATTTCCTCAGATCCATCTATATATTCAGTGCAACCTAATCAAAATCCCAACAAAAATGTTTGTTTGTGTTCCTTAACAATCTGGTTTCAAAATTACTATGAAACACGATGGAGTCGGGTGGAAGGTCAGAGTTATTTGGACATCAGTGTACCAGTAAAAAATGAAAATTATATGTTTGAATCACTAAAAACAATACGAAGTAAATGTAGAGACAGCCAAGACTATTACAGAAACTTGCTTTATCAGATATCAAGACTTATTAAGGAATTGGGATACACGTGGGGAGGTACAAAAAATAGACAAACAGAATAAAAGGTCAAAACAGAGTTCAGAAATAGGCTTGCATATATAAGAATGTAGTACATGATAAAAAGGAAGCTGATGTCAGTGAGAAAAGATCACACTGTAAAATAAGAAGTGCTGGGACAACTGGTTATCCAATGGAAAAATAAAATAACTGTAATCAGACCCCTTCCTTACATCAAAGCAAGAATAAGACTCAGATGAATTAGACAATTAAACGTAAAAAAGTAAAATTAGAACATGTAGGAGAGTATCTTTAAAATACAAGGTTAGAGAAAGCATTCTCAAACAAGATTCCAAAAAAAGCCAAAAATAAAAGATGTATCAACTTGATTACATCTAAACTGTACTTCCGTATAACAAAATGACCACAAACAATGTTAAGAGAAACAGATCGGGGGGCAAAAAAACTCACAAGTACTACAGACACTATAAAAATAACTCCTATATAAATCATTTTGGAAGAGGCAAACTTAGTAGAAAAGTGTTAATTAGGCGATTTCAGAAGAGGAAATATAGATGGTCAGTATTCATAAAAAGACATTCAGCCTCCCTGGTAATCAAGGAAATGTAAATTAAAACCCTAGTAAGATACAGTCTTCCACTCATCAGATTGGCAAAAGTGTTTCAAGTTTAAAATGATGAGGAGAAGCAAGTGTTCTCGTGCTGGGAATAGTATGAACAGGTAACAGCCACTTGGGAAAGAAATATGGCAGTGTCTTTAAAACTAAAAACAGGCATACCTGTGACCCTAGCCCTTCTACTCAGTACCTATGCTAAAGTGCACAAATTCAAACAAGCTAAATGTCCATCTAGAAGGTAAACCTGGTATGCATGTAGCAGATGAAATAATGAGTTGAACTGAAATGTAGTGATACACCTAAATCTGGAAGGCTGTATCTACACGTGTAATAATTTTTACCTCTGGAGAGGTTACCTCTAAAGTTGGGGGGTGGCTAAGGGGGACTCTGGTCTTATTTGTATTAAAGATATAAAACATGTAATATTTTAATTTTATGTAACAATTCAGAAATGACATTTAAGTTTTTCAAAAAACAATGGGCACAGGGCATCTGAACTCCAGTCTCATTTCTGCCACCAGCCAGCAACATCATCTTGAACAATTCATTTAATCCATCTGTTTTCTCATCACTAATGTGGAAACTGTGTGCCATCACAGATTCTTGTGAAAAGTGGAGTTGCCAACCTGGCCTGATGGAAATTTACTACCTTTCTAAGACTTTTTTGTGAGGCAAAGAGAACCACATTTATCTTTCCAAGGATTTCATAGAAAGTGCTCTCATTAGGAAAGTTCCACTTCAGTGCCAAAATAATTATTTCATATGAAATTAATTTTGGAAATTGTCTGTTTTGAGCCATATAATTCCATTTTTAAATTTTTCATATTCTGTAAGTTCAATTTAACTGTTTGGAATTGTTAAAAAAAAATTCAGAGCCCTTCATCACTGGCTGCTTGTCCAATAACGTCTAGTTAAGAGGTTCTCTTTATTGTTTTTTCTATTGTACCACCCAACTCATCACCAACACCAAATCATCTTTAGCTCTCCTAAGTCTACTTCTGAACCTCTCATTTCCTATTAGATATCAAGCTAAACGTCTCATGAACCAATTTGGGATACTCCACTTTCATAAACAAATCTCACCTTTATGCTAGCTTCCAAATCCCTCCCCCACCAGCATTTCATTCAGTCGTGTCTTTAGAGTAAATGTCAAAACAGTCTACTTAGTTTCTATGAAAATACATGACAGTAATTTCATTTCAATATATTTGGTCCCTTTGTACATCTGAAATCGTATCTTTTTTTTTTCTCCCCCAGGTATGGAGCAGTTTCAGCAGGAATGTTATGTGCCCTTACCACCCTGTCCCAGCAACTGGAGAATGAAAATGCTGTGGATGTTTTCCAGGTTGCAAAAATGATCAATCTTATGAGGCCTGGAGTATTCACAGACATTGTAAGTAGTTTGCTTATGTGTAAAACCTGTACTACATCAGTTGAAACTCAGACTCACAGTTTAGAGCAGTAGTTCTCAATTGGGGGTGATTTTGCCCCCCAGGGGACATTTGGCCATGTCTGGAGACTTTTTTGCTTGTCACAACTGCAGATGGATGGCATCTAGAGGATACAAGCCAGAGATGCTGCTAAGCAAACTACACAGCACAAGACAGCCCTCAACACCATAGAATTATGTGGCCCAAAATGTCAGTAGTGCTCAGGTTGAGAAGCCCTGCTTTAGAGGATAGTATTCTCTGGTTATCTTCATTAACCAGATATTAACCAGATATTGGTTATCTTCATTAACCAATAATGATTGTTCATTAACAATCAG
Organism: Homo sapiens; assembly: GCF_000001405.40. Classification (NCBI taxonomy): domain Eukaryota; kingdom Metazoa; phylum Chordata; class Mammalia; order Primates; family Hominidae; genus Homo; species Homo sapiens. The sequence continues at coordinate 62,292,932 of NC_000003.12, forward strand.
CACTGAGAATTGGTTCCAAGCTAACAGAGATCAAAAGGACATGAAGAAGGTATAGGTCTTGACTATAATAAATTCAAATGATTTTTTTTTTAGTTTTTTTAGATAACATTTATGCTATTGCTGTTTCTCTAGTGTGTTTTTCACAATTACCATTTTAATTGGTATTTCCACCTTATGTGAAATCACTAAACTGTTCTTTGGCTCAAACTGTCTTCCTCTTGTTTTTCAGGAACAATACCAGTTCATCTATAAAGCAATGCTTAGCTTGGTCAGCACTAAAGAAAATGGAAATGGTCCCATGACAGTAGACAAAAATGGTGCTGTTCTTATTGCAGATGAATCAGACCCTGCTGAGAGCATGGAGTCCCTAGTGTGACTGGAATCCTGAAAGGGCACTTAATTTGTAAACTTCTGAAGACTGAGAACTTTTTTGAGGCCTTTTTTGCCAGACTCTAGGTTATACAATAACCCAGTTACTTTTTTACACTGATAAAAGTTTTGATATTTATTTTTTGCCATTTTATGTCTTAATGGTATCCTACTGAGCATTTGCACCTCTGTTCATTTCACACAGTGAAACGCAATTTTACCTAGTTTGCACTATATGATCAGTGTTACTGCCTATAATCTTATACAACAGCAAACCCTGATGTGACATTCCATGACGACATACATGCTACTTTTTTTTAGTTCAATACAGTGAAGGTCTTTGTTATGACAGTGAATATTGCTTTTATTATTATTATTGCTGAAGTGGTTGCATTCTACTAGCAGGCAATGCTGTACTTTTCTTCAGTCCTCCTCTCCTTTTTATTTTAGGCACTGTTCAATACTGTATGCCTTCTGTATTTTAATGGAGTGGATAGCATTGTTTTCTTTTACAGACTAGCAGGCTACTGGGACCTAAAAAGGTCTGTTAATGTCATGGCCTTGAAACAGTTCCATTTATGCTGGTTAAGAGATCCCTTAAGAAGTTAGAAGGCTTAAGAACTGCTTCATGTGAACATCCCTTATTAGTTACAAAGTTATATTCACAGTTTTTTAAAAATGTGTCAAAATAAAGGATAACTCTGTATTACAGCTTTCACAGTAGCTATGTGGACAATGTGTTATTTCCATTTTGACTCTCTAAAATAGCTACATCCTAAAATCAGGGCTATCTTTAACAATAGCAAGATAGCAATATTATATACAACTCAGTTATGAGACCCTTTAGTTATTCTCCATTAATGCTTCTTAGTTTGTAATACCATACCTCACAGTAGGTAGAAGAATGAAAACTTCTGCAGGTGTGTAATTTTGAAACTAGTCCTCTAAAAATTCCCTATTACTCCTATAGCAATCTAATAAAAACTACCTACATAGTTACTGTTTTCTTTCCTTCTTTGCCAAATGTTTTATAATAAATCTCTTAATTACATACATTTTTCTACTTAAGATTAAATTGGAAATACTGTCTTAGCAAAAGTCTTGGGACTATCTAAACTCCCACACATAGATAAATCTGATTTGGAGAGAGAAATTTAAAATATTTAATTAAAGGTGATACCCACATTTTCAAGTTTTTAAAAGAGGGAGATGGCTTTGTATGCTTTTGTGTAGTTTAGAACAGATACACATTAGTAAAAGATACCAATAATCATTAGAGCTCAAGGAAGTTATTAGGTGCAGCCTCTGGAGCCATACTCACGCTGCAGTGCATAATGGGAAAATTAGGAGCATTAATAAGAAATTTCAGTAGTGTTTGTAAGGAAAATAAGCTACTTACTGAGATCTGTTTCTTCTATTGCATGTTTGCTTTTGAGGGACAGCTTCTGTCAAAAGTGAAATCATCACCAGAACTGGGCCTGTTAGGAAGAATAGGGTTTTATTTACTTTTTATGTCAATTAACTTCAACAAAAAGGCCACGCTGGCTGCTGTCATGCCATCTGGGTATGCATTAAACATTAATGATGATCAGCACTGAGGTTCTATTTATCTTGATTTGGCTTTCATAAAGTTTGTCAGAATGGTGCTGGAGGACCAGAAGTGCTAAGGAGAAAGAAGCTATGGGCCAAGTTAAAGAATTTGAATGCAAAGGCCAGGTCAATGGAGTTTTCATAAACTACATAATTTACCAGGGTTTATCTCATCTTCTCAATACATAGATTTAACAACATGGAATACTCTGCTTTTCAAGAGCTGCGTAAGCTAGTCCTGAGATAAGATGTTCAAGAGAGCATGCTAAGTTGCATGTGCTAGATGAGAGACACCTTTACAGCCCCTCCGCTCCAACCAGAGGTGACACAGGAAGCTCTGTAAAGTTCAAGTAAAGCTTGAACACAGGAACACTACAACTGCCAGATGCTGAGGAGAATCAGGAAAGCAATGAGCTAGACTCTTTTTTTAGTCAATTAAGTGGGTTGTTTTAGATGTATAGAGTATTGATATGAGTTAACACTTTTTAGTAGATGGCAAAGTGGGCTTGATGTTCAAAAGTAATGTTCGAGTTAGGGTTCATGGTCCCTTTCTCAGTAATTTTTTCTTAATAAAAGTAAACACTGGTTCAAAGACAAATAGCAAGTATTCCCTCCTGTGCTATTTATAGAGGGCTCAATTCGTAGAAAGGCATACCCTCCAATGCAATTCTGTGGCTGTCCCTTACAGTGGTTTCAGAATCACGAAAAAACAGCTAGTAAATAGGATAGAAACAATAAAAGAAAGAGTTTAGAAGTTCCCTGTGAGCAATCTGTGTGTCTTCAGCGAGCTTGAACCAAAGTCTTCATATCCTGACCCACTGAATTATAAGCAATTGCTACTTGCCCATCTTGCCAAAGTAGTCCAAACACACTTCAATGAGGACAGTTATATTTAGCAGGTCCTCACCCCTGCAAGAGACAGCATATCCTCACTATTATTATTCATGTGTTATTGGCAAAAACATAGCTTGCATCTTTCCAGAGGCAGAGTTTCAAAGACAGGGTTTTCTTTGAGACATAAGCACATTGCTTAAGTACATAACAAGGTTATTAACACTTGCACTCAGGGGAAAGGAAATAGCTATTGCAAATTAATGTGTGCAACTTAATAAAATAAGCTGTTTGTGTATATGAATTTAGCTCTAGGTAAGCAAAATGCACACATCATATAAAAATAAATTGCAATGATCAGACCAAGTGGCTGTGCTGGACATCAAAGAAAAGACATGCTGTTGCCATCAGGAGAACTCTTTCTTATATGCGATAGCCAAGATATCTTCTTTAATATGAAAAAAGTTAATTTCTGAATTTCAAAAAGAGTAAGATTAGCTAATTGGTCTTCCTAATTTTTATGCCTTTAGAGTTTTTAGTCTATTCAAGTAGAAGAGTCCAGCGAGGCCAAAGAAGGGTTACGGTGTTCAAGTTCTGGTTGTTGGAGTTTTTAGCCCAGAGTGACATACTGAAATCAGTAAATAATTATTTTATAATGACACAGCACAACTGCCTTGTTATGAATTTTTCTTAAATGCATATATACTGTATTTAAAATTAAAATATAGATACCAATTTACCAAAGATACATATTACTAATTCTAAGCAAAACTAAAAAAAAAACCCAACTCATCATAATTTAAGAATCAAAATGTAGTTTGTCTTAAGAATTTAGTGGTTATACTGGAAATGCATTTTCAACTCCTATGTTCTAAAGTTTATGTTCAAATGGTGCCAGTGAATTTTTATATGAAGGGAAAATGCCTGCTTTTTTTTTTTTTTTAACAGATGTAATTTCACTTAACCCTTTGCGCTTTCCCTTAGTTGTCATTTAACATACAATACTGGCTTTACTTATCTCTAGAAAGAAGAAGGCATGCTACAAATAGGAAGGAATTGTAATAATGATATTTGGCCTCTACTTTGTCTTAGCTGTTAAACTGTTTTTAGTATTTTTGTTAAATATTTGCAAAGGGAAGCATTTTCTACAGAGGATAATTAATTTCAAGAAAAATATCTTGAGTTTTAAGAAATAAACATCTCCAGAAAAGGAGAAAGTCGATTTTATAAAATGTCGCAACTCTCCAACATTTGGGGTAGTGACTCCTTTTTTGTTAGGACATTTGAAACTAGCAAGCAGCCATTGTTTCTAAAGAATTCTGGCTTCACATTGACTCATGTTTCTTTCACTCCATTTTGAAATAGCTAAAAATCATTAAAACTGTAAATATTTTGTTGCTTGGGTAAGCATCTTCTGGGAACTTTGTATCTATGGTATATAATCATAGAATTTTATATTTTCATATAAAGCTAATTTTTTTCTAGTTTCAACTCCGTCATAGTTTTTTTTCCTTTTTGTGGTGGATATGTGAATTCAACTTTCTGTGTATTGAAGTAGCAAAAACCATCTTTACATTCCAAAAGAATCCAACATGTGTTATTTCTTTGAGGCAGTGATTGTGAAAGTTGGGTTTTCTTTTTAATTCCATTGACCATTTGTGCAATAGGAATTAGACATAATTAGTCACTGAAAACATTCGTCACATTGACCCATTTGGAAAAAGTGTGCTTTTTTTTTTTTTTTAAATTTGTTCAGGGGGAGGGGTTTTGTAACCTGAAATTTTTCCCTTTTTCTTCTGTTTAAACTATATCAAATCATTCTATTATAGTGTTATTTAATATGTAAATTGTATTGCTATACATAAAATAAAGTATGGTTTTTGATGTATTCAGTAGTGTTGAGCATTTCTATGAAAATGTCTATATCCAATAAAATAGGTTACTAGTCTCCCTTAACAGATCACATTAATACCCACCAACCCTCTGGTCTAAGTTTTCATGGTAGTAAAATGAACATTGGTAGTCGTCTTTACACAGGCAGCAAACCAAAAAGAATGGTCTTTGCTGGGTTGATTTATCAACGTTCTTTCTCCTTTAAAGAGTAAACAATGACAGTTTTACCTGCTCATCTAAGGAATCAAACTTTATTCAGTTTATGACTCTGCTGCTAAGTTGTGAACAGAATTACTATTTTCTCTAGTGTATCAACTAGGTTTGTAACAACTCTCTTAATATTTACGAGGTAGGATGAAGGATATATCCTGGCAAGAGTTCTGGAGAATCTATATGTGTAAGATCAGTACAATTGCTTCTACTTAACAAGAACTTTTGACATTTCCAAACAGGTATACAAGTCCCAAACTTGGCAGCTTTGGCCTACCATTCTGTCTTAACTTTTAGTGGCTCCATATCAGGTGCTCAACTCTTCCTACCCAAGGCCCCAGTTTTTCTTCCCATATAGATAAGAGCTGAAACTTCACTCTCGCTGTCATGAGGAATTTAAGAAACAATGTGTGAAGAGTATGTGGAAGAACAACTCTAGCACAAAAGAATGAAATCTCTTAGGATATAATCCTAGTCTTCCTCAAATTATATCCATGGGGAAACTACTGCCCTATATCATAGGATACACCAGAGGTCCACGAATTGATGGCCCGTAGATTGCATTCAGTCCACAGATATATTGTATTTGGCTCATAATTTTAAAGTTTGTATTAGTTACCAATATTTAAAACATGAAAACTTTTGCAATAAGATTCAGGTTTCAAACTCCTTTAAAAAATTTGGGTGTTGGTGTAACAGGCTCACACTCTCCCATGACAGTAACAAGATGGAAATGAACAGCAGTTTTTGCATTTAGGGGAAACATATGCTCTCCAGTTCACCAAAGTCTACATTGCTCCCTATCACATTATGTCTAGCCATCATCAGTCATTTAATTAACCTGCCTGGATCCTGTGAGCAGTTGCCTCTGAGACATCCAATATGAATTCTGACACCATCTTCCATCTCAGGCTAGTAAACCAACAACCAAGAGTGGCAGTAGAAGTATCTCTAAGTCTTTCATCATGAAAATCCTAGACAACCAGCACACAGCCCAGTGGGTTCCCACATTACTAACTACCTCTAAGTCCACCCAAGATGATTCCATTAAGCAGCAGTTATGACTATTCAAAATCATTAAAAAAAATCAATTTTCTACTCCATGACTTTTACTTGCCCAGGACATAACCTTAGACGAGGAAGCTTCATTTATGCTACTACAAGTGGCAGAAATAAACTAGAGTAAAAAAGCTACTGGTCCAAAACTCTATTTTTAAACAGCTAATTGTGGAACTTTGAGATTTAGAAACAAATCACTACTGACCATGCCTGGATTCAGAGACAGGATTGAAGACAATGGCTTTAAATTCCTGCCTATGTTAGTAAAATCGCATAAAGGCACTAGAAGATGGGAACCAGAAGTTGGTTACTAGCAAGTTAAAATTGGCTTTTGTGATTACGAAGTTAAGTTTGGCAGAAAAGGATAATTACACCAGCAGTTTATCTGAACATAACAATTATGTTCCTCAAAAGTTGAAAAGAAGAAATTAACTTTATCTAATTTGTGGTAATTTCAAATCATTTGACTTGTAGTTACTGGCCTATAAACTATTTTCCCTTTCCCACACCCTACACTTGCAGGGTATAAAGGCAGGCTTTGTAGCAATATCCAGTGGGCCTTGCAGAGCTTAGCAGAACATTCTAAACCAGAGACATCTTTAGCACTATGTTAGGATCCATTCCATAAGCATTTCCTGCATGTCTACTACAGACCACATGTTAGTTATACTCTATATAGAATGTAGAGTTGTTGGCAGAGGCATTTCAAGTCAGATGAGACAAAGATGGTAATTTAGTCTTAAAAAAATTAGGTCTTCAATTTATTCCAAAATATTTAGTTGGCACTATAGTAGAGATGGTTTTTAGGGAAAGAATAAAAAAGACTATTGTGCAGCAATGTGAGCAAACAAGTAAAACCTGTAATCACAGACACTCTGTATTACATAGTATGCTGACAAAATTCTGTTTATTCTATATTAGTTACTAGAACTCAGAAAACATTTTTCCATACAGTAAAAAATGTTCAAAGATAAGGACTACAACAGGGTCAAAAAGCCAAGGGTGCCAGTCAATTCTGCCACTTACAGTGTTATGAGGCAAGTTACTTCAGCTTCCTAAGTGCCATTTTCTTCATCTGTAAAATACAGAAACTAATGTTTACCTCATAGACTGCTCTGAGGAGTAAATGAGATGATGCATGCAAAGATCTTGGGATAGTAGACAGTAAGTACTCAATTAATACTAGCCATTTTAAGTATCATATAACCCTGCTTTATTTAATTGCTTGACAGACCTTTTGTCAATAACGAGTCAACCTACCTAAGCTTGCCCAATTAAATAGAAATACTGAGAAATTTCTGTCACTAATGAGGGAGCTCACAAAGTCAAATAAAGGCTGGGCGTGGTGACTCATGCCTGTAATCTCAGCACTTTGGGAGGACGAGATGGGCAGATCACTTGAGGTCAGGAGTTTGAGACCAGCGTGGCCAACATGGTGAAACTCTGTCTCTACTAAAAATGCAAAAATTAGCTGGATGTGGTGGCACACACCTATAATCCCAGCTACTCAGGAGGCTGAGGCAAGAGACACTTGAACCTGGGAGGAGGAGTTTGCAGTGAGCCAAGATCATGCCACTGCACTCCAGCCTGGGTGACAGAGTGAGACTCCGTCTCAAAAAAACAAAACAAAACAAAAACAAAGTCAAGTAAGATCCAAGAGAGGTGAATGGGGATGAAGGTAGGTAGTGAAAGCAACACATATACCCTACTGTCCAGAAACAAGAGTGGCAGAAGCAGGGAATGGATAAATACACATGATGCCCCAAAGCTTGAATATTTCTCTTCTAACCATTTAAGTCACTCTGTGCCTTCTAAGAAAGTTTTTTTTTTTTTCAAAAAAGAAAAAAGCTCCATAATTTCAGAAAAGTGGAACAGAAGGCTTAATAATATTTGTTAATGTCAAGGACCAAGCACAGAATATTGCACAATACTACGAAAATGGTGAATGTTATTTCCTTCACTAGCAGCAGCGCTCTATCTCTGCCCCAAAACTCTATAAGCCAGTACAAACAATGATAATTCCTTTCTCCTCAGCCAATTTTTATCTCCTCTATCTCTCGCTACTTTCAGTAGATCACTGTCATTATCATAACCATCATCATCCCTTAACCTAGGCTTACTTGGCCTCATTAGCGATTCATTATTGTATTATGAAGAAGTGGCCATAAATTAGAGGCACTTCATGTTTTGGTATTTATATGGTGAAAGTATCTCACTATATAAATAATATTATCTGTTCCCTGTGTCAACACTATTGACTTACTAAGTAAGTTATGATTATTTTTCTTATAACACTTGGTGTTTAAACAGTAAATTTAAAAATATATGCCAATATTTAACATTTTCATGACTCAGGAATCCTGACAATGTTTCAAAATTGACCATTTAAAAATAGCTATATGGGATGGGCTCTTACAATAGATTATTAGAAATGCAACATTTTCCATAGAAAGATGGGCAATAATCATGAGAACTTATAATTTATCATTAATATTTGTTATTAAGATACCTTTTGCTTAAGACACATTGCTTAAGAATATGTGAACTGGATTTTGTGTCAGAACATTCCAACATGGTTAGCAGTTCTTTTCTGAGATTTTCATGTAATGTTTCTCTTATCTCACTGGTTAGGAACATGCTAAGAACAACCTGGGGTCCAAAAAATGCAACTCCCTTAGGTGCTTTTGCAGAGTGAAAATTACTCAAAAAGTTTGATGGGATTTTTCACTACCTCAATATTTGCTACTTTTCAAATCTCATTATTGGATTTACATCTAAATGCTGGCATGCCCCAAGCTTCTGTTAAAGTAGCCCTTTTTTCTTCTATGTATAGCCTCTGTCCTCAGGTAATTCCATCCAAATCCATGGAATTATGTACTTTCTATATGCCAATGACTCCCAAAGTACATATGTTGTCCAAACCTATGCCCTGAACTCCAGATTTATATCCAGCTGAACATTTATCATCTCCATTTGTATATCTAATCAGCATCCCAAACTTAACATGACAAAAGCACAACTGGAATTTTCCCCCAACCTGTTCTTCCCCTAGTCTTCTAATAGTAGTAACATCTACTCAGGTAATCAAACTAAAAATCTAGCTGTCTTCCTTGACTTCTCCTTATTTCCTGCCATTTAAAAAGAAGAAACAATCCAATTTTTTAACACAGGCAAAATAGCTGAACAGATACTTCATCAAAGATACACAGCTGGCAAGTAACACATAAAAATATACTCAATATATTTAGTCATTAAGTAAATGCAAAATGAAACCACAATGTAATACACATATTAGAATCAGTGAACTTGAAGACAGGTCAATATGTATAACCCAAAATAAAATACAGAGAGGAAAAGAATGAAAACAGCATAAAGAATCCAAACACTGTGGAATAATATCAAACGATGTACATACTGTATAACTGGAGAAGAAAGAGATAAAGAGGCAGAAGAAATACTTGAGGAAATGATGACTTAGGTTTTCCTGTATTCATGACATCAAGCCACAGATCCAAGGAGATTAGAGAACACCAAGCAGGATGACTACCCCTCCCACCCCCCCCAAAAAAATCACACTTAGGCATATCATATTCAAATAGTAAAAACCAAACAAAAAAAAAATCCTGAAGGCAGCCAGAGAGAGTTTAAAAAACACTTTATCTAAAAGTAAATAAGAACTTATCTTCTTGTCATAAACCATGCAAGCCAGAAGACAACAGAGCGACATATTTGTGTTCACTTCTGTCAACTCAGAATACTATACCCGGTGAATAGGAGGTTATTCTTCTAAATGATTTATGTGAACAGGTAAAAATATTTTCTATTTAGAGCCATATTCTTACAGACTGTTTTTGTTTTCCAAATGAAAGTCAATACTTGAATAGATATGTTTTGTACTCAAGGTGATGTTCCACAAATATGGTTTAATGAAAGCCTAATTAGTTGTCATTAAGGTATTTATTTAGGGAAAAGCTTAGGCAGTCAGCACAATCCCTATGTACTAAGCTAGAATTAGCAGAAAGAATGCTTATGTTGCTTTGTTAATAAAGCTCAAATGAAGACAGAAACATACATTCAGATTCACATCCACATTATGCAAGCAGGAAAACAAATCAAAAAGACAAGACTAAAGCCACTTTAGGGAATAACCAGTGTGCTTCAAAAAACACTTTGGCAGACAGCAAAGAAATCCAAGTACATTGTTGAGTTTGCATCATGCAGGCTATGTGTAAGCCACATGAGATACAGAGCAAAACGGATAAAAGCCAATATGGTTTTTTTTTTTTTTTTTTTTTTTTTTTTTTTTTTTTGAGACGGAGTCTCGCTCTGTCGCTCAGGCCGGACTGCCGACTGCAGTGGCGCAATCTCGGCTCACTGCAAGCTCTGCTTCCCGGGTTCACGCCATTCTCCTGCCTCAGCCTCCCGAGTAGCTGGGACTACAGGCGCCTGCCACCGCGCCCGGCTAATTTTTTGTATTTTTAGTAGAGACAGGGTTTCACCTTGTTAGCCAGGATGGTCTCGATCTCCTGACCTCGTGATCCACCCGCCTTGGCCTCCCAAAAAAAGCCAATATGTTTAACGGATGTATTGGAAAAACATTTTTTAAATGCAAATATAAAGTTCTGTTAATTAATCTCCCTTAAAAACCAACTAATTTAATCTTGTCAATCCTGCTTAGAGCATTCAATAGTTCTTTAATGATATCATCATTCCTCACTTTACTACTACCATTTATCCAACTTTGCATTTCCTCCTTTCTTCAACTCACACTCATTTTCTAGCCAAGTCCAATCTATTCATTCACATACTGTTTCATCCCTACACTGAGGTGTTTACCTGTCACACCCCTCACTTGAAATGCTATCCCCTTCACTCCAATGCTCAGATGATGACCTTCTCTTTGAAACTATTTCTGACTTGATAACCTGTAACTATTTTTAGTAAGATGAGCCACTTGGTTTTATACTCCTGCTATGACAAATTATCCCAAGTCTATTCTTCATCTTGTTATGCAGGAGTTGTCTCTGAGAAACAAAAGGTGATGGGTGAATGAGGACATGAGATATGAAACCACTACTAAAGACAAAATGCTCAACACTCCCAAAGAGCCTTGGGATGGGGTGGTATTCTTTTAACATTATAAGTTGACATGGAAGGTGACCTCCCAATTATGACTATGTGAGGTGAGGGCCTTCAATAACTGAGAGCTATAAAAAGAGAATGCATAATGAGTAAATATTGTTCACTTTCCTAAATAATCTTTTAAACACTTTTATGAAAGTTTTTCTAAGAGTACTGTTCTTCAGAGATAGAAATCTTATGCTAAGAGTCTATGCCTTAGTTTCTAGGAATGGATTGGGGTCACCCCATCTTAAATGTTAAACCAGTCTTCCAACCAAGAACTACAATAGTTGGTAAGGTAACTATCACAACCATGTTAACATTTATTGAACATATTTTATATACCTATCTCTACATATTCCAAGCCCTGTAGAAGATAGGAACAATGTAAAATAATATGCAGTTTCTATACAAAGATACACACATACACACACACACACACACACACGAAGTGTATACAGACCTGGACTGGGCATGGTGGCTCATGCCTACAATCCCAGCAGTTTGGGAGGCTGAGGTGAGTGGATCACTTGAGGCCAGGAATTCGAAACCACCCCGGCCAACATGGCAAAATGCCATCTCTACTAAAAATACAAAAATTAGCTGGGTGTGGTGGCACACACCTGTAGTCCCAGCTACTTGGGAGGCTGAGGCATAAGAATTGCTTGAACCCAGGAGGTGGAGGTTGCAATGAGCAGAGATGACACCACTGCACTCCAGCCTGGGTGACAGATCGAGACTCTGTCTCACAAATAAATAAAATAAAATATATACAGACCTGAAAAGTTAAATAACACTACATGACAATTTATCATTAGGTTCCAAATAGATTAGTATTACATAAATTACAAATGGACTGGTATTATTAACATAAATAAGTGCCACAAGAGTTCAGAGGAAAAGCTTCAAGAAGGATGTGATACTTCAGCTGGACCTTAAAAAACAGATAAATCTTGAGTGAAAAAAAACAGGTAATGAAGGACATTCGGTTCATGTGAATGTTGGAAACAGACTTGCATAAACAAAACTTTTTGTCTTAATAAATAAGATGAACTTGGAAAAGTAAGATAAGGTTTACACCATGGAATACCTTAAATATCAACCTAAAGAGTTGGGACTTGACTTTGCCTGAAGGTGACAACCAAGGAAGATATATCAATAATGTTACTGTCAAAGAAAGACTATAAACAACTTCAGCAAAGTCTCACAATGTGCAAAAATCACAAGCATTCCTATACACCAATAATAGACAAGCAGAGAGCTAAATCATGAGTGAATTCCCTTTCACAGTTGTTACAAAGAAAATAAAATACCTAGGAATAAAACTTACAAGGGATGTGAAGGACCTCTTCAAGGAGAACTACAAACCACTGCTCAAGGAAATAAGAGAGGACACAAACAAATGGAAAAAAAAATTTGATGCTCATGGATAGGAAGAATCAATATCATGAAAATGGCCATACCACCCAAAGTAATTTATAGATTCAATGTTATTCCCATCAAGCTAACACTGACTTTCTTCACAGAACTAGAAGAAACTACTTTAAATTTCATATGGAACCAAAAAAGGGCCAGTATAGCCAAGACAATCCTAAGAAAGAAGAACAAAGCTGGAGGCATTGCACTACCTGACTTCAAACTATACTACAAGGCTACAGTAACGGAAACAGCATGGTACTGGTACCAAAACAGATATATAGACAAATGGAACAGAACAGAGGCCTCAGAAATAGCACCACACATCTACAACCATTTGATCTTTGACAAACCTGACAAAAACAAGCAATGGGGAAAGGATTCCCTATTTAATAAATGGTGCTGGGAAACTGGCTAGCCATATGCAGAAAACAGAAACTGGATCCCTTCCTTACACCTTATACAAAAAATAACTCAAGATGGATTTAAGACTTAAAACCTAAAACCATAAAAACCCTAGAAGAAAACCTAGGCAACACCATTCAGGACATAGGCATGGGCAAAGACTTCATGACTAAAACACCAAAAGCAATGGCAACAAAAGCCAGAATTGACAAATGGGATCTAATTAAACTAAAGAGCTTCTTAACAGCAAAAGAAACTATCATCAGAGTGAACAGGCAACCTACAGAATGGAAGAAAATTTTTGCAGTCTATCCACCTGACAAAGGTTTACTATCCAGAATCTACAATGAACTTAAAACAAATTTACAAGAAAAAAAAAACCCATCAAAAACTGGGTAAAGGATATGAACAGACACTTCTCAAAAGAAGGCATTTATGCAGCCAACAAACCTCATCATCACTGGTCATTAGAGAAATGCAAATCAAAACCACAATAAGATACCATCTCATGTCAGTTAGAATGGCGATCACTAAGAAGTCTGGAAACAACGGATGCTGGAGGATGCGGAGAAATAGGAATGCTTTTACACTGTTGGTGGGAGTGTAAATTAATTCAACCATTGTGGAAGACAGTGTGGCAATTCCTCAAGAATCTAGAACCAGAAATACCATTTGAACCAACAATCCCATTACTGGGTATATGCCCAAAGGATTATAAATCATTCTACTATAAAGGCATGCACACGTATGCTTCTTGCAGCACTATTTACAATAGCAAAGACTTGGAACCAACCCAAATGCCCATCAATGATAGACTGAATAAAGAAAATGTGGCACATATATGCCATGGAATACTATGCAGCCATAAAAAATAATGAGTTAATGTCCTTTGCAGGGACATGGATGAAACTGGAAACCATCATCCTCAGCAAACTAACACAGGAGCAGAAAACCAAACACCACATGTTCTCACTCATAAGTTGAAGGTGAACAATGAGAACACATGGACACACAGAGGGGAACATCACACACCAGGGCCTGTCGAGGGGTGGGAGGAAAAGGGAGGGAGAGCATTAGGACAAATACCTAATGCATGTGGGGCTTAAAACCTACATGATGTGTTGATAGGTGCAGCAAACAACCATGGCACATGTATACCTATGTAACAAACCTGCACGTTCAGGACATGTATCCCAGAACCTAAAGTAAAATTAAAAAAAAAAAAAAAATAAAGACTATAAAACAGACCATTTGAGTCAGTACAGTTTTTTTACATTTTCCTTGAAAACACTGCTTCTCAAAGATCAGAATTTTCTTGTACAGCTCACTCTACTTAAAAGTATCCCAAGAACATGAAATTTTAATACAAATAGTACAGCTCTCTTTTAAGCAATAGGTCAAAAATAATGAAATCTATTCCACGCATGTGGAGATAAAATAGTATTATAATTTTGTGCTTTCAAAATATACCTCAAAATCCAAGATTTGTTAATTCTACTCTTCTGAGAAACTTTGCTCTGTGAGTTTAAAACGTTTTAAAATTAAGTTTAAATTATTTACTTGTCAATGACTTTTGAGAATTCATTTGTGTAAGTTTCAGGATGAAAAACGAATACCCAGTAATTCTGAGTCTAAAAGACATGGGAAAATTAGTTAACAACGCTGAATGAAAAATATAAATAAAGCTAAGAACACTATTGCAAGATTTACTGTAAAAAAAAAAAACAACCCTTTATTTGCATGTCAAATCAATGTATAAATACCTTTATTCACCTGCTAAGTAAACTTTAGAGCTTATCAGTCTTTTCAGCTCATATTATTACAAAGATGAGAGAAAATATTATCTTTGAAAAGATAAGGGCTGGAAATTCATAGAATAAATCAGGACTAAAATACACCACAGTCTTGCTATCAAGGAAAACTCAGTCCATAAGATAGGCACATATACTAAGTTAAACAATTTATAAGGTTTTTACACCACCTTAGTAAGAAGACTATGTGTGATACAGTCTAAGAAAATAGATCTAGTTTACTGTTAAAGCCACTCTAAAATGAAAACCTTACACTTCATAGTGTCTTCCAATTCCAAAAGCACTTTCATATCCATTATCTCACTTGGCCCTCACAAGTATCCTGTAACGTAGAGAAAGAAGGTAATTTTTGCCTTTCTTACCAATGATGAAACAGTTCATCAGTAGCAAATCTAGAGCTGGAATCTACATGTTCTCATTCAATAAGATGGCTATTCAACACACTGCCTCTCTAGCAAATGTAAGTCTAAGGGCTCAGCACATTTCAATTGTAAAGGTCAAACTCCCTAGTTCTATTCACAGCATAAACTGGAATATGCCTGGGATATGAAGTTTACTGATTTTTTTTATTTCTTTTCCTGTACATACTTTGTTTAAGGGTGTGCTACCCTTACCCGATGAAGGTAGAAATTTGATAGGGATATATTTACATGCAGCAAAGTTGGCAGAGACGTAAATTTATATAAACCAATTTTTTTCACAAACCTTCCCATAAAGTCACATAAGTACTCTCAACAGACTATATTTTAAAATATCAATAAGAACTGGTGATCTTAAAATGAATTACAAAGCATTCACAGCTGTCAGAAATTCATCTGAACCATAAAATTATATATTTTTGAGAGAGAAATAATATTTTGGGCACATGAAATAAGTGAATGTTCCATCATTATACCCCTAAAACATCTTTTGTAGAGAATTTTCTCACACACATAAAGAGTTCACATGCAAAACAAACTGTAACAAAAACTATTCAAAAAAATCTTTCAGCAATGCTAAAATACTTTAACTATATAACATATTTTCTGTGCTGTGTCTACTGTGAATTACTTCTCTACCAAGAACTTACTCATACTAAGGATATTTAAAGCAAAGCAAATACCATACAAATAATTATTTAATCTTATTTCTCAGAATCCTTAGTTATCTGATAGCAATTCAAAGTACAGTCATGTCTTACATTAATGATGGGCATATGTTCTGAGAAATTCATTGTTAGGCAATTTCACTGTTATTTGAACATCACAGAGTTACTTACACAAACCTAGAGGGCATAGCCTACTATATACCTAGGCAATATGGTACAGCCTATTGCCTCTAGGCTATGAACCTGTACAAAATGTTACCATACTGAATACTGTAGACAACTGTAGCACAATAGTAAGTGTTTGTGTATCTAAACATATCTAAACATTAAAAAGGTACCGTAAAAATATGGCATTATAATCTTATGGGACCACCTTCTTACAAGTAATCTCACTGACAGAAACTTTGTTTTGCAGTGCATGACTGTATCATTTAAAACACATCCCTAGGATTTACTGTGACCTTCAAATGTCAACACTACGTTGATTCAGAAAGGATAACTTTCTAATACATTTCATATTATTATAGTAGTCCACATGTAAAAACCACACTTTATGAATTTAGTAAATCATTTATGTGAATGTAGTTCTAGAAAGCATGTTTAAAATACCAGTTTTTAATTCTATCATATAGAAAGTCAAATTTCTAAAACAAAAACTGAAAAAAAGCCATTGTGAGATGGGTTACATGATGGGTAAATATGTCAAATGTACAGCATTGAGGTACCAGCATCATACTTACAGTATCTTCATAGTTTTGCTTCTGCAGCCCTTTCCAATTTGAGGTCTGTCTTCTACCATTCAGTGTCACCATGGTTACCTAGACTTTATTTATTCATTTATTTTACACTTCTCTTCAGCTGAATAGGGCTAGGCTCTCTTCTAGGTATTGAGGATATAGCAATTAGCAAGATAGACAAAGTTCCTGTCTTCATGAAATGTATGTATATGCCAGTGAGAGGAAAGACAAACAAGTAGGCAAATATATATCAGACAGAGGTTAAGTATTACTTTAAATAAATAAAGAAAGCAAGGTAAGAAGACAGAAAATGATGGTGAAAGGAATTGTTTTTGGCAGGGTGGACAGGAAAGCCTCACTCGGGAAGTGACTAGCAAAGAACACATAAAGCTCTGTGGAAGATATTCCAGGCAAAGGGAACATCAGGTGAAAAAGTCCTTGAAATGGGACTAAGCTTGGTGTACATCAGCAAGATAAGAGTGAAGAAAGGGGAACCTGGTAAGAAATGAGTTTAGAGAAGTAAGCAGGGATCTGATCAAGCAGGGCCTTAGAGGCCATGCCAAGGAGTGTGTATTTTATAAGGGCAATGGAAAGCCACTATAGGGTTTAAGGAGGGGAGTTACAAATTCTGATTTATGTTTTTAAAAAATCACTAAGACCATAGAGAAGACTGTAGAAGGAAAAATGTAAGATAAAGAAAACTAATGATGAAGGTGTCACATTTCTTTAGTACTTGCATGTTTGGACACAAGGTAGGTAGCACACTGTACCTATAACAACACACTCCCATAACTTAATTTAAGGTTATTCTTTGATCATGAAATTAGGAAGAAAAATGTAAAGGATAGGATCAGATATCCAAAGATATTACTCAAGACACTCATGGTGGATACGAAATAGAAGTCTTTTAGAAAAACCCCAAAATCTGATTTTAAAATAACTAAAGTATAACCTCACATATCACCAGATTGTATCCAATAACTAAAAGATTTTAAGCAATCAATTTTACAATATATGTTATTTTTAAATGAGCTAAAAAATGAGAGTGCTATACATTAAAGATTACAAACTCTCAGTCTGCTGGTATGTTTTAAGTTATTTGCTTTGTAGTTTTTTACTTGAATGACTTGCTAACACTGAGAAGTAAGATGACTTCATATGAAAATCCAGGTTTCTGTCTTTACCTCAAAAATCAGCAGCTCCAGGCTGGGCGCGGTGGCTCACGCCTGGAATCCCCCGCACTTTGGGAGGCCGAGGCGGGAGGATCACAAGGTTAGGAGATCGAGACCATCCTGGCTAACACGGTAAAACCCCGTCTCTACTAAAAATACAAAAAATTAGCCTGGCGTGGTGGCGGGCGCCTGTAGTCCCAGCTACTCGGGAGACTGAGACAGGAGAAGGGCGTGAACCCAGGAGGCGGGGCTTGCAGTGGGCCGAGATCGTGCCACTACACCCCAGCCTGGGTGACAGTGCAAGACTGTCTCAAAAAAAAAAAAAAAAAAAAAATCAGCATCTCCAGCACCTTTTATTCTTGCAAGGCAACAATCTTGGAAGTGAGCAACTCTATTTATTCTTATAGAATTCTACTAGAAGCTTCTCTAAAAATAAATGGATAAATTCTTTTACGTTACTTTTTGAGTAACATGGGACTTTTTATGTTGCTTTAAAAAGAAAAGAAAGTGTTTATCCTTTTGCCAACTTAAATATATTCCACTAGCATCCATGAAGAACCCATTATGAAACAATAACTGCTATGAAGAGTTTGGAGTCCAGGTAAATAATTCTAAAGGCACAGGAACTCTTGGAGATTCTACTGAACATTTAGGCAAATGCTGACTCCAAGATCTGAGGTGTCCAATAAGGTCCTAGTTTCCAGTAGGGTGACCTGCACCTCCACACCTTTATGCATGACAGTAACATTTCTTACAACTTCACAGGGCTTACAAAAGTGGAGAGCAAGTCCCTTCACCCAGGGCATCAGCTGCCATGTATGAGCTAATCCACTATTCAGACAGATACTCAGAGCATAAATTGCTATATATAGGAAATGAGAATCAAATCAACTAGTCCTCTCAAAAGGATTAAGTTATTTCATATAAAATCTACAATAAAGCATTTTTAAAACATATCACATCCTTTCCTTTTTTAAGCTATCTGACAAGTCAGATGAGACTCCTTAGGTCTACTTTAAGTTATTTTTGTACTATTTGCTAGATACCACATAAATGTATGGTGTTCATAAACAAGAAACAGTTGCACTCTACAAGTCTATAGAAATGACAGTACACAACGAGCTGAGACCACGAGATGAGAACAAAGTATAATCAAACAAGCTTTTCTTTTCCCTCATAAATACCATCAGAAACATAATTTTAGCACCCCAGAAAGCAACAAGCTAAAATTGTGAATTAAACAGATGTAAAAATATATTTTTAATGCAAAGCAAAGGAAAGAAAAATGCGATCTCAAATGTACATGCATGGATATCTATGGCAGATTTTGAAGTCTACTTTTATGGAACACACTTCATGAAAATAAGCTTTGCTTCTACTTAAACATTTCAAAACATTAAATGTGTAATAGTTTTCCCAATGGCATATGGTTTGAATTGATAGTGGTAAATAATTGTACATAAAATGAAACTACACTGACCTAAATGTTAGTAAAAGTGACAAAATAAAATACTAGCAATATAAACCGTTGCATGGGTGTATGCCATATTACCAGGTGAAAAAAAAATTATTGCAATTACAGGCTTTCATTATTTATTTCACCTTTATGTAATTACATCTTATAAATGTTTATTTAGTAATATCAATCTGAGACATCATTTTGAGAATATAATTAACTGGATAGTAAAACAGAACGTGTGTGTGTTTTACTATTTTTCTCTTTATTTCAAAAAAGTTGGTCTTTGTTAGTTGTGTTTAACTGCCATCTAGAGTTAAAATGAATCCATTTCTTTTCCCCTCTACTTCTTTTCAAAATTTTTGGCATACAGGCAAACATGTTTCACTTCTTCACATCAAACAAATATTCATCAGACAAAAAAACTGTAAAAGGATAACTTCATGCAATTTTTCAAATTACTGTTAGCAATTACACCTACTGCAAATACTTTAAGTTGACTAAAAATTAAGACTTACATTTACACTAGTTAAAACGCTATTTTTGACGATATAAACAAGCCAATGAACAACCTAATACACATCTGGACTTTGGGAAATACATTAAAAACTTCAGGTTATAGTCTATTTCATGACCTACAATTTGTTTTTTTTTTTTTTTGAGTCCAAGAAAAGCAGACCCAAATAAAAAGATATTCAGTAGTTACTTCATTTTTTTCACATATGAAAAATATGATTATGAAAAATTAGCTAAATCCCAGGCCGGGTGCGGTGGCTCACGCCTGAAATCCCAGCACTTTGGGAGGCTGAGGCGGGCAGATCACCTGAGGTTGGGAGTTCAAGACCAGCCTGACCAACATGGAGAAACCCCGTCTCTATTAAAAATACAAAATTAGCCAGGTATGGTGGCACATGCCTGTAATCCCAGCTACTCCAGAGGCTGAGGCAGGACAATCGCTTGAACCTGGGAGGCAGAGGCTGAGGTGAGCTAAGATCGCACCATTGCACTCCAGCCTGGGCAACAAGAGCAAAACTTTTGTCTCAAACAAACAAACAAAAAAAAAATTAAAAAAAAAAAGAAAAATTAACTAAATCCCAACTGCATATTCAACTAACTAAACTTTTTACTATTCTTATGTTAAAAGTGGCATTCAAATCCCAATTTCAGCAGGGAGTTTGTAAGAATAAGCCATCAGTACAATTACTCAGCTTTCAATTTAAGAAAGGCATTATTAAAAATCTATTTTAAAAAGGGATACTGAAGAGAAAAATGAAATTAGATTTCAAAATAAGACTTGATGCCCTAGCACAGAAGAAATGTATTCACATGAAGTGTTCCAAAAATTAGGTAAAATATTACTGTTCTCATATAAATAGAGTATAGGTTTTTTTAAATTAACTTTCCCAAATGCATTAAACCACAACAGCTTTTTCTAACAATATTTTTATACATCATTAGATTCTGAAACAAAGAAGTTGCAATCCAGTAAAACTGCAACTCTTGTTCAAAGGAAATTATATGCAAGTTTTCAAGTGGATGCACACAGCAAACAATGATGATGAAAAACAGGCTAGTGCAAAGAGCCTTGAATGTTTTCAATAAACACAACTGTAGCATTACAAGAAGATGGCAATAGCAGAATACTTATCAAGTACAG
Organism: Homo sapiens; assembly: GCF_000001405.40. Lineage (NCBI taxonomy): Eukaryota > Metazoa > Chordata > Mammalia > Primates > Hominidae > Homo > Homo sapiens. The sequence goes on from NC_000003.12 coordinate 62,313,746, forward strand.
TACTCAAGTACGCATTTAAGAAGGTTCTTAATTGCTTGCTCAATTGTGGACTAATAAAGTTATTACAGGATTATAAGAATCAAAGAGGAACAAACAGAGAGAAAAAAAAATAAGCAAGCCTGAAGGCCGTGAACGAGAAAACGCCTACCTCAAGAAAAGCCTGGATTAACAGTCATAGAGACTAGTGAATGTACTGAGAGCCACTGGAAAATCATGGAAACAGGACTGAAAAAAAAAATAAAACCTTCTATAAATTTTATACGTCTGGAAAAGTGTCCATTTAAGACAATGGGTTTGTCTGAGCTCTAAATTACTGAAATTTGTGAAGTAAAAAGTACAGATGGTCCCTGACTTACAACAGTTCGAGTTATAATTTCTTGACTTTACAATGGGCTTATAGGGTATTAAATGCATTTTTGACTTACAATATTTTTGACTTACAGTAAGTTTATCAGGATGTAACCTCATCACACATTAAGGAGCATGTGCATACACATTTACTATGTATACTGTTGGGGCTTAGAAAACAACACTGCAAAATGAATGGCGTTTTGGCATGCTGAACACTTTGAACCATAATAGGAAGGCCTTAGAAATTACCTCAGAATCAAGGACTTTCTTCTTTATTTTTTTTTTCTTTTGAGACAGGAGCTTGCTTTGTCACCCAGGCTGGTCTCGAACTCCAGGCTTCAAGCGATCCTCCCACCTCAGCCTCCCAAAGTGCTGGGATTATAGCCGTGAGCCACAGCACACCTATAATCCCAGAATCAAGGACTTTCTAATCTCTCCTGTCCTCCCTTCTCCCCACCCCCAGAACAGGGTGAAATTTAACTCTTAATATTCCTTTATCCGCCTTAAGACCTGGCCCACCAAAGAGAACACAACTGCCTTCCATCCCCTCCTTGAAATTTTATTACCAGGAAAGAAGACTGAGGCATGTAACCACACCTGAAGGGATTTTGTTCTGCCTGTTAGGCTCAAATTACAAAGAAAAACATTTACAAGCTAGTATTTCTACCTCCCAGGTCCATTCATCTTCCCTAAAGTCATGTATTACCTCTCTAAAAATTGTCTACAGCACCCCCTTCACCATTTCCCTCTCCCCGCTGGAGTATTTAAGCCTCAACCATCCGGCCCCTCTTTGAGCCTCATATTTTATATGGCTCCTGTGTTTATGCACATTAAGTATATTTGTATGCTGTATTAGTCCATTCTCACACTGCTAATGAAGACATACCCAAGACTGGGTAATTTATAAAGATAAGAGGTTTAATTGACTCACAGTTCTGCATGGCTGGGGAGGCTCAGGAAACTTACAATCGTGGCAGAAGGTACCTCTTCACGGGGCAGCAGAAAAGCGAATGAGTGCACAAGCCAAGGGGGAAACCCCTTATAAAACCATCAGATCTCTTGAGAACTCACTATACGAGGACAGTATGTGGGAAACCACCACCATGATTCAATTCTCTCTACTTGGTCCCACCCTTGACACAGGGGGATTATTACAATGCAAGGTGAGATGTGGGTGGGGACACCAAGCCAAACCATATCATATTCCTTTTTCTCTTATTAATTTGTTTATTGTCAGTCATTTCCACAAAGGTTCAAAGAGAGTAGAAGGGACACTTTCCCTCTCCTGCTATAATACAACAAACAAATGACTTCCTAAGAATCAACATGCGTGCTTTCAATTTAAAATTTCTAATGTTTTCTCAAGTGCATTTTACAACTACTGCGGTTTTTGTTTTTCCAAGGAAGGAAGAGGCATATGCAAATTCTCACTGGCAATCTCTAGGATTGAGCATAGTTTTATCAGCAAGATCTCCGCTGAGAATGTCTAGAACATAAACATCAACCGTCAGAATGATTTCTCTATTGCAGCATTTTATCTGATTGAACCTAAATTGATACCTGGTTCACTAACAAAAGCTCTAAAGAAGTATCTGCTTATAAATTCTCTCTACTCAATATCCATCAGGGCCAATTTAAAGCATTTCAGATATATTTTGAGTATAGAATATTTTACCATAATAAAATGAACAGACTATAATTATGGAACAAGGTAAATTTCTGATTATTTTATTTCAAAGTAAAGTACGCAGGCAATTGGACCCACTACCAAATTTCACCCAGGATTTCCTGAAATAGGAAGAAAAACTATGTCAGTCATGAGCTCTTTATTTTTTTAGTACTTGTCTATCCAGAGAAAACTCAAAGTGGGTCTAAAAAGATGGCCTTTATATAAACTATAACAGAATTTACTGTTAATAACTTGGAGTATTTGAAATAGTCAAGGATTCTGCAATTTTTTTATTTCTTACTCTTTAACGCTTGTCCTTTCTTTTCCATCCTCAAGCCTTCCTTTTCTGTCTTCATTTCTATTTTCTACTCACCAGTCTTACCTCCTCCAATAATTTCATCTCTTTATTACTATCAAACCTCCATTTTCAAATTATATGGCATCAGAAATGAAATCTTCAAAATTAAGGAAAATGAGGAGAAAACATTCTTCCCAATGCTTCCTTTCCATTAGGCCTCACACCAGATGTACTCACATGCACACATTTCTATGCAAGCTGCTTCCCTCATTTAGAACACTCCACACCACACTCTCCTGCCACCTGATACACCCAATCACAAAATGACTTCCAAATCAGCCCATTTTTCAAGGTCCACCTGAGTCTTTCAAAATGCTGTCTATACTATTCCAGCTCATAGTGCTCTCTCCTGTCTTCCCTATCATCCTCATAATCGGCATACTTTTTAATTCTATAACCTCAAGATAACATACAGAATTATTTAGAATACTAACATCAAACACTTTGAAGTTCATTTACTAGCAGTGTGATCTTAAGTAAATAATTTCTCTAAGTCTCAATTTTCTCAGCTATAAAAATGAGGATACTAAGACTTCGGCACACTTGCTCATAGGGTTTTTATGAGGATAAGGTGATTCATGGAAAGTGTCTGGTACAGAATAAACATTCAATAAAAACCATTTTTTATGTTGTCAGCCATCATCCTCCAGCTTTTTGTGTATACTTTAAAAGCCCAGCCAGATTCTAGGCTCTTAAGGGCAGATTACATCTTACAGATGTTTAATACATACATGTTTATAGAATGTATGACTAAATGATACAATGTTTTCTAAATAATGAAGCTGGGGGCAATTATAGAACATTATATGAGGCTGAGGAGATAATTATCGCATGCTGGTGCATAGAACTAGTCCAGGGGTTAGGAAACATTAATTTCACACCACCTTTGCAGATTATCTCATTATGGGTCAGTTGTTACTTAGTAGGTTGCAATAATTTTCATGGCTGTGAATGCCTCACTCCAGAAAGTATCCAAACTTACCTGATAAATACAGAAGCTGTATATTAATAGATACAATGTTGCCATAGATTCTTCCTCAACAGCCTGGTGTCTCACAGAAAGGATCAGCTGTGGGCAATATAATGAGAAGGGCAGCTATCACAGACCTTTAAGTAGAAAGTAACCACCTTTATTGGATGCTATAAAATAAATTATCAAAGTCTATCTAGATAACCCCCAAGTGTCTGTGATATATTCCTGATTGCTGTTCTTAAAAACTGCAAGAAAACTCCCAAGGTATTCCTTAGTTCACAGCTAAGGCGGATGGTGACCTACAAAAGTTGGGCTCAAAGTTGAAAGAGCCGGATTTGTCCCAACTGTGTTACTATGCAAACTTACACAAAGCAGGGAGGTAAGCAGTTTGTCAAGCAACATACAAATGCTGTAATGAGCCTACAGTTATTATTTTCATGCAACCCATTACCAACTTAAGAAAAATCCTTATTTGTAAATGTACATAAAAAATAAACAAGAATTCCTTATAACCATGCAAAAGCTCTATTTCATTCCTAGAACAGAGGACCACTCAAGGGTCTACTTTTCATCTTTCCTAAGTGGTAAGGGTAAGGAACAGCAAAATCAAAGTTCCTATCAAGTGAAGTTAGAGTACTCTGAAATTATGATGAATGTTAACGGGAGGAATTATTTCATTCGTTCATTCAAATATATTTACTGAGCACTTACATGTCAGGCAGTTCCGGTTGCTGAGGATACATCAGCAAAGCAGAGACAAAAATACCTGTTCTTAGGATGTTCAAATTCTAGTGGTGGGTGCACCTGCTAAACAAATAAATGAGTGATTACACAATATATGCAATGTTACTGTGTTACGGAAAAAAATAAAGCAGGTGGAGGATAGGGAGCCAGGAGGTGGAGATATTCTTATATTGGAGATTGAAGGAATGGTCCTGTGAGGTGACAGATCGAAAGATACAAGGAATCAAATCTATAAATGTCAGAAGGGGCTTTCCAAGCAAAGGAAACATTAAGTGCAGAAGTCCTGACGCAAGAGCTACGTTTTATGTAAATATTCTACGAGGAGAAAATTTAAAAAACACCTTGGATTTTGGAGTCCTAGCTCTTTGTCTTTTACCAGCAGAGTATAATTTATAAAGAAAACAACTTTACCTCTCTTGAACCTGTTTCTTCCTCTGTATATTAGAGGACTGACACTACCATATACTTATTTCAAGGAACGAAAATTAAGAAACGCACTTTACAGAAACGAGATATTACAAAGTGCTAAATTAACAACCAAGCTTGTCTCCTTGGCTGTCAAATGAAGCTAATGTGCCCATTTCACAGGGCTTTGCGGGGACTCAATGAGATAACCAACGTAAATATGTCGACTGACACTCAGAAACCCCGCAAGGCATGATCAAGCAATACTACTGTCAACACAGGGTCTACCAACTATGAGCAGGCAGGGGCTCTTGCTGCTCTGCTCAGTATAAGACGCCCAGGACGAAGCACCTCGAAACTGCTCCACAGGCATTCGTTGAATAAACCGACTGTAAACTCGACTCACTTTAGACTACTGTGCCGAATTTTTCGCATTTCTACATTCTGCTGGGACATTCCAGCTTCTAAGAACCCAGCTTCACTCTCTGAAACTCTTTCAACATATGCAGGTCTCACTTTAAAAGGTCTTGAAATGGAGTTCCTACCAGACGGCCTTTCCCTAGGGTTCATAAAGACCCTTTCAAGCCACCCTCCCGCGCGCCGCGTTACCACACGCCCACCTCCTGGTTGCCGCGACTACACCTCACGAACTTTTCGCGCCCCAAGGCGGCCCTTTATAAAGATGCGGTGACGTCACCGCGCGCCGCGCGTGCGCAAATATGGTAACGTGACCACGCCCTGGCCTGCGCTAAGGCCCCGGCGTCGGCGCAGTAGCTGGTGCCTTCCCGGAAGGGCTCAGAGGCGGGCTCGGTGAGTGGAGTCGGACAGTGGGTGGGTGCCCTGACTGCCTGACGGCCGCGCAGGGCCTTGCAGGACCGCTGGGGAGGATGTTGTTAACGTAAAGAGCCAGGCTGATGAGGAAGGTTCATGAGTCCTTTGGGTATAAGCGGGAGTTGGGGCGGCCGGAGGGCAGATGACTCTGAGAAGGTGCGGATCTTCGATTCTAAGGGGAGAATGTGATTTGGTTTTGTCTAAAGTGCTGATAGTGGGCCTCACAGAAAAGTTACCATGAACCGACTTTCCGGGATTCCCTTGGCGCTGCATTAATTGGCCTCGTTGCAAAAGGAAACCGAGAGGAAGGCGGCAAGACTTGGCCTGCGGGTGATGTTAGCGGAAAATATCTGTAATTTAGACCCCGGAGGGCGGGCCTGTGAGCGATTGCTGTCCGCGGTGCTGAAGGAAAGGCAGCCACGCCCAGAGGAGGAAACCTAATGAGGGCAGGGCGGTGTTTCCGTTTTCCTTGGCCGGGTTCAGCACCCTACACTCAATAAGCGTGGGCTTTCTAGCAGGACTGGACACTCAGGCGGTGTGTCAATCTTTAGACAATCTTTATAGAGTGCATAGATGTTTAATTTCATAAAATTTAGGAAAGCTTCATTTCAGGAAGGAATTTTATTCCTCTTTTTCTCCCTTAGGGCAAGCACTTTAACCTTTTAAGCCCAACCAGATGAGTTGCCTGCAGTTTTGGAGGCCTTCAGAGCATTTCACTAGACCTCTGTCTGTGTCGGTCCAGTGTCTTTAGCCAAGGTGAGCTTGCTCGTGGTGTGAAGTGTGCCACGAAAATGGGCTTTCCTGCACTCCACAAATGAGAGTGCTTAGCAGCCAGGGGAAGGGGAAGGTATCTATCTAATTGTGCTTTTCCTCGCAGTTACACATGAAAAGTACTTTCCTATTTAGAAGAGAGATGGTAGAACTGGGCACTCTTCCAATAAAGGAAAGACCTTGAATTTCCAGTTGGTTCTCATACTTGTTTGCCTGCCTTTCTGTCTATGTGTGTTTGCACATGCATAAGGGATGGTGTTCCTGTGTTGAATTTTACAGAGCAGATTTTTTTTCTGTTGATTCAATAAAACGTTTAGTAGTCTTAGTACCAGCTGCTTGTTTGTTTTTAATTCTGATTAAGGTTAGAGTCTAGAAAGAGAAGACAATATGAAATATGTTGGGTTTACCTAATTCATAGTATTCTTAGATGTATCTGGCATGCTGAATAAAAATGTGTTTAATTGCATCCTTTCATTTTATACATTATTACATCTTAAGTTTTCTTTTCTCTTCTGAGAGAACCAATGGATTAAGGTACTAAAATAATCAAATGTTGCAAAGCTGAGGACATGTGGTAGAAGTAACTTTAAATGTTTTTATTCTTTATGACAGCTTTGATTAAAGATGACTTCCTTGTTTGCTCAAGAAATTCGCCTTTCTAAAAGACATGAAGAAATGTAAGTTTTTTTAAAGGGATGATTCAGATATAGAAATTGGACTGGCTTTGTTAGTGAAATATTGTATACACAGGATGACTTAAAAATTTGCAAGCATGTCATTTTAATTTTCTGACACTTAAGAGGTTTTAGTGTTAGGGAATTTCATTGTTTCTTATGAATAAGCAAGATTAAAAGGTATGTTCTATGTATTTTTACTCTTTGTAAGTAATATATAGATAAATTTGCCCCTCCTCCCACCCTTTCTAGGCTCCACATTGGCATTTAATGGGCTTCTCTAAACCTCTTACACAGGGCTGGCTTCTTGGGTATGTGACTTATATACAGTCACAGGTCCTGCATTTGGTTTAATGCTCTCATGCCATTGTCTTGCATCATTTTGGACTGGACCCTGCAAATTGTGTAGCCAGTCCTGCTCTTTGCTTTGTATTATTCACTCTTTTCCTCCTCTGTTTGTGGGCTTTCAGGTTTTCCTTTTCTTTAATTAATTACCAGACGTTCTTTCCTTGGCTCCTAAGATACTTTCCTTACCAAAAAATTGACTGTTCATAGACCTGAGATTTTAATTCCACCTTTAAGACAGCCTGATGAAACACAGTGTTTCTTGAGAACCTCCACAACTATTTGGGAAACAGTTTGACTGTTATGTATACCAACGTATGTATCTTTTAATCATCTTACATATTGTCCTAAAAAGAACAAAAACATATAAAATAAGCATTTGACCAGCAAGAAACTTTTAAAGTATATTATATGTAACGAAGTAGTTTGAAGATGTTTACTTGTAATTTTTTACATCTTTCTTCAATTACTGTTTTACCTTGTTGTGAGTATGCATACATACACACAGCCTCTCACTCATATATCAAACCATCATCTTTCTCTTGGAAAAAGAGGGAAAAAATATTTTTATTGCTTCTTCAAACATATGGAAGTTTAGCACAATTCTAAATGTGTAACATGAGATTCAGGGGTACTGAAGTGTTAAGCAGAAGGTTTCATATAGCAAGTTATATCAATGTATGTGTGTCGGGAGGTATATATAACTATGTGTACAAAGGGATATGTATTACAGTTTGCATTTTCACCAAAAATTAAAACATATCTTCAACATTCTAAAATAATTTCAAAAGACCAGAGAGGCTAAAAAAACAGAAGCATGTACTTATGGCATATATAAAGAATATGTTAATGAAAATAAAAATAATTTTAACCAGATTGACTTAAGACTTATTGAACTACCTCAGATTTTTCACTGTCTTATTAGTCGACATAGTAATTGACTTTCAGAATAGGTTAGAGTTGAAGTGAGGTGCAATTAAGAAATGAATTTTTTATATTGGTCAAGCAGTAAAATGTTTGCTTTTACTTTTTTAACTCTATATAATCTTCGTTTTTTTTCTAGAGTATCACAAAGATTAATGTTACTTCAACAAATGGAGAATAAATTGGGTGATCAACACACAGAAAAGGCATCTCAACTCCAAACTGTTGAGACTGCTTTTAAAAGGAACCTTAGTCTTTTAAAGGTAAGTTTCCATGACTTGAATATAGAGATTTATCCCACCTTCTCAAAAATCTTTTAGGTAAGTTTCATAAAATTGATTTATATAACTTATTGGTTCTCAGTAATAAGTAGAATTACTAAAGCAGCATCTTTTTTAAAAGCCCATGTCAGTTAGATAAGTAGCATATGTATCCTCATTTTTTTAAATTAAAAAAATTGAACTTTGCTTAAGCTAAATGTTTGCAATCAACTAGAAAATCAATGACTACAGAAGGAATTGTAAGGTCACCCTTTTGCAAGAAGTAAGAAACAGAAGATGTACCTTTCCATCTTTCATCTTCTTTTATTTGAAAGGAAATCCTGAAAGGCCATAAAGTACCTATAAGATATTGAGAGCCAACTCACAACTATCAAACATCATAAAAACAAGAACAATTTGATTTTGTCTGACTAGGTAAACACACAGAATTCATATCTATGATAACAGATTTCCCAGCTCCCTCTTGATGGATATGGAGGAGTGGTCAAAGTGTATGATTGTGCGGGGCCTCACCATTTGGCCAATGTGCCCATTTGGAGTAGAATCATATGTGTAACATTTTTGGCTGCTTGTTATACTTTGCTTCCAGAATTGTATGGCTTCATCCATAATTAAAACCCTAAAGTTTGCTTCCATTCAAGCTTCCAAGAGATCCTATGACTAAAACATTTGGTAGTAAGACTATATTATTTAAGTTATAAAGCAGTGTTTTCAGTTTTTTATTGTTAAATATTTTCATCGATAGGCATGATATAGTTATCTTCTGTCCTCACTAGAGGATAAAGGAAGAGGAAAATTCAGTTATCTTCTCAGCTTCTGGCAGTTTGATCCACAGTAATTTAAGTCACAGCCATAGTGCTACCAAAGCATTCTATATTGCCATATGTCTTACTTGCCCAATGGTGTTAGCAATATTTATTTTTAAATGGAAATATATAGGATAATCTGGAATTTGCTCTGAAAAGTTAGAAAAACTAAATTAGAAGGCTTAATTGCTACCTACCTGCAGCACGTGATATGATATTTGGTTTTCAAGCATTTTCCTTTTAATGAGCAAGTATTTGATGAATGCTTAGAGGGTCCTTACTATTGAGCTAGTTCTGGGCAGAAAGTAGGGACAACAAAATAAGTATAAATCAGAGCTCTTGATATCAAGAACCCAGAAACTTTGTGTGATCAAACATTAAATTACATGGAATGGAGTCAGGACTACAGAAATAAGAGTTAAAACATCTTTGAGAGCTAGAATATTCCAAAAGGTCTCAGAGAAGAAGCTAAGCCTAGCCTGTGTTTCAATAGGCAGAAGGCAAGGCATACTGTTGGATTCTTACAAAAGAGCCAAGACCAGAAGACTGACCTTGTTAATGATCCTGGGAGCGTGACTAACTAGCTTAGAAATTCACAGGAAACAAGGTTGGATATGTGTTATGGGACCAAAGAAGTTGAGACTTGATATATAGACATAATTCAGTACTGAAAATGACTAAGCAAAAGGAAAATATAGACTTATATAAGAAATAAATGAGTGGGTATTTAAGAAAGATTCATTTGCTATTTAGATGCAAGATGATTTCAAAAATGGAGAGAACAGTGTTCAGAAGGGTAGCTAAGAAATCGTAGTCATACATATATAAGGAACATAATGAACCTGGTTTCATAGTTATGAGAAACTTCAATTTGGTATGATTTTTCCCCTGATTATCAAAGTAATATATTCCTACTGTAAAAAAAATTTTTTAAAGTGTAAAGTAGACGAAATAGCATACCTTCCATATCATCCTATTGATCTAAAATTAATACATTTTTGTATATTTTCTTTCAGTACTTCAATAAACATTTATTGAGCATCTATTATATCACAAACACAGTGCTTGCTGCTAGAGATGCTGCCTCTTCTCTTTTTTTGCATTCTTTGAGTCATTGCATATGCAATTTTTAAAATCCTACTTTCCTCGTATGTTTTTAAACTTTGGAAAGAATTTTAGTGGCTCTACCATAGAAGTCATTATGAAAGTAAAATAAATGAGACTTAGCCGGGCACAGTGGCTCATGTCTATAATCTTTGGATTACACTTGGGGAGGCCAAGGCTGGAGGATCACTTGAGCCCAGGAGTTCAGGACCAGCCTGAGCAACACAGCAAGACCCTATCTCTAAAAAAAAAAGTTAAAAAACTAGCTGGACGTGGTGGTGTATGCCTTTGGTCCCAGCTGCTTGGGAGGCTGTGGCAGGAAGTTCCCTTGAGCCCAGGAGTTCAGGGTTGCAGTGAGCTATGATCATGCACTGCAGTCACTGAACTTGCAGCCTGAGTGACAGAGTGAGACTCTGTGTCTGGGGAAAAATAAATAAATAAGACTTGATTGCAGAATTTTGAGTTGGTAGACACTTTAAAAATATGTATATTAGATTTGATTCTCATGTAAAGGTATTTAACTTTTTTTAGCACTAAAACTTCTTTCATGTTAAAATAGATAGAGGTGGACCTGCTTTGGGTCAAAGCCTCACTGTTCAGTCTTTCCTTGACTGCCCAGCTGTGGCTTTAAGCAATTGTGAAAACCACTGATCTGGGCTAATTCCTTAATTTAAAGATGAGGAAACCATAGGGCAATTACTCCTGATAAACTTGTTCAGGACAAGTTAAGTTACATCTAGGACAGGTACTTCAGAAGTACAGCCTACACTTTAAAAATGGTTCCAATAAAACTTGAAAGCATTTCTGTAATAAGAGTACAAAATATGGATGACCTCTATTAACATCCATTATTTGACCTTATTTAGATCTTCTGACCAATATAATAAACATTAAAAAGGAATGAGCTTTCACTTTTGAAAAGGAAAGTATAACACTAGCATTTTGGAATGATATGGTTATATACTTTAAAAAGCCAAATTTGTTCTAAAAGTAGTATAATATGAGTTAAGTAAAACTGATGGATAAAAGATACAAAAATCAATAGTAATTCTATGTATACAACTGGAAAATATAAGAAATGAAGTTCACATTAGCAATAAAATTCTAAAATACTTGGGAATGATCTTAACAAGGGGTTTGCCTGATTGGTGTGAAGACAATTATTACACTGAAATGGAAGATTTAAAAGAAAACTTACAAGGAAACATATGCCTTAATCCTGACTAGGAAGACTATTGTTTTTTTAAAGTCAGCTGTTACACATACCCTCTGAATTGAGTCTTTGTAAAAACTAACATAAAATAAAAAAACAGCTATCACAAAATTATTTTTAGATTTAAATAAGTTCCAACAGAATTTGCCTTGAACTCAATAAAATTTCTGTAAATTCCTTTGGAAAGTAGCAGGAATATAAAATATCAAAGAATGTATTTTAAAAAGGAGCAGTGAGGAAGAGACCAATTCCATCAAATATTTGAGCATATTAGTAAATGAATAGATATGAATGTAGGTAGTGAAGAATAGGCTTCAGTCAGTAACTATCATAAAAGATAGTGAACTTTGAAAACACAGGGTGGGTGATTTTTCCCTGTTAGTATTAGTAAAATGGAATTTATCTGCCTTTTAAGAACATAACAGAATTGGTATAGATTTGAAAGAGAAAGAGAAAATTGTGTTTTTTATAAATACTGCCACACTGTAAGCTGACATCTCTCCCCACGTACCTACCATAAAATTTAGTTTTATCTAGAAAGGCAATTGTGTAAGTAGGGCCAGGTGCGGTGGCTCACGCCTGTAATCCCAGCACTTTGGGAGGCCAAGGCGGGCAGATCAAGAGATCAAGACCATCCTGGCCAACATGGTGAAACCCCGTCTCTACTAAAAATACAAAAATTAGCAGGGTGTGGTGGTGCGCGCCTGTAGTCCCAGCTACTCTGGAAGCTGAGGCAGGAAAATTGCTTGAACCCGGGAAGCAGGGGGTTGCAGTGAGCGAGATTGTGCCACTGCACTCCAGCCTGGGGACAGAGTGAGACTTCGTCTCAAAAAAAAAAAAAAAAAAGGCAATTCTGTAAGTAAACATCACCTCAAGAGTAAGCTCATGAGTAAGCTGGACAAACACTCCGGGGTGAGAAAGAATGAGAAAGTGCTGCAGCCGGTGAGAGAATCCTTCCACTGAAGAATGCCCTGGAAGCCTTTATGGGGCAGTTGGCAGTTAAACAGAGACTTCAACAAACTGCCATCCAAGATGGTCGGTGACTTACAGGACCCTATCTCTCCTTTTTCCTTCTTACATTTCTCACCTCCGGTTCCTTGAAGAATATGTTTAATAAATGCTTACATTGTACCAATGACCCTGTATCTCATGCTTTAGTATCTTATTTTTTCTATCCCAGAAATTGGCCCTCCAGCAGATTAAAAGATTAAAACCAGCCTGGCCATAGCTGGATTCACTGTATATATTTATAGTGAGGTATTAGATTTCAAGTTTTGGAGGAAGTGGCATGTATAGGGATGGGAAGAGAAAGAGATCTCAGCATGTGACTTTCTGTGCTCATATTTCACCTTTCCTAATCATGAATCAACTCATTTAAATATAGCCTTCTCAATTCTGCCATAGAGTAACATTTATACCATCATCCACACTGGGAACTTGTTTTTTAACTGTTATGAAGAGTTTCAAGCCTATATAGAAGAGGGAATGGAAGAATGTACTTGCATGTGCTTATTACCCAGATTCAATAATTATCGAAACATGGCCAATCTTGCTTCATCTATATACCTCATCCCCTTCCCCAACCACTCAGATTATTTTGAAGGTATTCTCCAGAAATCATATTGTTTCACCTATAGCTATTTCTGAATATATGTATTTTTTCTGTGTATATCACTAAATTATAAGGACTATTTTACTATTTTAAGCAAAATCACAATACTATTATCAATAAGAAATTACCACTAATTCCTCAAGTATTCAGTCAGAGTTCACATTTCTCTGATAAATCTGTAGGCATGTTTACATTTGTTTGGATTAGACTCCAAATAAAATCTAACATTGTACTTGATTGATAAGTCTCTAAAAGTATCCCCTGACCTTTTCATCCACTTTTAATTTATGTGTAAAGGAATTAGGTCATTTGTCCTATGCGTTTCCCAGTTTGGATATTGCTAATTACATCTCTGACGTATCATTTTGCATGTTCCTGTATTCTCCGTAATTCCTATAAATTGATCTAGAGCTGTGCTGTCCAACAGAAATATAATGTGAGCACATATGTAATTAAAATTTTCTAGTAACCACTTTTAACAAAGTCAAAAGAAACAGATGAAATTAATAACATTTTAATGAGGCATGTACAAAATATTATTTCAAATGTTTCTATCAAAAATTCGTAATTAAATATCCCATATTCTTTTTCTTACTAAGCCTTCTGAATTCAGTGTATGTTTTGCACTTACAGCACATCTTAGTTTGGACTTGCCACATTTTTAGTGCTCAGTAGCCACATGAGAAGTTCTAGAGGCTGGATCAGATTCAGGTTCATTGTTTGGGGGAAGAACATTTCCATAATTCCTGGCTGTCTCTCATTTTGGAACGTTGGCAGTCATTGATGATCATTGCCTAGATATATTCATTAGAAGTTGCAAAAAGAATATTCAAATTCTTTTATTCCTTCTCTTTCAATAGCTTGTAACTTATATGAAGAGAATCTTCCCCTCATCACTTACTTGATTACACTGAAGTACATACAGTTCATGTAGGAAAAGGTATGATGACTGGTGAACACTTTCTCTATAGCTTTCAAAATCATAGTTTGGTTCTCTGGCATCCTCTAATGGTGACGAATGAGGTGGTATTTTGTTTTTAATTTATCTGGGATTTGCAATGTTTCGATCCCTTGCAATTTTTGTTCTTATTTATGCCTGATGTGTCCCATTTTTACTATGGGGAAGCCTCTTCAAGTTAACTCTTGAATGTCTTTGACATGATCCTAACAGTCTTTGATAGTTTCTTTTCTTTATGATGTGATAAGTTATTCCAGGCTCATTGTGTGCCTTTGCTGCCCAGACCTGGAATTGGCCATTGCTCCAAGAAGCCCTGGTTCCTTTTGGCAGGAAATATATTTAGATCTCTCAATCTGGGCACTAGGAATGTTTATTGCAACTTGTTTTGTTGTTGTTGTTAAGATAAAATACATCAAGAGCTCATAACAGTATCTCCAATTCAATTGCACGATTGCAGATTTAAATTAAAATCGCTGATCTTATGCATCTAACCTTCTTTTTCTAACACCAAAAATCTGTTTCCAAAGAATTATTCTATGATACAGGCATAGCTATCACCAATAATATGATTACTGAGAATGGTTTTCAGTAAGATAATTTTTACAATTTCTTTTTGTCTCCAGGGTGTACCCCCACTAGGGGTGTCCAGTCAATACTGTGTTCTAAGAACACTTGATGTAGCTCTTCTCTGTGTGGTTATACCACCAACTACATAATAGTTAGATTTGTCACATTTGGTTTCCATTTTGGGGGGAATTGCTTTTTTATTTGTCCTATAACTATATAAAATTTTAAATGTTCTAGTGGCAAGTCTATAAGACAAAGAAACAAAGTATAGTCAAGTAAGCATTGCCTCCCTTTTCGCCCCCCTTTTTCCTTTGCCTCTGCCTGCCTTGGATACCTTTTTTTAAAAAAAGTTTTGGTTTATAATCAGGAAACTTTGACATCTTATTTATGCATTTAATGAATATTTAATGCCTAGTACATGCCCTGCACTTTGTTAGATACTCAGATGCATAAAGGTTGTATGGGACGCAGTCCTTACCTTCTGGTAGTATATAATCAAAGGAAAGGTTCTTATATGGAAGTATTAGGGTATAACTGGCTACAGAAGGCTAGGATCAAATTGCGAAGTTTTTTTTTTTTTTTTTTCAGTCAGGCTAAGGAATTCACACTTCGTCCTCTATGTAGTGGGTACTGATGATTTTTTAAGTCTAGGGAAAGACATATTCAAAGTAGTTCTTTAGAAAAATGAATTGATCCCCTCTTAGGTATAGTTGGAAGTAAAACAAGACATACTCTAGGCATGCATCATAGAGTAAGTACTCCTCAAGTATTTGTTGAATGAATAAGTGTAATAATAAGGCCATAGCATTGGGAATGAAATGGAAAGGCTAGGAGAGATATCCTGAAAGAACAATTTATAAACCTTTGAAAATTTAAATGGCAGGTATAAGAAGAGTTAAAGATAGAGTATAGAGCATAGGTATCTGAGGGAAGAGAATTCCCACTATTGTTCATTCATTATATCCAGTAGGAATAAGATGAGCTTAGTTTCATTTGGTTGAGAAGTAAGGGCTAGGAAGAAAGGTTAGCCATGCCTCTACAGTAAAAGTTATTAAAGCTAGATAGACCACAGTCTTGAGAGAGATAAGGTAAAAATAAGAGGACAGCTGCCACAGATCTTAAGAAAGCTCACACTTAGGAACAAGGAGAGAAAAATTAGCGAGCTAAAGAGGAAGAAAGGTAGTAATCAGAGGTGAGCATGTCATCTAAGAAAGCAAATATCTCTTAAGCTAAGGAAGAAGTTTTTCAGAGGGCTGATCATTTATAGTCAGAATGCTGCAGAGGTAACAGTCAAGTGTCTAACCATAGGCCTGCTTTACCAGGCCACATGTCTCCTATTTGTATCTGCTTTTCCATTTACAAATCTGCTCTCCTGTAAGAGAGATAATAAGTATCCTTATTTTCTGGTCTTCAAGAAAAATGCTTATAATATTGTCTACAATGCTAAGTGGCGCCAAGATCTGCCACTAACAATAATCTTATAACTTCTTAGAATAATGACCATAATTGGACTTGTGATTATTTTATTTGTGTTTATTTGATTTATAAAGGTAAAAAACATGTTTTCCAGGACCTTGTAAAATCTCGGTATAATCGCACAAATGTTATTAGGCTTCTGTATCTGTCGTAGTGTCAGCATCAAAAGCTCTTTAGCAGGCATCTTAGCTATTAACTTCCGGTATGGGATAGACATGCTAAAAATCAGCTTTTTCCCCTAAATTCATGGCTTTTTTCCTTCAAATCACCTTCCTCTAGACAGCAGGTGCATTAATGGTTGTGCAACTTTGGGGAGTCCCTTTAGGGAATTTCCTGTTTTTCCCTTTTACATTTCACACCCATTCCTTGCTCCCGCCGCTACCATCTGCTATCTCTTTTCTCCTGTTCAGCATTGGCTCCTTCACACCCCACTCCCACGCCCTTTTCCATCTCTCTCCGTCTGTCCAACAGCCCTCTACTTAGATTGCTCCAATGCTTGTACAGGAATCAGAGAACTTTCTCTTTTCTATCAACTCACTAAGCTCAAAAGAGAGACAAAATTTATATGGCCTGTGACCAAGGCCACTGTGAACTTGACAGACATAAGTGGGAACAAGACAACATGGGTGCTGATTTTGGGAGCATTTATTAGACAATGCTCAAATGTTTCACTAAAAATTTGCGGAGTCCTGCATTTCTGGGCATTTACTTCATGTATATATCAAGATAAGAATCTTTACCAGGGTATGAATGAAGTTTAGTTACCTTGGTGTTTTTACAGCTATAAGAGAAAATACACATATGTACAAGTAAAACTACACATTAAAGCATGGTGCTTGAATACTTTCAGCTGAATGACATACTAGCTAGCAATAAAACTTGCTATTGAAATTAGCTTAGAAAGCTAGTACTAAAAAAATCTAGACAGTATAATGAAAAGGTTCTTGTCACTAAGTACTGAGGTATCTTACTGAGCTTCCATAAATATATGTAATATTTGCATATATATAAATTTTTAAATTGAACATTGAATAAATGAAATGTGTGCCATTGATACACTATTTACATCATCTGGAGAGACTAGAACTCTTCACTTTTAAGATTAGCACAGGGTGGGTCTGAGTATCTGACTATTTTTGTATCTGAATATTTTATTATTTTATCATCTTTCTGGCTGTTTTTTAGTGATGTAAGAGCTAAATTAATGCACTGAGCAGTATTATAAGACACTCTTGGTGCATGAATTACTGACATTTACTAGCTATTCAAAAGTGAAAAGGCAGAACTTAGAAGTACCACCTCCCCCACCCCTATCAAAATAAGAAATGCTGTATTCTTTATCTGAAATGGATTAATTGAACAATGATCAGTTTTCCTACCATAGTGTGCCTCCATCCATTCAGATTATATCCAGAGAAGAGTTGAGGTGAGAGATTTGGGATACAGATATTGCTAGTACAGGTGCCATTTGTTTTATGTAAATCCACTTTAATATAAAATGCCGATATCTGTTACAGGATATAGAAGCAGCAGAAAAGTCACTACAGACCAGGATTCACCCACTTCCACGGCCTGAGGTGGTTTCTCTTGAGGTGAGCATCTTAAGGAACAAATGTAAAAAGAGAGACCCTATCTATCTATCAGTAGTGCACTACAAGTTAAACAATGGTTATGTGTATTTTCCAGATATATTTATTCAGTAAATTAAAGAAGATATGCCTGTTTGAGCTTTTTATGTCCACAGTACTGTACTTTATACATAGTAGGTAACTGAGAAGTATCTTGATTTTAAAAAGTTTAGCAGTTGGAAATTTTATAAAGATAGGGATCTTTTCACCTTGTCACTTAGAAACAACTATCCTGTTAAACCATAACAGACAATATGCACTAAATCATGAGATGACAACACGCCTAACTCAAATGCTTTTGCTGCTTGCTGATGTTAGAAGTAGCAGTTTAGTCCCTTCACCAAAAATTTAACCATAGCTAATTAAATGCATATTATCATACAATATAGTATGGCTTTTGTCTGTTTTATTTTGTTCAGTTCAAGAAGAGATTGGGAAGATGGTTAGCAAAAATAAACTATATTTGGTATATGAATATGTTTGTGATGAATGGGAATTTACTACATATGGAATAGTTTCATTTTGTATTTTTAATGACCTTTCTCAAATACAGTTTTGCTTTCTCCCCAACTGGGGATAAATAGACTCAAAATTAGAGGCTGAGAATTTTCCCCTCAATTTTCTGTGTCATCTAGGGTAATAAAACAAGGCAGTGATCAAGGATACAAAAAACTCTGGTACAAAGTTGTGTCTTGGACATGCTTTTTCTTTGTTTGATTCTCCTATACCTTACTCTGGCATATACAGGACCCACACAATGGGAGTTACTCCAGCTGTGAATGTCAGGGAAACTCCCAACCACGGGCCTCAGATGGTATTTTTCTTAACTAGTCTTTCACAGCAGGATGACCTTTACTTTATGTATGTCAGGCTGTTTCTCAGACCACATGCATGGATATATAGACATATAGAATCCCTCACCATTTTCAACTTTCAGAACTGCTGTATTTAATGCTTGGAGTGAATATTTTTGTGTTTCTAGTGCTATCTCATTGGCTGAATTTCCAAAAATGAGATTGATAGTGATGATCTAATATCAGTTGCCCTCCTATGACACAGGGCTTTGGGCAGTTTAGTTCTCTTTGACCTCCCTAGGGCAGTCACCCAAGAAACCAAAGCTAGACACAACACAGCAATGTTTCATGAGCTTCTAAAGCCTATAGACTTCTACAGTCAGACCAATAATACAGCATCTCAACTTCCAAGCTATTTGTATTAAAAATGGTTAAATTATATTGACATTTTGTCATCACAAAAATGGG
The DNA here is from genome assembly GCF_000001405.40 of Homo sapiens. Taxonomy (NCBI): domain Eukaryota; kingdom Metazoa; phylum Chordata; class Mammalia; order Primates; family Hominidae; genus Homo; species Homo sapiens. Next base: position 62,332,698 of record NC_000003.12, read on the forward strand.
GAAAAATTATAGTGGATATATATTTCCTACACAATTAAGGGTCCAATATCTCTAATTCCTGTACTATAACACACTAGTTGTATTTCAGTTCCTGATCTCATCCCAGGTCAAATCTTTTGATGTTAATCCTGAAGCATGATTTATGTTTGATAATTTCATTGTAATAATTTCAGTATGGGGTAATCATTTGGTATGGGATTTGGAATATTAAACAAAAACATTTAATGATTATATCACCATAAATGATACTATTAGCAATAATCATGAAGTTGGCCACAAGAGGGCGTGTAAAATCACAATAAAATTCTAAAACCTGTAATTCTGCCAGGCTCTGGTTTTACTGAGAAATTTGAAAATTAACACTAGTAAGTAGCCAGATTTTTTTCTAAAATTAACATAAAATATTCTGTAGAGGAAATGCATTCTACATATATGTGTGTGTGTGTGTGTGTGTATACACGCATACACACTCTTAAGTGAATAAACATTTAGACTATTATGAAGAGCCAAGTTCAATTGCTTGATATGCTTTTTTACTTTTGGATTTTTTTTTCCAGACTCGTTACTGGGCATCAGTAGAAGAATATATTCCCAAATGGGAACAGTTTCTTTTAGGAAGAGCACCATATCCTTTTGCTGTTGAAAATCAAAATGAAGCAGAAAATACCATTCAAAATGAGGCACAGCGATAACTTCTTCACATGCTATTTCAAAAAGCCTGTTTAATAAAGCTGAATGTTAAGGTGTATGTAGGTTATTGCAGGAACTTTAGGAATTAAATATGTTCATATTCTTCGATTATCTCCTAAGTGACAGTGAAGATATGAGAATTTACTGGCAAGTCACATGTTATCACCTACTACTATTTCAAGGTCATGAATTTGCTTTCTACCAAACCCATAGATGTGTTAAACACGAATATTAAAAGGTGGACTCTTTATTAATTAAATTATTGTCAGTGTTGTGAGTGTGTTGCTTTAAAAAAAAAAAAATTTACAATCATTCTCCTCTAAGCAGGTATCTTGGTTCTGGTTTTAAGTTAAGTTTTTTAGAATCCTTACTTTTTAGGGACAAGGTATAGGATCAACATGGTTCTTTTTTTTTTTTAAACCATTATTGTTTCTTTTAACAAATTAAAAGACAATGACACCTAAACTGCTCTAGCAAAATAACTTATGAGAAAATAAATTCATAGGATTTTGTCCCTCACAGATAGCCAAAGCTCTGCAAGTTCTGGAGACAGAAAGAACTGAACTATAAAGCAGTCAATAAGTAGCCAGTTTCAGGAAGACTCAGACTTGGTTTTGAAAAAGGATGCCTTTTAGAGCTGGGAAAGGTTATTGGATTTTGACTTGGTTATTTAAAGATTGCCAACCTTGTGAATGCAAATAACCCCACTCTTGTCTTTTCATCTTTAAACTTCCCCTTCCCGCTTCCTTCTAATTTCATTATTCCTGAAAAAACTGTCAGTCAGAAAGCGTTGGGTCACAACCCTAAACAGCTTTGAGATTCCTCAGTCCACCACTGCTTGAGCACTTAAAAAAAAAAAAGAAAAAAAAAATATGTATATATAACTTTCCAGCTATAGAGGCAGCCTCTGCTAGTAAAGGGTACCTATGCTATATTACAATGAAATGTTTTAAATTTCAAACTGGTTTATGTTTTTAAAAGAAGACAATAGGAAAAGCTAAATACACAGCAACAACAACAACTATATTGAAACGTCCGTTGTGCCGATAAGTTCCTTTAAACTACCATCTTGGAAATATCCTGTTGAGTGGGTGTTGGTGTGGGTAACAATAATGTTGTTTTCATAATATGTGCTGGCAGATTAGCACACTTCTCTACAGTGTTAACAGTTGTAATTAAGGAATAAACAGCACAGGGTGTCAGTCCGATGACAATTTCATCTATAGTGTCACAATACAAAATGTCACAAAATATTAGAACTGTTATATAACTATAAAAAGTATCAGCTTAAAAGCTAAAAGCCTTTGAAAAAAGAAGACAGAGGAAGGAAGAAAAAAGAAAACTGGCATAGCAACCAGAACAATTTTATACCTTCTCAAGAATGTTCTGTCATGAAAATAAATTGATAATTTTTTTCTGTTACATTACAGTTTGGTTTCTAGCCATCCAGTTGATTTAGCAGGAGAATGCAGGTTTTTTTAGCAGCTTTGAATTGGTAAACAGATTTAGATGTAGTAGAAAGGAACATGAGGAAGTTGTTTTTTTTTTTAACATCCAATCTTTCCCAGCATATGCACATAAGAAGGTGAATGAAGCAATGTGAAACTTACTTCTCTTTAGTCAAGTGAAAAAAAGGCTAAACATTTGTTAGATGGTAAAATATTGTGTCAAGCGAGTAGGCAAATTCCAAAATTACACAGTGGTTGATACATTAACATCCTCAAATATTTGAGCATGCACTTCCTTTGAGATCTGTAAATTAAATCACCAGTGGGTTAGATAAAAATACAAAACAAATGGCAATCTAACCATCTCAGAAAAGGTTCAGGTTTTTTTCTCCCTAAAACTGAGAACTTGCTAAATAATTTTTGAAAAGCATAAACGTAATACACCCTGGGTTACGATCGAGGGCAGAAGGGAAGGCATTTCCAAGGCTCCTGCTGTAGTGTTTTTCCCATTTTTGTTAATACCTCAAAAACTCCCAGAGATGACTTTATTCCTGGCCCCTGCAGAGCTCCCCTCCCCACCCCCACCTTGTAGACTGTAACAGATTGCACCACATGGTGTCTGTTTAAAAAAAAAAAAAAAATTCCCATAGGGACCTGGATATCCCATTAATGGGCTTTATGTTCCTCATGGCAAATTAGCTTTACACAGGAATTTCCAAACATTGTTTTCTGTTAAGAAGGGAGGAATACCATATATAATGTATATTTTTTCTACAATTAGTAGGAATCAGACAAGGAAAAGGAAATGTCATCTATTCATACCTTTCTCTCCAAATTCAGTGTTCTTTCCATATGCTCCATTGTACTCCACCACTCTTCTCCATGAAAACTATGAATTTATGGTTTTTTTTTAGAAAAATGGAGTTTTCAAAATGAAAGTCAAATAATTTTTTCCAAAGCCGTTTGTGGACTGTTGCAAATGCATAAATATTCAAAGCTCATTTTCTGCAGAAACACTTCTGGTATATGAAATTATTAAACTGTAGAATGCTAAAGATCAGAAGAAGCTACAGTTTTTCTTTAAACTTGAAAAAAAATTAAGAAGTATTAAGGAAAAAGCTTAATACTCTGGAAACCAGACATCTGGTCTTTCTCATGCGTAGGGAGCAGTGTGAATGAAAGTGAAGTCAAACGGACAGTTTTTTTCTGCATTATGCACAAGGTGTTTTAAATTGTCAGCTTAAGGTTTAGATGAAGATAATCTTTAACTTTGTTTACAATTTTTGCTATTTTGCATTATCCCCCTTTTTCCATAAAAAATAAAGTGAATATGTGTGCATATTTATTTTGAATCAAAATTAAACTTATTTTGAGATTATTTTGTCACTTCTGAGATAATTGGAGACACGTGTGCACGTGTGTGTGTGTGTGAGAGAGAGAGAGAGAGAGAGAGAGAGACAGAAACCAAGGGTTGCTGTCACCAATTCAAGAGGAAGATACTAAGCTTTAAACCAACTGGGAAGTAGGTTTTTAGTGTGTAAAGTTAATGCGCAAGGCCATAAATTTGGCTTATCTACAAAATATAGTCTTCCCTCTCCTTTCATTAGTGTATTAATTTATCTTTTTTACTGTAAGCCAATTCACATCTTTTTCTTTTTAAGCTAGTCTTTTATTTAAAACACAATAAAGTTTTCAATCCCGCTAAGGAGTTCCCCACCTCCTTTTCACACACTGCCCAAATATGAAGTTAATAGCTACATGGTTTAAAACACTATACATTTCAATAGTCACCTATTTTTTTAAACCTATTCCACTGTAATTAGTATAAAGAGATATCTTTTTTAAAGAGTTGCTGACCAAAACCTATTCTTCAGAGAAGGTAATAACCAGGTGATGAGTTCAAGCAGAAAAAAACAAGTCTGGAAAATACGTAGGAGAAAGAGAAGAGAAGAGATTACTTTGGGAAACCTTCAAGTTGGAACAAGGGTCCCTCCCACCCCCATCCCACCCCATGTGTTTCTAAACACGTGTTTCTCTTATAATTTAGAAGTTAATTTGTCTATATGGGAAATTTAATTCCCCATTGTTAATAAAAGGGCATTTAGAGTTTTCTGGGACAAACATGGGGATGTGTCAAACTTTGGCAATTAAGAAGAGGATTGATTTGTGGATTTGACACCTGGCATTGTGATCTCCCTTTCTAACTGGATCTGAGATTATATCCTTACTAAAATCCAAGAAAAGGAAAATGACTTCAACAAAACCAGAGGCTCAAAATGCTTCCGGACATCACTTTACCTCACAGAGTCAAGTTTCCCTACTTCCAAAGAAAAGGGACCAGGTCCCCTAAGTTATAGTAATGTTTTAAAGTTCTTGCTATTTTAAAAACTGAAATTCATGTCTCAGACAAAGAGACTGAGAGTCCGCAAAGTAGTATCTAGATTGACTACAGTAAAAAACAAGAAATAGTTGCACTGAGTGGAAACAATGAAATGTTCTCACTTTAGACAGTGATGACTTAGTTTCTTTTTTATGTGACTGGTCATTCAGACTCCACTGTAAAACTCAAAGGATTTTTTGTTATTTCTCCCTAAATCTAGGTTATCAAAGTAGAAATTTTTCTGATGTTTTATACAATACCACTTTGGGACCAATGCAGTCACATTAGAGGGAGACAAAATTCCTTTCATATATTTTGTCTAGCACATCTCTAGCTTCTTTCATCTCCCAGTACCAATTAATTATTTTTCATACCTTGTTCCAGACATTTTTAAGGTCTGTAGAACTTACAAGCATTTCCTTGTACTAGAATACTCCAGCCTAGTAAAAACAATACTAAGATGTTCAAAAGAAGCCAAATCTAGAGCCCTTTAAAATGATACCCAATAAACACAGAGGTAGAGAACACTTGGACACCATTGATTCATTCATTCATTAACAGATCTTATTGACTGCTTTCTGTGTAGCAGGCACAGTTCTAAGCACCAAGAATACAGCAATGAAGAAAACAAAACAAAACAAAAAACCTGTGTCCTCATAGAATTTACATTCTGGTAGAGGCAGCAAGTAGAGGGGGCTAAAGGCAGACATAAACACCAGAAGAGTAATATGTGGTATATCAGATGGTGAGAAGGGCTAATATAGTATGAACATCTAAAATGTCTTAGTACAAGAAAATAAAGCAGACTTTTGTAATTTTTCAGTAATATGATAGAACTGAGAGTCTCTTTTCCTATTCAAGGATCTTGAGTTGGGGTTTTCCAGTGAAGCAGCATTTCCACTGCTTCTTATTTGTAAATTGTGCAAGCTTAATGAATAGGTTTATGATAAAGGATGAAAAAAAATTCTCAGTACTTCAACAGATGTTTATACACAAACGTCCATAGCAGCATTATTCACAATAGCCAAAAGGTGGAAACAACCCAAATGTCCACTGATGGATGAATGGATAAAATGTGGTGCCTATATATATGGCGGGACATTATTCGGCCTCATAAAGGAAGAGAATTCTGATACATGCTACAACATGCATGAACTTTGAAGATGTATGCTAAGTGAAATAAGCCAGACACCAAAGGGCAAATATTGTATACTTTCTCTGATACGAAGTACCTAGAGTAATCAAATTCATAGAGCGGTAGTTGCCAGAGGCTAGGGGGGAGGAAGAATAGGGAGTTAGTATTTAATGGGCATAGAGTTTCAGTTTGGGAATATGAAAAATATCCAGAGATGGATGGTGGTAATGGTTGTACAGCAATCTGAATATCCTTAATGCCACTGAACTATATGCTTTACAATGGTTAAAATTTTTTATATTCTGTGTATTTTACCATGATAAAGAAGTCCTTTACTAAACATAACCTGAACACTTCCATATTGTAAGCGATTTGATTTAAATCTTATTTGTGATCATATATAAGCATACATATAAGCAAAGTTAATTCCTTCTAGAAAATGTCTATAAACATTGTCCTCCATGTTTTCAAATTAGTTGAATGTCTGCCTTTAGAAAGGTTGGTGTCCTGAGTTTTTGGTTGGTTTGTTTTTGTTTTGTTTGTCTATGAAACTCCTTACAAACAAGCTTCTAGTCCTGGTTCTGCCATTAACTGCTGTTCAGTTTCTTCAGTGAATTGAATTGGACCTCAATTGTCTAACAGAATTTTCTGCAGTGGCGGAAATGTTCTATAACTGCGCTGTCCAATATGGCAGGCACTAACCACAGGTGGCTATTAAGACTTGAAATGAAGCCAGTGCAACTGAGAAACTTAAATTTTATTTAATTTCAATTATTGGAAAAATGTTAAGTATGCCTGGGACAACTTGGGCGTGTGAATCTACTTTTTTAACTTTAAATTTTATAAAATCTCAAAAGAGATCAAGTATTCCAATGAAAATTTAGCATCCCAAATGGAGGTATGCTATAAGTGCAAAATACACACTGGATTTCAAAGACAGTGATACAGTTTGGCTGTGTCCCCACCCAAATCTTATCTTGAATTGTAGTTCCCATAATCCCCATGTGTCATGGGAGGGACCCAGTGGGAGGTAACTGAATCATGGAGGCGGTTTCCCCCATGCTATTCTGGTGATAGTAAGTCCTCACAAGATCTGATGGTTTTATAAGGGGCTTCCCCCTTCACTTGATTCTCATTCTTCTCCCTGCTATCATGTGAAGAAGGATGTGTTTGCTTCCCCTTTCGCATCATTGTAAGTTCCCTGAGGCCTCTCAGCCATGGTGAACTGTGAGTCAATTAAACCTCTTTCCTTTATAAATTACCCAGTCTTGCAGACGTCTTTATTAGCAGCATGAGAATTGACTAACACAGACAATAAAAAAGATATAATATTAAAATTAATTTTACCAGTTTTTTTATAAAGTAGCTACTAGAAAATGGAATCTTACATATGTAACATATTTTCTTGAACAGCATTAAACTAGACAATTCCTAAGAGCCCTTGCAATTCTCTGAGTCAATATCTTTTTGTTGTTGTTGTTTCTTTGTTTTTTGGTTGTTTTGTTTTGTTTTGTTTGAGACAGAGCCTCACCCTGTCATCCAGGCTGGAGTACAATGGAATGATCTCAGCTCACTGCATCCTCTGCCTCCCAGGTTCAAGTGATTCTCCTGCCTCAGCCTCCTGAGTAGCTGGGACTATAGGCGTGTGCCACCACACCCAGCTAATTTTGTATTTTTAGTACAGATGAGGTTTCACCATGTTGGCCAGGCTGGTCTCAAACTCCTGACCTCAGGCGATCCACCTGCCTCGGCCTCCCAAAGTTCTGGGATACAGGCATGAGCGTGCCCGGCCTGAGTCAATATCTTTATAAGCATTTTTTAAATGCACCCTAATATTTGACTAGAAGCCCATAATTGCTGAATTTGGGGGAAAGCTTAAGGTTAAATATTTAATTAATATTTGTACGCTTCCAACAGAATGCAAAAGAAGAATGAAGGTAAATGAAAGTTTATAAAGCCAGAGTAACCTGGGCATGGTGGCTCACACCTGTAATCCCAGCACTTTGGGAGGCCAAAGCAGGAGGATTACTTGAGCCCAGGAGTTCAAGACCACCCTGGCCAACAGAGCAAGACCTTGTCTCTAGTATTATTGTTATTATTTAAAAAGCAGAGTATCATTTTGTTCTCAGAGTTATATTTGAATGTGTGCTCATTTTTAGAATCCCAAGTCCAAGTGGAAAGCCTAGAAGATATTAAATGCTCAAGAAGTATTTGGGGTTGGCCGGGCGCGGTGGCTCACGCCTGTAAATCCCGGCACTTTGGGAGGCCAAGGCGGGCGGATCACAAGGTCAGGAGATGGAGACCATCCTGGCTAACACGGTGAAACCCTGTCTCTACTGAAAATACAAAAACTTAGCCAGGCGTGGTGGCGGGCGCCTGTAGTCCCAGCTACTCGGGAGGCTGGGGCAGGAGAATGTCGTGAACCTGGGAGGCGGAGCTTGCAGTGAGCCGAGATCGCACCACTGCACTCCAGCCTGGGCGCCGGAGCGAGACTCCGTCTCAAAAAAAAAAAAAAAAAAAAAAAAGGTATTTTGGGTGAATGTTAAAACCAGGATTTGCATTTTGACCAGACTCTTAATTAAAGTACATTTGATGAGAACATTTATTAAAGATGAAACAGCATGAGGCTTCAAGCCAGAGTAAATAATTTGGCATTGGTTTTCATATGGTACAATATAAAAAGAAGTTGGATACTGAAAGCAAAGGTATGTCTTTGCTCGGAGGACCTTGATAATCACTGGAAGTAATGTTAATATTCAGTGATAACAAAGCATCTTTTATAGGAAAAATACATTATAGATGAATACTATTAATCGTCAAATTATAGATGGTGGAATGGAAGCAGTATGACATTAAGTGATTGTCAAAGTCACACTAGGGATTTGCCTCTTATACCTGGGGTCTCAGCATTCTTAGTTTTTCCTTCTCCCCTGTTCCCACTACCACACTGACAGATTCTCCAGAGGAACCATGGAGAAGCAATTACCAGTTAAAATTAGGTTGAAAGGAAACACTGGTTTCACAAAGCATGTATTTTAACTTTATAAACTTAACAGGCTGAGAGTCCGAAATGGAATTAACATCATTGTCACGAACTAGTTGAAGACTGAGCAAAGACCTTTGTATGTATTAACCTTCAATCAAAATTACCGTTTTTTGTTTTTGTTTTTGTTTTGTTTTTTTTTACAGATACACCAGGTCCTCAAAGTGCCCTGACATGCTGCCATTAGCAACACCAATAACCTGAGAAATGGTGCTGTTTTTGCAATTAGGTGATTGCTTGCTCATCTCACAGACTTTTTCTTTATTGACTTCCTTACATGTTTGTCAATTTCAGAAACTCCTGTAACTAGAAAAAAGCTTCCTTTTACCACATTCTCCCTTTTTAAATTGAACCAGAAATGAAGTTCAACTGAACAAATATTTATTACTTAGACCCAGAGTGGACTAGAAATTACAAGTGGAGATAAACAATATGCCTACCTCAGAGCTTTTTGTCTCTGGGGAGTCAGCTGGATAAACAGAAAAAGTAGAGTGTTATAGAAAGACCAAGGTAGGGCTTCTAACACGGCCTGGGGAGTGGAGAGGAACGGGGTGGTGAGGTAAGGGAGCTGGGAGTGAAAAGAGAAGAAACCTGTGCTACAGAAACTAGCCAAGAGACTTCCAGTATCAACATGGCGGGTAAGCAATACTAACATATCCCCCTCTGCAACCTTTATACATGAGGGACATGTTCACTTTCTTGCCTCTGATTTTCTCCCCAACTCTTTCCACTGACACTACTCTAGTTTGAGGTCTTTAGCACCTTTGATCTTACTAAATCCAATGTTTGTCTTAAGCACTCACTCATCTTTCTAAATCCCTTGGCAGCATTTGACACAATTTATCACACTTTTTTTTTTTTTTTTTTTTTGAGGCAGAGTTTCTCTCTGTTGCCCAGGCTTGAGTGCAGTGGTGCAATCATAGCTCACTGCAGCCTCAAATTTTCAGGCTCAAATTGCCTCAGCCTCCCAAGTAGCTGGAACCACAGTTGTGTGCCACCATACCTGGCTAATTTTTGTTGTTGTTGTTGTTGAGATGGGTTCTCCCTGTATTGCCTAGGCTGGTCTGGAAATCCTGGGCTCAAGTGATCCTCCTGCCTTAGCCTCCCAAAGTATTGGGATTACAGGTGTGAGCCATCTCACCCAGCACTTCCTCCTTCTTGAAACGATTCTTTTATGTTCTCCAGCACTGACAACTCCTCAGTCTACTGGCTCCTTTCCCTATTCCCTGTCTCCTAAATATTGGAATACCTCACAGCTCAGTCTTTGACCCTCTTCCCCTTTCTAGATATTCCGTCAGTGATATTTACCCATCCATAGTTTTAAATATACCCACTAAGGGACAAGTCCCAAGTAAATATTTTCAGCTCTGATTTTTCCCTTGAGCTGAATCAACACTTGACACTTGGGTATCTAATAAGCATCTCAGATTTAACATGTCCAAAACAGCTCTAGATTTCTCCCCTCAAACCTACTCTTCCCACAGTCTTCTCCCTCTTGGCAAATGCTGTTATTACCCCTCCAGCAGCTCAGATCAAAAGTTTGGAATCCTCCTCAACTATTCCTTTTTCCCCTCCCACCATACTTATGATCCATCAGCAAATCGTGTGGGTGCCACCTTCAAAATATGTCCCAAATCTGACTGTTCCTCACCACCGTGATCCCCAATATCCTGGACACCCTTGCCTGGATGACTGCAGTATCCACTTGACCGTTCTCTACACTTGCCCCTCTTTTCACGCAGAATCATCTAAATAACACTGTCCTGCCCACAAACCTCCAAGGCTTCCCATTATCCTTGAAATAAGATACACTCTTTATCATGGCCTAGAAAATCCTACATGACCTGGATCATGACTATGCAACGTTCTTTCCTACCATTCTACCCCTGACCTCTGAGTTCCAACCATACTGACTTTCTGCCCATCCCTTACCCCCACCTCTGTGCTTTTGCACTTGCTCATGCGTCTGCTTGGAAGGTTCTTCTCCCTCTCATTTCATTCAGGTCTCTGCTCAAAATCCCACCTCTTGGTAGAGACCTTCCCTGACCACCCTCTCTAACATAAGACACCATCTCCACATGCCCCATAAATTTCTGTCATCTGACCTGCTTTATCTTCATGATTGACATGGTTTGGATCTGTGTCCCTGCCCAAATCTCATGTCAAATTGTAATCCCCAGTGTTGGAGGAGAGGCCTGGTGGGAGGTGATTGGATCATGGAGGCAGACTTCCCTATTGCTGTTCTCGTGATACTGAGTGAGTTCTCACGAGATTTGGTTGTTTAAAAGTGTGTAGCACCTTCCCCTGCACTCTCTTCCTCCTTCTTCAGACATGTAAGACATGCCTGCTTCCCCTTTGCCTTCCACCATGATTGTAAGTTTCCTGAGGCCTCCCCAGCCATGCTTCCTTTACAGCCTGTGGAACTCTGAGTCAATTAAACCTCTTTTCTTTATAAATTACCCAGTCTCAAATAGTTCTTTATAACAATGCAAGAATGAACTGATACAATGATACAATGACATTGTGTCATGTACCCGCTTATTAATGTGTTGTATATGTCTGCCACTGAAATGTAAGTTCCATGATGACAGAAACTGTCTTGTCACCATCATATCATCGGCCCCATCACAGTATCTGGCACCTAGAAGGCACTCTATGAATATATTTTGAATAAATTAAAAGAAAAAGAAGCAAATATCTCTATAACCCTGTTTAAAAACAAGAAGAGAAACATCAAAGAGCCAGAAACAGTGAGAGCAGAGAAGCCACAGTAGCCATAGCCTAAACAAGAAGCAGTCAGAGAGGGTGGCCAGAAGCAAAGAATTCACAGAAAAGGAATGACAACAGCCAATAAAGGCAAGAAAAGGTGCTAAATCTCAAATATAAATGGAGAAATGTGAATTTGCCCAACATACCATTTCTCACTCCTCACATTGGAAAAATTAACAAAGTTTGATAGTATTAAGTGTTGCTAAAAATGGAAGAAAATGTCCTTTCATATGATGCTGGTAGGACTGTAACTAGATATAGGCACTTTGAAGGGTGATTTTGCAGTATCTACAAAACCTGAAAATGCACCCCCAATGACCCAATATTTTCATTTATATCCTAGAGAAACATTAACACAGTTGGACAATGATGCATATGTAAGAATGCTTCAGTAAGCATTTAAATTTAGATTTCTAATTTAAAAAATTAGAAACGAATATCCTCAGCACAGAAATAAGTAAAATCCCCATTGTCAAGAATATACTTTTGGTGATCATTTCTTTTTTAAAAACTGGCCTGTCGAGTCAAAGGGATCATTTCTATAGGTCATTACTAGAGAAGTTTCTCTGAATGTGTAAAGAACTAAAAAATAAGAATCAACTTAAAAAATGTAAAAACCCATTGTCTAGCCATACAATGGAACACCATGTAGTAGTTATAAGGCATGAAGTACATCTATACACGGTAATATGGACCTCCGTATTACCAAGACATACGTCTCTCCACGACACACTTTTAAGTAAAACAGGCAATTTGCAGAATAATTCAATATGTTATTTCTATGAAAAATATACATGCACAGTATGACCATGTGTCTTCCAAAGAGATAATCTATTTTTACGTTAAAGAGTACAAAAGGAGGTGGATTGTCAAAGGAGACCTCACCTTTCTCTGTAACACTTTACTCTTTCACAGGTAATACATGAATATATGTGTGGTTTTTTTTTTTTAGTATAAGGAAATTAACTGAGAAAACTGGAATAAGGTTGGTCTTTGGAACAGAGCTAACAGCAAGAAACCATGAAATCGTTCAGCATATGCGAAGAACAAATAGGTCTTTATTGTTAGAGCATAAAAATTGAAGTAAGGAGTGGCAGAAATTGAGACTGGAGAGGCTGTCTGAGCCAGATTGTGGATGGCCTTGTGTGCCAGCCTAAGGCTTATGGACTTTATCCAATGACTCCACACCATTCATCCATGTCTCTAATATACATCATAGCTTTGAGAATGATAAGAAGTTTCTCAGTAGCTTACCCATTTTTAAAAATACACCTTTTTTTGTTTGTTTGTTTGAGAGAGTCTCGCTCTGTCACCCAGGCTGGAATGCATTGGTGGGATCTCAGCTCTCTGCAACCTCTGCCTTCCACGTTCAAGCGATTCTTGTGCCTCAGCCTCCCAAGTAGCTGGGACTACAGACACAAGCCAAAATGCCTGGCTAATTTTTTGTATTTTTAGTAGAGACAAAGTTTCACCATTTTGGCCAGGCTCGTCCCAAACTCCTGGCCTCAAGTGATCCGCCCGCCTCAGCCTCCCAAAGTGCTGGGATTACAGGTGTGAGCCACCACTCCTGGCCTAAAATACATATTAAACCATTGAGTTCTCTTGTAGCCTTGCAAAACAGTCATTATCTATAAGCCCCTGTCACAATTTATAAAACTTGCCCCACTAAAGCCAGATTATTTTAAACATCATAAAAAACAACAGACTAACTATGGCATGTAATAAATTACTCATGACCTACTTCTTTGGAATCTTGGGATTAAAAAATTAAATGGAAAGAAAGACAATGATGGTTAATTATAAAGATATTGTCGCCAGGCTCGGTGGCTCACGCCTGTAATCCCAGCACTTTGGGAGGCCAAGGTGGGTGGATCATTTGAGTTCAGGAGCTCGAAACCAGCCTGGTCAACATGGTGAAACCACGTCTCTACTAAAAATACAAAAATTAGCTGGGCGTGGTGGTGGGAGGCCTGTAATCCAGCTCCTCGGGAGGGGAGGCTGAGGCAGGAGAATTGTTTGAGCCAGGGAGGTGGAGCTTGCAATGAGTAGAGATTTTGCCATTGCACTCCAGCCTGGGCAACAGAGCAAGACTACATCTCAAAATAAATAAATAAATAAAATAAAGATATTGTCAGGCCAGGCATGGTGGCTCGCTCACTCCTGTAATCCCAGCACTTTGGGAGGCCAAGGTGGGCAGATCACTTGAGATCAGGAGCTCGAGACCAGCCTGAACAACATGGTGAAACCCTGCCTGTACTAAAACATACAAAAATTAGCCAAGTGTGGTGGTGCATGCCTGTACTCCCAGCTACTTGGGAGGCTGAGGCAGGAGAATTGTTTGAGGCTGGGAGGCGGAGGTTGCAGTGAGCAGAGATTGGCCACTGTACTCCGGCCTGGGTGACAGAGTACTGACTTGGTCTCAAAAAAAAGAAAAAAGAAAAAGAAAAAGATATTGTCAACCTGCATATTTAACTGCTTTACAAGTGACAGCATTCAGTCCACTAGTCAGCACTTCATTAATTCATCAAATATTTGTTGAGTTCAACTGTGTTAGGTGCTGAGGCTGGATGATAAGAAAAGACAATCCCCACTCTCATGGAGCTTACAATGGAAGGGAAATAGATATTAGTTGAGTTACTGCAACAGAGAAATGTAGAAATGCAACACCAATAAGTTTTATAAAGGAGTGGCCCATGATGGTTGAAGCACATAATGGGGGAATATGACTTAGGAAGGTCAGGGAAGGTTTTGCTGGGGAAGGGGCGATTGAGGTTTAAAGGAAGAAAAGGAAAAACTTAGAGAAGTGGCAATGGGTAAGGAAGTTAATTATTGACAGTTGGAAAAGCATATGCAAATGTCCTGTGGCTGAAAATACACAATGCTGATATTTTAATGGACCTTTAAAAACACAGTTCCTAGGCCAGGCACAGTGGTTCACGGCTGTGATCCCAGCACTTTGGGAGGCCTAGGCCGGCAAATCACCTGAGGTCAGGAGTTTTGAGACTAGCCTGGCCAACATGGTGAAACCCCGTCTCTACTAAAAATACAAAAATTAGCTGGGCATGGTGGTGGGCGCCTGTAATCCCAGCTACTTGGGAGGCTGAGGCGGGAGAATCACTTGAGCCTGGGAGGTGGAGGTTGCAGTGAGACAAAACTGCACCACTGAGGTGACAGAGTGAGACTCCATCTCAAAAAACAAAACAAAAAGCAGTTCCTAAAAAAAACTTTTTAAAATTTCTGGCTGTTCTCTAATTTGTTGACCTAGAGGAAGATGAATAGAATATAAATCAAGCACATACCTAAACACTTGACCTTGACATTTTGCCCCACATAATGCTATTTCAGTGGCAGACAAAGCTCTAAATCCATTCTGTTTGAAGATGACATTCTTAAAATTGAGACTGCATCTTCTCTAGTAAAGTGCCTAGTCTTTAGTTACTTAATAAAGTACCACAAATAGTCAAATTAATAGCCACTAAGAATGAATAGCTGTGTATTCATAAGAAAATTCTAATTTAAAATAATGTCAAAGCATTTCTTTAGCTCCACACAAAAGAAACAAGCAGTTGATTGCTGAAATTTATACCTTATTGTATCTTTTTTGACATCAGTAGAAGCTGTGTATCTACAAGAGGAAAAGTTTGTTCCCAATTCCTGAGCCAAAATTTGTCAATGCCTTCAGCAATGACTTCCTAAAATGTTTTTGACTGCAAGCCACATTAAGAAATCTATTTCAACTGTGACTTGCCACAAACAGACATATAGAAAGATATATAAATAAAACAAGTTTTGTCTTTCAAATAGGACCACTGGGCCGGGTGTGGAGGCTCATGCCTGTAATCCCAGCACTTTTTAATCCCAGCACTTTGGGAGGCTGAGGCAGGCAGATTACCTGAGCTCAGGATTTCGTGACCATCCTGGCCAACATGGTGAAACCCCGTCTCTACTAAAAATACAAAAATTAGGTGGGTGTGGTGGCATGTGCCTGTAATCCCAGCTACTCAGGAAGCTGAGGTGGGAGAATAGCTTGAACCTGGGAGGTGGAGGTTTCAGTGAGCCAAGATCGCACCACTGCAGCAAGACTCCATCTCAAAAACAAAAACAAACAAACAAACGAAAACCAAAACAAAAACCTGTAAAAAGATTTTTAAGAAGAGTCAATTTGGGAAACTGGAATACAGATTAGATATCACATTAAATCAAATAATAATTCTTAATTTTTTAAAATGAGGTCTCGCTCTGTTGCCCAGGCTAGAGTGCAATGGGGGGATCATGGTTCACTGCAATCTCAAACTCCTGGGCTCATGCAATCCGCCTGCCTCAGCCTCCTGAAAGCTGGGACTCCAGGCATGTATCACCATGCCTGGTGAATTTTTAAAATATTTTTGTAGATACAGGGTCTCACTATGTTGTCCAGGGTGGCCTCAGACTCCTGGCCTCAAGCAATACTCCCAAAGTGCTGGGATTACAGGTGTGAGCCACTGCACACCTGGCCTATTATTTTCACTAGTGATCATAATAATTACACTGTGGTTTTTTTTTAAATGTTTATACTTTTTAAAGATACATGCAAAGTTTATGGTGAGAAATGATGTAATATTTGGGATTCCCTTTAAAATATATTTCATAAAAGAAAAAAAAACAAGCTAATGTGAAAACGCTAATGCGGTAAAAACTTAATTATTTGATCTGGGCGATGGGTATGTGGGAGTTCATTAAACTATTCTCTCTAATTCTGTATATGCTTGAAATTTTTATAATATAAAATTAAGTTTGGCCAGGTTTGGTGGCTCACACTTGTAATCCCAGCACTTTGGGAGGCTGAGATGGGTGGATCACTTGGGGCCCAGGAGTTCAAGACCAGCCTGGCCGACATGGGGAAACCCCATCTCTACTAAAAATACAGAAAATTAACCAAGCGTGGTGGGGCGTGCCTGTAATCCCAGCTGCTTGGGAGGCTGAGGTGGGAGAATTGCTTGAACCCAGAAGGTGGAGCTTGCAGTGAGCTGAGAACATGCCACTGAACTCTAGACTGGGTGACAGAGTGAGACCCTGTCTCCAAAAAAAAAAAAAAAAAATTAAGATCACAGCCGGGTACAGTGGCTCATGCCTGTAATCCCAGCACTTTGGGAGGCCGAGGCAGGTGGATCACCTGAGGTCAGGAGTTCGTGACCAGCCTGGCCAACATGGTGAAACCTCGCCTCTGCTAAAAACACAAAATTAGCCGGGCGTGGTGGCGCATGCCTATAATCTTAGCTACTTGGGAGGCTGGGGCAGGAGAATCACTTGAACCCGGAAGGTGGAGGTTGCAGTTAGCTGAGATCTCGCCATTGCACTCCGCCTGGGTGACAAGAGTGAAACTCTGTCTCAAAAAAATAAAAATAAAAATAAATAAAATTAAGTTCAAACGAAATGAACCTACTTTATGTACAATGCCCTCTGATATTTTATGTATCTTTTTAAATTAAATAATAGAAGAAAAAATGCTAATAATAAGCCCAGGTTGATTTCATGATGCACTAAAGCCTTGTGATGTATGGTTTGAGATGCTAGCTACCTCTGTCTCTGCTCTGCTCATACAAAATCACTGTAACACAAAAGACACTTTTTGGTCACTTGAATGCAAATTCAAAACAGAAAGCCTAATTCTGTTTCCAACTTCCAAAAATGTAATGCTTCTTGACATTTCCATAGTTGTCTATTTAAGTTCAATGTAAATAGCTGCTGCTACTTTGGGAGTGCCTGATAATGTCTATCACAGTACAAGGATGTATGTCTCTCTGGTGACATCTAAATGTTGATCTTGTAAATTCTGCGGCAACACATAATGTAGTACAAAGATATGCCAAGCAGCATCAAAGACTTTTTTTTTCAAAATCTGAGTTTAATCTAAATGTCAAATTAAATTTAGAGGAAAACAAATTACAAAGTGTATGTAGATGACTTCAGCTAATTAATTCTCCCCATTGATAATATTTTGAACTTTGGACACAAAGGTTGTTAAATGCTTTATTTCTGTTGTTACTTACAGTTGCTGATTTACAAAGCAAGTTAACTGTATAACCCAAAATTTTTTAAAAGGCAAATTCTATTTTTACACTAAGTGGGAATTTCCAACATTAAATCAATCTATCTATACCCAGTGTTTGTATTGTGCTGAGATTTAGATTTTAAAAAGAACCCTCTAGTTCAAAAAATAAATATATCACTCTCTACCTTTCTTTTGCTAATGGGGGAAACATGTCCATTGGTTCTAAAAGGTCACTTTTTGTGAATTTGTGAATTTGTGAATACCTTTCTTGCCCTCTTTCCTAAAACCCTATGTAGCAGAAACCATTGGCTGGTTATCTAACATCCTTACTACTCACCTTCCCCTTACTTAACTGCAACAAAATTTTATTCACATATCATCTTTTTCTAAGACATTGAGTGCTCCAGGGAAGCTGCTCCATCCCAATTGATAGTTCCAGGAGCTACAAACCAACTCATCTAAACCAGTCATGCTAATCCCCTTCTCCTTGCCATTGATTGATTTAGGACTAAACATGTGATAAAATTCTGGCCAATGAAACAGAAGAGTAAGTTGGCAAAGAGCGTTTCTGGAAAACGTTTTCTTGCTCCAAAGAAACAGAATACTTTATTCACCTGGACATTCTCAGAGCTGCATACGAGGCCAGAACTCCTGCAGTATCTTTCTACCAGCCTCGAGGATAACCTCACACAGAGGATGGCCAGTCTAAGAGAACACAGAAACAGACTTGAGGCCCCTACTTCTGGGTTTCTAGTAATATGAAATGATCAGTTTCCTTATTGTTAAGCCACTTGCATGTTACTTGCAGCTAAGAGCTCTAAATGATACATTCACTTTGTAGAATTTCAGGCAAAACTTCAAATCCTTATTTGTTAAGCAATTTGTGATATGAAACAGAGAGTGGATCTGTTTAACTCTCAAACAGCTGGTCATTTCAATTCAAAAACAAAAAAATGGCCAGGCATGGTGGCTCCCTCCTGTAATCCCAGCACTTTGGGAGGCCAAGGTGGGTGGATCACTTGAGGTCAGGAGTTTGAGACCAGCCTGACCAACATGGTGAAACGCTGTCTCTACTAAAAATACAAAAATCAGCCGGGTGCAGTGGTCTGTGCCTGTAGTCCCAGCTACACGGGAGGCTAAGGCAGGAGAATAGCTTGAACCTGGGAGGCGGAGGTTGCAGTGAGCCGAGATTGCACCACTGCTCTCCAGCCTGGGAGACACAGGTAGACACGGTCTCAAAAACAAACAGATAACTGTATGAGTTGATAAAGTATCAAGGAAAGATCCTAATGGCACAGGTCTCTGAAAAGTTTAGGGGTACTTTGGCAAATGAAGTCAATAGAAAGAGCAAAAAAGATGGACAAGTAGAATGATGACTCAGTTAACCCTATTAGAACAAGGGGGAGGGAAAAAATCTCACACATCTGAATTTCACTCATCATTATCCTCAATGCGTTTGAAGGCATGATTATAAGATTGTCAGCTCCTACTGAGGAAGAGTTTGGCATTCTGGCCAATTATGAGACAAGCTATACTCTTACAAGGATGTCCAAATGGCTAAAGTTCTGAACACATACACAAGATGGGTCGACCTACATATTTCATTACATGGTACTGCACAGTATGTATAAGTAGGCAATTTCTGAACTTAAGTATCAGCAGAGAGAGATGCTGCTCTAATACCTGGAGAGACAGGATAAAAAGAAAATTGAATATTGACAACAGATCTTTTTATGGTAAAGGAGAGATTAGGCCACTCTCCTTCTGCAACTGATGAGCAATTACTGGGCAAAGAACTAGCAGAATTGCTGTATCACTCTGTCTTCACCAAGGACTGTATAATTACTCCTTTCCATTTCTAATTTTTAGAAAAGCATGCCTGGTGGAAGAAAAGGTAGGTAGGACTTGGTTTCCATTTTCAGGGGGATAATGTGAAGATAATGTGTTTTGACTCTAGAAACATCTTGAGCTCCTTGAAAGAAAGGAACTATGTAATTTTAAAATGAGAATAATTATATATTTTATGTAAAAGAGTTATACGCTTGGCTTATGATATTTAAAGCAAAATGATCACAGCATATGTTTGTTTTCTATGATTTGGGAAGTGGCATTCGATTTTAGAACATTGGCTGGCACATAGTAGGCACACAGATATTAGTTGAAGGAATATTTGTTCACTAATTGCCAGAAAAAAAGTTTAAAAGGATAAAAATATGTTGTTTATCCATCTGAATAGGGAGAAAAAGCCTTTTTTAACTTCTAAAACTTCTAAATAAGTTTAAAGTCCTTTTTTGCATGATACAACTTTAGAATAAATTATTTCTATTATTACCTTTGGGGTTTTTTTAAGCTGACAATTTTTAAAACTAGCAAATATATTTTTAAACAGTTTCTAAAACTAAATTAAGCTTGATAATTAGGTGTAAATTGAGATGTGAGTGGCAATTCTATTTAAACTCTTTAAAAATCCATTCTATACTTATCAGTATTCTTAATAGAACATTTGAATTTTAGAAGAATTTGAAAGGAGATAAAGTTTAGGCATATCTGCCTTCTATGGAGGCTTCCATGGATTTATTTCAAATGTACTTTTGCTTTATTTTTAAAAATCCCATAAAGTAAGTTTAATAATTCAATGGGATTTTCATTAATGTGGCAGGACATTATAAACCACATTTGAAACCATACAAGTACATTTAATTCTAATTTGACCCATACATGTACTATTTCTTAAAAGCTTATCAAATCCAGACCTTTGAAAATGCATACACTGTAACAGATTTTTTAAAAACATGATGGAAAATATATACCACCCAGCTAAACACTCTCTTGATTTAGAATCGAGGCCTATATGTTTCTATTTCCATAGTGACTATTGCTGTGGAATCGACATGTTTTAATTTAGATATGAGATTATAAACATCATTTGGAGGCAGAATTTATTTTTTTCTCCTACAATTTCTGAAAATTGATCAGTCTAACTGCTGAACAGAAGCAAATTCTGGAGCAGGATTTAGAAATTATTTGGCTTTTGGGGCATTTGAGACTAACAAAAGATGAGTTTTCACAGAAACTCATGGCTTTTAAATCTTTAATCCTTAAAAAATGTAACTTTTCATACTTTATAAAACAAAGAAGAAATTCTTTATCAGGACTCCTTCAGAAGTATTTAAATTGTGCTAACATATTGTTTCAAAAAATAAAAAAAATCAGGGCAATTAGATAAGTACAGATTCTGCTTGCATTTTTGTCTAAAAATATCCTAAAAAGTTGAAATGAGACATTATACGGTCATCAATTACCTAAGAAGAGTAGTGACAGTGTGACGCACATTTAGGTCAAGTAAAAGTTAGCAACCCAAATCACTCATGAAAGAAAAAGAAGGAAAAAATTATATTCATTAGCTTTTTTCCATGAATTTTTTTGAACCCCTACCATTCCTGGTCAAGAAGCTCATAGATGAGGGTAGGCCATGAAGAGGAAACAGGCAAGTGTAGTGGAGGCTTGTAAGTGCTCCCGTGGAGAGAAGCTGAAGGTGTTGGCAGAGCACACAGGAGGAAGAATGCAAAGGGTGGAGGAAAGGGTCCTGAGGGTTCTACAAAAAGAAAAAGTTGTAGACACCAAAAGGGGCTCCTTCTTAAAAAATAATAATAAATAAAGACGAAACACTCAGACAACTCTGCCTAATATGGTGGAATCACAGAGCCCAGCTGGCACATAAGCAGACACCATCCCGTTCCTTATGACCGGAAGTTATTAAAAGTCATACGATTTCAATAACCCTTGAAATGCAGCTTTTGGATTAGGATGAATAAAGTTGGAAGAGGCCTTCATAAATTCATTCTATACTTGTCACTCTTCTTATTATAACATTTGAATTTTAGAAGAATTTGAAAGGAGATTATTTAAACATCTCCAACTCTTTCTGATCGCTTTTTGTTTTCCCTCGTAAGGGTAGAGTGAATCCAAAAGTTTATACAACTCAAGGATTGCTAGAATTGCCCCGCCTTCAGAAGCCAGCTCCTTAGCCCAGGGATAATCTATCGAAAAGAAACTGTGGGTCTGCAGAGGGGAAATCATAAGAGACATCAGCCATGAGGGGAGAAAAAAGATGGCGAGAGAAGACATTATTTTGTTTAACTGATGATCAGCCAGACTCATCAATGACAACAGAAAGCAAAAAGCTAAAGCTTTTACAGCATTATTTCAGGCTTAAATTTTCTCTGAAAGCCCTGCAGGTGTTTGCTGAAGGTCTTCTCCAATTTAATGAGGTGTGTCTAGTATACTCTTTGAAAGGATCATATTTAGGCCAGGCATAGTGGTTCATGCCTGTAATCCCAGCACTCTGGGAGGCCAAGGCAGGTGTATCACTTGAGGTCAGGAGTTCGAGACCAGCCTGGCCAACATGGTGAAACTCCATCTCTACTAAAAATACAAAAAATTAGCTGGGCACGGTGGTGCGTGCCTGTAATCCCAGTTGCTTGAGAGGCTATACTAGACAGGAAAATCACTTGAACCCAGGTTGCAGAGAGCAGAGATCACGCCATTGCACTCCAGCCTAGGCAGCAGAGCAAGACTCCATCTCAAAATAAAATAAAATGAAAATGCCATATTTAACATCTATTGTCAGGCTTTTTCACTCTTTGAAATGTTATTAAATGAAGACCTGCTGGGACTCTGGAGGCTATGAAAAGCAATGGGGCAGATCAGAAGGGACAAGACAGTCGTTCATGAAATATTTACTGAACACTCACTATGTGTTGGGTACTATTCTGGGATCTGAGGAATGCAGAAGTGAAAAGAATGTATAAAGATCCCTGCCTTCACGAAGCTTACACTCTAGTAGCTGGAGAAAGATAATCAATAAAGCAGGGGAGGGGGACAGGGAGTGTATGTGTGGGAGGGGAGAGAGAGAGAAGGAACGTGCCATCAGGGTAGATTTCATATTTCAAACAGATCTGTAGAGGAGTAGATTGGTAGAGGAAAGCCTGCCAAGATCTCAAAGGGCAAGATCTGAGCAAAGACATGAAGGAAGAGAAGGATGATCCGTAGGGAAAAGGGTTCCAAAGAAGGCACAGCAAATGCAAAGGTCCCGAGGCAGGAATGTGCTTGGCATGTGAGAAGAACATGAGGAGGCCAGCATAATTGGAGTAGAGAAGAGGAAGAAAGTAGGTGCGCTCAGAGACATTCATTTGAAGGGATGGGGGTGAGGGTCTTGCAAGTCACAGTAAGCCTTTTACTCTGAGTGGTAAATGGTAAAGCATTGGAGTGTTTTGAATGGAAGAGTGACACGATCCAATATTTCTCAACAAAGATTGACTGCACATCTACTGTGATTCAAGTACTGTGCTGAGCCACATACTTAGGTGCTAAGAGTACACTAATAATCATGACAGACACAATCCTGGTCCTCGTTGACGTTATATCCTAGTGGGAAAGAAAGAAAAAAAAACAAGTAAAACAACCCACAAAAAAAGAATTTCTACTGTGATAAGGCTACAAAAAACAAAAACAAAAACTCAGGCACTTGAATAATGAGAGATGGGGTGAGAGGAGTGTATGGGGAAGTTTACTTTGTGTAGGAGCATCAAATAAAACTTCCCTGAGGAGGTGACATTTGAGGCGAGTCTTAAGAGATGCAGAGGAGCTAGCTCTAGCTAAATATAAAGTTGGGGAGAAGTATATCAAAGGGACGGAACTGCATGTTCAAGGGCCCCAGGAAACAAAAGGATGTGGCTTGTTACAAGGAGAGAAAGAAACCAGTACAGCTGGTCCACAAAACATGCAGAGAGAGAGAGGAAGATAGGATGAGACTGTAGCTATAAGCTGGAGCTCGACCAGGATAGTAAAGGGACCTGAATATGAAACTGATGACCTAAGGTAGACAAAATGTCAGACATCATAAGAGAACTATAGATTTTAAAAAACAGTAAGTTTTGAAGAAAAACAGCTGGCATGGGGCATTTGGAAGGGAGTAGTGTTGAACTATTTGTTGTGGATGCATTGAATCTGGCCATGTTCAGAAGGGAAGACGACATTATGAGAAGACAACATCATGGGGGTGGGTCGGAGTTGTCTTCAAATGCCTACTCAGCCAGTAACAGCTGTGGCTAAACTGACACTTTGAGAGCCTCTGTTTTCCCCCACCTGAAATGATGACATGTGCCTTGCAGGTGTGGGAGAATTAGAAATAATGTTCATAAAACTCCTCATGTATTGCAAGTGCCAAATAAGTGATAGTTATGATAGAATATGAGTTCTGTTGATTTGAGTTTCTACTCCCCAGCTTGAGTGAAAGCACAGAGCCAGTGACAGCCACCATCTGAACCTTGCAAATCATTTTCAACACATCACTTTATTTGTACCTCCAGCCTAGATTTGTTAAGTGCCTACAAGGTGCCAGGCATGAGCTTGGCATTGGAAATACACTGCTGACAACAAGCCCCTGCCCTGTGGTACTTCCAATGTACTTGGGAAGCAAACAAAGGAATAAGGAAATATATGACTTGTGATAAGTACTGTGAAGGAAAAGAATGAAAGAAATGTGGAATGAGTAAGGAGAAGGATGGAGGAAGAAGAAAGGAAATCTAGGAAAATGATGTGAAGTAAGGGGAGACAAAGGCTCTTTCTAAAGTAAGCCTCTTTGTAAGATAAACTATCCCAAGTGTTACTACAATTAGTATTATTTAACTCCCTCCTTTTCAGGAAAAGCTCTTCTTAGTACCCTATACTCCGAGGAGGAGAGGTAGCCAGCCAGCCACAGGAAAAGTGAGGTAGAGGAGGGAGAAGGATTTTCACTCCTTGGGCTCACCTCAAAACACTAGGGGTGGGAAACAAACTAAGGAGGAAATCAGCCCCCATTAAAGGGCTCATAGGGAAAACTGAAAACTCCCAAATCTCTTTTTTCTAGCAGACACTTTGGCATTTATTTTCCCAGAGGACAGAATATATAACACTGACTTCCAAAGCCATTCATTTCCCTTGATCTAACCAGAAGTGATGTGATGAGTACTTTAAGCTTAGAGCAGCCACTTGTGAGTTCTACAAAGCACCCCCGAGGGATGCAATTGCAAACATCAGTACGTTCTTTTACAACACAATATTCCTATGCAGTAGATAGTTGACTTATGTCAATTTTATAGATTTGAGAGAAAACCGTAGAGACCTTGTGCGTCTTCTTCAAATTAATCCTAGACCTACAGCTTAAATCCCATGTTTACGCTGGCTCAGGCAGAACCTCCAACTCTGCTCTGCCTTCATCCCCAGAGAAACCCTGCAAATTTGATTATAGATGTATAAGATATGAGAAATTTATGTGAGAGAAAATTTTGGCCAAGAGGGCAATTTTACTAAAAGTCATGCATTTTTATGAATCAGTCACAATAATCAGAGAGCTTTGATTTCCTTCATTTCTTTTTCCACAAACTGTGTCATGACTGAAGTTGTCTGGCAGCTTCTAGTTGTTATTAGGCAACACAACTGGTGCTAGCCTATGAGAACTTGATCTTATAGGTTAAGACTTATGAGCCTATACGAGAGCTTATGAACACATACTTCACAACATTTAAGGTTGAAGAGGTAACTTGAAAGAAAATCTGATCAAGGAAGTTGTGTTTGTTTTCTGATGTCTCTTAAAGATCAACAGTACGATATAATCCATTGTCCTTTCCTTGTTCATCTTAGGCCTTAGGAGACTCAATGTCTATTGAACCAGGCTTCTCTTTCAGTAATCTCTGTAGCTACCGTATTTTTCTCTTATTTGTAACCTTGTTTTCTATTTATACTAATAACTTTATTGAATATACGGCATCTTTATTTGAATATATGGAATCTTATTAAATATATGGGACAACCTTATTGAAATATGTACTCACTTTTGGAAAAGAACAAAGGATAGATACAGAAAACTTCTTCCCCAAATGTACAAGGTTGTAGGATCTGTGTTCAGTTAACAAAGCAAAGACTTCTAAACTCAGACTCTGGAAGCTAGCCTTCCTCCCATCTCACTGCTTGGCCTCAGGCAACTATCTTTCTTTCTTTCTTTCTTTTTTTTTTTTTTTTGAGACACAATCTTGCTCTGTCCCACAGGCTGGAGTGCAGTGGCGCAATCTCGGCTCACTGCAAGCTCCACCTCCTGGGTTCATGCCATTCTCCTGCCTCAGCCTCCTGAGTAGCTGGGACTACAGGTGCGCACCTCCATGCCCGGCTAATTTTTTGTATTTTTAGCAGAGACGGGATTTCACCGTGTTAGCCAGGGTGGTCTTGATCTCCTGACCTCGTGATCCGCCCGTCTCGGCCTCCCAAAGTGCTGGGATTACAGGCGTGAGACACCACGCCCGGCCTCAGGCAACTATCTTTCTAAAGTCTGGGTCGAGATGCTCTCTTTTTTAGTAGACTACATTTAGCAACTTGTTCCTACATCATGGGAGTGCTGGGGGGAGAAAAAAAAAAAAGTTATTTCCTAAGAACTCTTTCTAAGCAAAACAATCCTAACTCCCATTATTGTTGTGCTATATTTTTAACTTCTCTCTTTCCTAAGCTGTTTGACCAGTGTCAGCCCTTCTTACCCTAAAGACATTTTTATTCTGAATATAAATATGGGGTGTGGATAGTGTTTTCTTCCTCCAAATTTTTTTTTCAAGAAGCAAAGCAGAGCACTGAATGTGTAAAAGCCACGCTGCCTGAAGGACCCTCAGGAGTATAAGGAGGGATTCAGGTAGACAGTAAAAATCCTGGAAAGGGAAATCCAATCTTGACTGTGAGGTGTCCTGGTTCCAGGACTACAAAGAGAAGGCGGGTCATGGAAGGAAGCTGACTATACTCATCTGCATCTTTGGTGGCAAGCCATAGTGGACAACACTGACCAATTTATGTGAAAAAGGAATTCACTGGAATGTTATTGCGCAGCTAATAAAACAAAACAAAGGTTGTAATGCCAGATTTGGAAAGGCAAAAATTAGAGCAACTCAGGGTGTGTAACTAACAGGTCCACAGTCTTCTTAAAATAAATTGATTCACAGTCTCCTTGGAATGAATGAGCATCAGTTATTTATAGTCTTATCCCTCTGCTCAAGGGTCAACAGAGAAAGCACCTGTATGACCTAGCTTGGGTCCCATGTCTGTTCCTTGGCCAGTGGATATGGCATGGGGGGAAGGACAGATTGCTTCACAACAGTTCCAGTGATCTGTGTTCAGTGAAGAAGGGCAGCTATCCCAAAGCAAATTAGAATGCTGATAACCAGAAGAAGGGAAAGTGGATGCTGCTCAGGCAAAAACAAACAATAAATCATCCTTGTGTTTAGGAATTGTTCATTAGTGACAGTCATTGGCACTAAGACATCCTACAAACCTCATCATTCTATGAGCTTGTGTAACAGTTCACTCTGTCGTTCCCTTCTCCTGACACTACAGCTAGGTCTCCGACTTCTGTGACTTCAGGAAGTGTGAGAGAAAGAGTGGTATCCTGGAAAGCTCTCACCCAAAAGTCTGTTAAGAGTCTCAAGTTCCTAAGACAAGCAACCACCTCCTTGTGGAAAAATATGGCCTACCCAATATAACTGTTAAACAGTCACATTTAAGTCAAGGATGTGTTGCTTCGGTGATTCCATCTGGAGACTTGGCTGGGAAATGCACGGTTTAAAAACATGGCAGCAGTATCTCTTTCTATAAATTTTTTTACTTTGATCAATTACCATTCCATTCAGTGGGAAAATGGTATATGGGTCAATGGCCTACTCCACCCACTGGCCAGGAATGTTCTTTGTTTTCTGTGGCATACCCTCAAAAACTCCTTTTCTGAGTCCTAAAGCAGATTTGAGCTGGATCAACCAATGGGCAATTTGGAGCTCTGGGGGAAGGGAGGCTTTTTTATTAAATCCAAGTGGATTAATCTGAGGGGCCAACTGGAGTTGTATTGACGCTTCTCTTAGTTCCTGGGTGCATCAGGGACTTAAATTGCACCAAAACTGGTATCGGCCACCTATTTAAAGTAGCCTTCTCCTAGATATGTCCTATCTGGTCACTCTCTTTTATTTCCTTCCTAGTGTTTACCATCATCTGAAATTACTTCTTGTTATTTGGCATGTTTATCATGTGTCTCCCACCATTAGGATGTGAGCTCCACAAGGTCAATCTGTCTTCTTTAGAGTTGTGTCCCTACTGCAATGCCCAGCACAGACCAAGCCTTCAATAAATATTTGTTTTATGACTAAAGTGCTACAGAATGGAGTGCAACATGGCTATTCATAATACTGGGTTTGGTAACCTTCCCACCCATGGGGAGGAGTGGAAGCTGATATCCACCTCTTAAATTTAATGTACCCACTAAATGCCAAGCATAGGACACAACATAGCCAACAAAGCAGACATAGTTCCTGCCCTTATAGTTCTTATAGCATTTTATTTGCTAAAGAACACTGTAGTCTATTTGCTCTGCCAAGCAAGTATCCCAAGATTAGAGTGGTAATAACATTAGCAGTAGTAATTAATCATAAGAGTAAATAGCTATAATTTATTCAACATCTATGTGCCATGTACTTTGCACATTTTATGTCATTTAAATCCTTCTAACAAGACACTGGGGACTCCAAAAAGTGGGAGGATGGGAGACGAGCAAGAATCGAAAAATTGCCTATCAGGTACAACATTCACTATTTGGGTAATAGGTATACTAGAAGCCCATCCTACCAGACCAGTATGCAATATACCCACGTAACACACAAGCACATGTACCCCCCAAATCTAAAACAAAATGAAATATCTGGAAAAAAATCTTTCTAAAAACTACCCTATCAATATTAAAGATTTCAAAGATGAGACTACTGGGTCTCTGAATGTTAAGCGGAATCACCTACGGTCATGCAGCTGGTAAGTGTTGAAATCAGCTGACTTATGTGACTCGAAAGCCCATGATGTTTCATCTACCTCCTACTGCTTCACTCAGAAACAGTCAGGCCTCAGCAACTGTTCTCTCTGCCCTAAGATATCTCTAGCTCCAGAAGTCAAATCCATTGGATTATTCAGGAAATTTAGAATGCTGTCCAGTCACTACCTCGTAAGGTCCCTCACCTTCCAGCAATAATAATTGCGGTCACTTACCTAAATGCTGGCAATGGATCAGGTGTTAGACTTGTCCTATTGCATTAGATCATCATAACAGTCCTGTGCAGTAGATGTTATTGTGCTCATTTTGCAGATGAGGGACCTGAGGCTTAAAGAGGGCAAACCTCTAGCCCAGTGTCCCACAGCTGCTCAGCAGCAGAGCAAGGTTTCAGAGTCAGATCTGTTAATACTAAATCCAGCCATGTCAAACCACATATAGTTGCCATCAACTTCCTGTCTTTTTTTTTTTTTTTTGCCTCTGTGTTTTCACTTAAGTTTTCAGAGATATCTCTTCCTCCTTTCTTCCATAGCGAACACTTGCTGCTCTTTGAAATCTCAACGTAAGCATCACTTCCTCAAGAGGAGTATCTTAGACTTCCCTGTCTTCTGCCCAGTATCATTCAGGAATCTTAGGGTTAGAGCAGAGAGACTGCATTTAAGCAAATACATAAGTCCACATGTGCATTTGGCTTCAGTGATACCAGGATCCAACGAGGTCAAGGGCCAGGTCTCAACTTTTCTCATGCTCTACCTCTAACATTCTCAGCACAGGAAGGTCTTTCCTAACATTGTAGCACACCAGATCCCCAGACTAACATCTAACTGTAACCTATTTATCAACCCAGAAGAAAGACTTCTGCTCTGGCAAAGTCCTGAGTAGAACTCTCATTGGCCCTATTTGGGTCAGGTGCACAGTTCTGAGCCATTGGCTGTGACCAGGAAGGTGCTGCACTCTGATTGGCCAGGCCTGGATCACATGCCCATGCGGAGGGCTGGAATAGCTTCCACCTTAACCGTGTGGACTGAGAATGGGGGAGGGGTGGTTTTTCCAAAGGAAATACTGGGTGCTATTACCAGACGGGAGAATGATTATAGCAGGCAAAAATAACAGATGTCCACTACACACACCAACCCAGACTAGATTGAATGCCCAATTTCATCTTCTTAACCACGCACTGTATGGGGATTTTTGTTGTATGTGTTTTTCTCCTCCACTAAACTATAAACCCCTCCAGGGCAGAGGCTATGTCCTCTCTCTCTCTCTCTCTCTGTATATATATATATATGTATATATATATGTGTGTGTGTGTGTATCTATATATATGTGTATATATATATGTGTGTGTGTATATATATATATATATATATTTTTTTTTTTTTTTTTTTTTGAGACATAGTCTTGCTCTTCACCCAGGCTGGAGTGCAGTGGCGCAATCTCGGCTCACTGCAAGCTCCGCCTCCCGGGCTCACGCCATTCTCCTGCCTCAGCCTCCCTAGTAGCTGGGACTACAGGCACCTGCCACCACGTCCGGCTGATTTTTTGTATTTTTAATAGAGACGGGGTTTCACCGTGTTAGCCAGGATGGTCTCGATCTCCTGACCTCAGGATCCGCCCGCCTCGATCTCCCAAAGTGCTGGGATTACAGGCGTTAGCCACAGTGCCCGGCCTCTCCTCTTCTTCTTTGTAAATTCAGCACCCAATAGACTGCCTGACACATAAGAGATGTTCAAGCCATATTTGTTGAGTGAATGTCAAATGTATGAATTTAAGAAGAGCTGATGGTATTTCATCTTACGTCTTTCTTTCAAAGGCAGCACCATGGTGAAGTGGAAAGAACACATGTGCCAAATCAGTGTTTTTCAAAGTATAGTTTGGGGAACCACCTGCATCAGATCAGATGCAGATTCCTGGGCCATAAACCAGATCTGTTGACTTGGCATCTCATGAAATGCTAAGTTTCATGGGGTCCAGAAATCTCCATTTTTAGCAAAATGTTTATGTGATTCTTATGTACATTCCTGTTAGTACCGTGGCACCACTATCAGACAATCAACTGAGGGTGAGTCCCAGCTTTATTGTGTGTCAGTTATGTGAACTAAAGGGAGTCATACCCTCTCAGCAACTCAGTTTGCTCCCTTTTAAAATAGGGCTAAGAAAACTACCTCATAAATACGTAGTAAGCCGGGTGCAGTGGCTCACGCCTTTAATCCCAACACGTTGGGAGGCTGAGGAGGGAGGATTGCCTGAACCCAGGAGTTCAAGTCCAGCCTGGGCAATGTAGCAAGACACTACAAACATTTACAAAATTAGCTGAGCATGGTGGCACATGGTGGCGCATGGTGGCACACGCCGGCACATGCCTGTGGTCCCAGCTACTCAGGAAGTTGAGGTGGGAGGATCACTTGGCTGCAGTGAGCTATGATCAAGCAACCACATTCCAGCCCGGATGACAGAGCAAGACAAGACACTGTCTCAAAAAAAAAAAAAAAAAAAAAAAAGTAATGAGGAGTCAACAAGATAACACTGGTAGTTTCTTTATAAAGCGTTGTATAAAAGTTTTAATACTTGAGTTTTTCTAATAATAATGGACTCTGGAATGCTTAGTATATACACGCCAGTTGTTGTTCTACAGTTCTAATTGTATGTGTTAACTCATTTAACTCTCACAACAACCCTGAGAGATAGGTATCCTTAATATTTCCATTTTGCAGATGAAGACACAGAGATAAAAGTTGTTTTCTGGCAAGTGGCTGAGACAAGATTTGAACTCAGCTTGCTCTTATGCCAGACTCCAGGCTCCTAGCCACTCACCCTTTCTTCTTAGAGATAACATGCCATCCTTCCTTAGGCAATTAAGCACCAGCCACTTCAGTGGCAAAGTGAGGACATTTGGAAACTCTGGGGACACCATTGAAACTTTCTGAGGCAAAATAACTCCAAATAAGACCTAGGACTGAAAAACACTGAAGAAAGGAGAGAAACAATGACAGTCATGTTGGGCCATGTAGCTTTAACAGGATGCCTTGGTGAAGAATTAACTGTATCAGATTCTGGTCTCTCTGCAGTAGAAAAGTCTCATTTTCACCTCCCTTTCCTGAAACACACCTTCTTGATTCTGTAACACTTCTGTGCTTTGAAAACCAGAGCTAGTCTCTAATCTTAGATGACTGTTTTTATTTTGAATTTGGTATACTTCTTCTTCCTCCTTTCTAACTTCTAGACACTAATACATTTTTTTCCATGAAGCATGAGCAAAGTCTGGAAGTGCAAGCCAAGCCCTCAGAAATGTGATAGCTGTTACCAAGGATTTGAGAGTAAGAATACAAAACCTAGAATCAAGATTTAAATGCTGCACTCTAGTATCTGAGATGGCACCCATCCACCTCAATGATGGAATCAACAAGGCATTAAGAAACCAGAGAATTTGTTCTGGGTTGCTTAACTAATGGACTAAACTTAAAAATCCTGTCACACCTCTAGCTTCTGTTTACCTGGCTCTGCTGAACACCAAGTGTAAAAGAACCTCTCTAACACTTCTGCTGTTGGGATGCCTGGACGTTTATGTTTAATTAAAATGTAATATGTATCTCATATAGACATATACTGTTGACCTACTTTGTTCAAAAAAGGAAACATTAAAATGAGGTAGTTTCTTAAAGCCAGAGGAACAACTATAATAATTTGAATGCTTCATGACCTATTCCACAAAGCCGTGGCAGGATCAATGTCTTCATTTCCTTGCCATCTCTGCTCCGTGCAGAATTAGGAAGGCAATCACCTAAGGGTGAAGGTTTTGAATGGTCACTAGGACAAAGGAGGGTAGAAAAACTGAATGTGAGCTGGTAACATATGGTGCCCTTGGGAGGCCTATGGGTCTAGAAGAGAGGGGGGTGGCTTGCTGATTGCCAGCAGCTAATTACCAAATTATCAGAACTTTTGGGGAACCCTCGAATGCTAGCCTGATACATTCATTTTTCACTCATGAAAGAAACATCCAGAGGGTGGGGGATGGGCACCAAGAGCTTCAAATCAGCACCTCCAAAGGCCTGGGGCTGGTGGCTGGAGTTTGCTCTGCCACGGAGAGTCAGTCCACCCTTCTGCTTATTTCCTAACTCTTGGCCTGTTGAGTTCTTCACACTATCTGTCCACTGTCCACCAAGGGGCCTGGCCATGGTTCCCTTTTCTTGGGCTATGTACTTTCAACCAGTTTTGAGCAGCCCCATTTCAGATTGGCCTTTTTATGTTTGATATAAAGAATAGTTGTTGGCCAATTTCATCTTTTCATCGCTGTTCTCTAGGCCTGAATCCAAGCAGTTTGTCAGATGCTCATTAACTCCCCCTTTGGCTCTTTCTAGTGTGTCTCCTAAGCTCATTGTGCCAAGAACTAACGCTTTCTTTTACACGATTCTCTTTCTCTGCTCCATCAGGGAGACAAATTACTTTCCAAAAGGGATCGCCAGGGATGGTTTAATGAGAATTTCTTTGGGGCTAGGCATAGAACGCAATGTAGTTAACATTCGGTGGACTTAATTGGACTTTTCTTTTCTGCCTCTTTTAAAAAAAATCTGAAGCTATCCTGTTAATCTCTCATTTGTAATCAATTGTGTTGACTAAACAAAAGTCTAGGTCGTCTTTTCTTCCTGTCCCAGACAATCCTTTGTTGCCTCTAAATGCCTCATTCTTGAGTGATCCTGGTCGCGTAGATGGGCCCGATTGTTGACAGTTCATTATTGCGCTTTTGTCCATTTAATCTTTCTTGCTGTGTTTTGCATGTGCATGCCTTAATGAGCTCCGTTGGCAATTAACATGTTTCTAGGAGCAAACTGGTTGCTCAGACGTTTGAGAGGGAAGTGCAGGGAAAAGGGCAACGCAGCTGCCTTGAGGTTGTTTATTTCCCAGCGTTTTCTCAAGACTCCTGTCCTCTCTTTGGCAGCCCCCCCACCCTTCCTCTTATCACCTCTTTCCCTCCCCCGGCCCACTCACCACCAGCACACCTGGACGCCTTACTGCTTTAACTCTTGGACCTGGCTCAGGCAGCCCCCTACTCACTTGTGAGCCAAACAGCAAAATGGGGACCATCTAGACCCACTTCTGCGGCTAAGGCAAGAATGAGCACAGTGCTCCCCAAAATGTGTCTGGGATGTTGGCAACTTTTCTGTGTCACTCTTTGCAGAGAGGAACCTCTAACCCGCCTAAGGCAATAGGACTGTACAATCTGTTATGTACGAGGCTGTGGCTTTGGAAGAAGGTTTTTTTTTTTTTTTTTTTTTGAGTCTTGCTGGCAAGATTGCTGAAGTGTGAGCAGTCATGGACAGAACAAACATCTTGTAGGGGAAAAGATAATTGGAGTCTTTTTTGTGTCTGTGACAGGATTCCCCTCCCCCGCAATTTGATTTCTTAAAAATATTTTTTAAGGGCAGCCTCTTCAATTTAATCAAGGTTAGAATATTAATATGTAGCTGATGACTACCTTGTTTAAGTCATTTATTAATATTATAAACTACAAGTCATGCAAACAGTTTAATATTAAGAGAGAGAAAAATCAGAAAACAGAGCCTTTCACCCATCAATTCCGATGCATGGTGAGTAACTAAGAAGGATGAATAGCTAAGATGGTTACTGAAAGGGCTTAGTGTTGGCTTTAGAACATGTGCTGGCTGTGAAAGGTGTTTTGTAATTCAGGCAGAAGGTTCATTTTCTCCTCACACTACTTTTCAGGTGAAGGAATCCTTTCCTGAATCCCACACCTGAAGGAAGCCGACATCTTAAACCTGGGAGTGACTTCAAACTTGTGGAAAGTAGAACTAAGCCCTATAGATACAGAGAACTCTGTTTATCTACAATTAGCACCAGATGTGAAATAACACCTTCTCAGGTGAGAGCGATTGACAGAAGCTGGTGTGAAGGTTAAGTAACAATCAAGTTATGAGGAAACAACCTCAAGGATGTTGAAGTGTGCAAGAAACTCTACTCAGTTATACCCCTGAGCTACAGTTAATGTTCCTCCCCCCACCACTGCAGAGATGAGCAGTCCATGAGAGAAATGCCTCCACCTCTACGCATGAGTTTTATATTATTTGCTGCCTAGTTTGCAAGCAAGCACGCCCCCATCCCTCTTCAGAATTTTAAGCCTGGAAGCAAATTTCTCCAGTTTTATGAGATGGGGGACCCTAGGAGTCTCTCTCCGTGAAAACTTATTACAGACTTTCTCAAAGAATGTTCTCTCACTTGATGGTTAGGGAGTTATTTCCCTGGGCAGTGGTGGGGAAGGCGTTCTCTCTTTTATTTATCTCTCCTTCTTAAAGAGAACTTGACCCTGATTTCCACGTGCAGGCCAACTTTTCCCATAACTTTTAAAAGAGGAGACCTTGCATTAAATTTTGTGGTATCTGTCCCTCACCCAAAGTTTTGGAGCTATTTAAGAAAAAGGTGGGCTTGCCCTGGTCATTGTCTGGTCTTCAAGAACCACATTTGCAAAGGATCCTCTCCAGAGGAAGGAAAAGATTTTGGTTGAGATGGCTGTCATAGGGCACTGTCATAGAACACCCAAGATCTCCCAGACGTAATGGGGGGAGAGCGCTAATAAGACACTATTGTACTATATGAGGACAAGGAAAGGGAGCTGACTCCTTAAACCGGCCTGCAGTCTCCCTGGGGATAGATGTCTGGGAAAAGCAAGGCGATATTTTCATATCCTTAGCCGCCAAGTCCTCCTCGCCCATCCTGGGGTTTCCTGGGGTTTGTGGCATCCACCGAGATTTCGGAGTTAAATCTGCATATTCCTCTGGGTCCCAATCTCCCCTAAGCGAACTGCAGCCAGAACGAGCTAACATTTAAATTCCCCCTCGCTTCCTCTTCCCCCCTCCCCTGGCTGCGTCTTCCTAGACTTGAGGGGAGGAGGGGAGGAATACAAAAAAACGAGGACGCTCTCCTTTCAGGAAATGGAATTCTAATGTACGCGTTCCTATTTCTGAATCGGAGGTACTAAAAATACCCCCGCGACAGCCTGAGGAAGCTGTCGCCGTCCTCTGTGCAAACAAAATCGACAATTCTCCTTCCCCGCGCAATGGGTCTGCGAATTGGGCGGCGGGCGGGGACAGAACCGTTGGCTGACCAGGACACAACCTCCATCCTGCCCCAGAGCGTCTTTCTCCGAGCCCCAACCCCGAGATTCTTCCTCCACTGAAGCGCAGGCCTCCTAAAACCCCCGGAGTTCGAATTCCTGCTCTACCAAGCCTGGTGACCCCAGGCATGTCACATAGTTCATCTCTGCCTCTATTTCTCCGTCTGTAGAGTGGGAATAATCATGCCCAGCTTGAGGGTTGTAGTCACCGTTCGAGAGGATGTGTGTTAAGTTCCTGGCATAGAGCAAGCCCTCGGGAGATGACAGGGTTTTCGCTAGTGGAAACCACTGGCACTCTCAGCACTGAGCGCCTACTGTATACCAGGTGTTGGGCAAACCCGCACTCCAGTCACTTTCTGAGTTACTTGGCGGAGTGAGGGGGTGCCCTTTGCGTTAAGCATCTTTCCCTTCAAATAGTCGCCTCCCGCCGTGGAAATACGCGTGGGGTCAGCTCCCAGCCACACTCGCCCCCTCAATGGGGAGGTTGCGTGGAAGCGCACTCCCGGGCCCCGCGCCGCACTTCCTCCTGGCGCTGGGGAACATTGTTCCAAGAGACGTGGGCTGAATCGCCGCGCGGATATTAAAAGTGTGTGTGGGGGGAGGCCCGGAGCGACGCGCCAGTAATCCGAGCTCTTGATTATCCAGATTCGGATCAAACGGGGCGGCGGCGGCCGGCCCCCTCCTGGGAATGATTAGATGATTAATGTAATGCTGTTTGAAGGGTCTCTGTTTTCTCTCTTAATTTGGGTCATTACTTAGAAAGCAAGCGTGAGATCATTTCATCAGCGTGCTCGGCAGCAGAGATAGCTATTCAGGAAATGGGCTAACGGAGCGGTAATCAGGACCCAGGAGGCGGCGGCGGCGGCGGCAGCGAGCTCGGGGAGCCCGGGCGCGCCCTCCGGCGGCAGGGCTCAGGGCACCGGGAGGCCAGCCCCAGACCGAGAGCGCAGGCCAGTGAGCCCCGAGGCTCTGGCTGGCCTGGGGGACCCTTACCCTCCAGTTCTCGCCGCCAAGGGAGATTGGGAGCGGTGGTTGCCCTCCTTAGGTCTCCCGGAGAAGGGGACGCGCCCAGAAGCTCTCCGGTGGGGTAGGGCGTAGATCGCTTACCCTCGCGGGGCGTGGCGCTTTGCTCAAGGACGCTCCCAAAAGCTGCTCCCCAACACCCAGTCGCTTTTAACCCTTTTCTTTGAATTTGCTTACCCAAATAAGGCAACACCCAGAATCCCAAGCGTCTGAACAGTCACCAAATAAAAACTTGGCACCTGCTGTAGGCCGACGTAGGCCTGCTCGCCCTCACTCCTGGGGGCCTTAGCACACAAGCCCAGCAAGAACACCGGTTTGGCCTCAACCCTGGCCCCAGCGTCCCAAAATTGGTGCATTTAGGAAGGAAATGCTATAAACGCCTAATTCCTTCTCGTTCTTTGGGGTTGCTGAGCTGACCTCGCCGCGAGGGGAGAGGGGGAAAAAAACGCGCACTAATGATTCTGTTTATTGAGTTATATATGTATATATTCCGTGTTCGCTTGTACAGGAGGATTTACATGGCTGTATAAAGATGGCTAGGGGCGCCGCGCTCTTCTGGGGCGCTCACGGTGACAGGCTGGGGTTAAAACTGGCTGCCCCAGGAGAAGCGGAGGCCTGGAATTAAATACGTTTCGGCGCACTGGATTTAAATAAGTTTCCTGAATATACAAAGGTGGGGGCCACGAGTTTGCTGCCAGTCATCGAGGAAACATTTAGCTTTCCAAAAATATGCTGGTTTCGATAAATAGATTTTAGCCTCTCTGCTATAGTTTTTTTTTCTTTTAATTTTAGAAATAAGTTTATATGTGTGATCTGTTTTCAGGTGGTACAGGGAGGGAAGGAAGGGCAAGGCAGTAGCTCTCAGCTCTGCACTGTCCTAGTCAGGTCCTTTGCGGAGGGGGCAGCAGGGCCCACGCTGTCGTGGAGTTTGCGCACATGTTTCTTTAAGTCAAAGTTTCTGCAAAACCCTTTGCCGCAAGTGGCGCACGTGAAAGGCTTCTTGTCGTTGTGGGTGTGCATATGGAAGGTTAGGTTGTAGACCTGGTGGAAGGCCTTGTTGCAGATGGTACATTTGTACTGCTTCTCGCCGCTGTGGGTCAGCTTGTGGTTCTTGTAGTTCCCTACAACAGATCAAGAACAAAAAACGTGGGGGTATGGAGTAGAATGGTGGGGAGGAAGAGGCGGGCGTCCCAGGGGCAGCCCAGGTGCCTGCTCAAAAAAGGCGACGCTTGGCTAGGCGGGCGCGACCTCTTCGAGTGAAGAAGTTGTCAAACTTCGTAAGCGTCAAGCCGGGTGCTCTCCCGACAAGACCGAGACTGAGTCCCGCGGAGCCGCTCTGCGCTCCTGCTCTGCCCGCCACAGAGGCTGGTGCAGCTTCCCTCCCGCCGCGCTCCGCGGGCCGGGAAACTTTTGCGTAGCCCAGAGACGCACCGAGTCCTTCTCCTGGCTGATGCCTCGCTAGAAGAAATTCGCACGAACCCGGGCTTCATCCTTTTTCTTTTCCCCCTTCTCATTTTTAAAGTTACTTCTTTCTCGCCCCCCAACTACCAACTGAAGATCCAAAAGTGCCTTGGAAAATCCGATCCAGGGGCCAAGGATCATACCGGTTTCCCCCAATCTTAGATTGTTCCCGGGAGGGTTATTTTGCCTCCAATATTTTTCATTTGAAAGGGAAGTTCCGGATACAAAAGGAACCTTTTTCTATAGGGCAATACCCTCTCCTTTTCCTACATCCTTTCCTTCTGTCCCCGTGCTTCCTTCGACCTCTCGAATTCGGAGTCTCTCAGTGCACCCAGCCTGCATACAGCGTGGTCTACTAACCCCGCTAGGAGAGCTTCCCCCTACACCAGGCACAACCCGATTCTAAAGAAATGCTGCGCCCGCGCCTGCAGATTTCGCCTTCTCTCTCCAGATCCCTCTTTGCCTTCCTGCCAGCCAGCCGCGACCCGAGTCCTGAGGTGAGGTGAGAAGAGAAGGCCTCGCCTGGCACGTTACCTTTTTGGTGAAAGCCTTTGCCGCAAAATTCGCAGACGAAGGGCTTGTAGCCCGCGTGGATGCGGATATGCGTGTTGAGCGTGGAGCTGCGGTTGAACGCTTTGCCGCACTGGTTGCATTTATGTGGCTTTTCCTGAGGAAAGGGGCGAGTGCACAGTAAGGAGAGGCCACCTCGGGAACACCTGGAAGGGACATCCCCCCCACCCCCACTCAACCCTAGAGGGTAAGGGATAATCTTTGGCCATCGTATCCCCGGTGTTATCACTAAGATTCTGGGGGTTGCGCGCGGGCTAGGCCCGACCCGGGGGCCACGTACCTGGGTGTGGATAATTTTGTGCCTGCAGAGCGTGCTGGCCTGGCGAAAGCCTTTGCCGCAGACTTTGCACACGAACGGTCTGGCTCCGGTGTGGACCGGCATGTGGCGGGTGAGATTATAGTGAGCGTTAAACACCTATGGAAAGACATGGGGGGCCTTGTGGTGCGTCTGTCCGAGGGCCTACAATCAGCCCCGGGGGGGCCACAGCCTACCTCCCCCAACCAACACCCCCTTCAGAAACCAGAGCCTTTTTCAGTTTGTAAAGTGCTGCCCAAACTCCTGCTTACACCAATACTGTGTGGCCGCTGACAAGGGCATCCCCATTTTACAGAATAGGAAACTGAGGCCCAACGAGGCTCCCAGTTTGGGTAGTCAACTACTGGGGAGCTCCTCAGCTTGAAAAAGGGGCATTCCAGGCTGCCCCAAGGAAGCCGCCGCCGCCGATCGCCCCTCCCGGCCCCCCTCGCCGAACCCTGGGCCTCACCTTGCCGCACACCTCGCAGGTGAAGTTTTTGGGCTTGCCATCTGCGGAGCCTCCTGGCAGCTTGCTGTGGCCCTTGACGCCTCCGCGCTCGGCAGTCAGGGCCGAGTTTTCCTTCAGTACCTGCTCCAGCGGCGCCGGCAAGCGCTCCTTATGGGGATAGGGAGCCGGGTGGGGGAACTTGTCCGCAGCCAGGCCGGCCAGCTTGGCGTTCTCCAGCAGAAAGAGCTTGGGGTGAGCAGCCAGGGCGGCGGGGGCCTGCGCATTGAGGAGGCCAGACGGGAAGAGGTGGCCGCTGAGGAGCTCAGACGGCGGGTACGCGGTCGAGTCCAGGTAGTTGAAGTAGTAGAGCGAGCCGCTGGCCGGCAGCCCCACAGCCTGGTTGATGACCTGCGGCTTGATGACCCTGCCCGCGGGCAGCGCGGACGGCGCCAGGCCCAGCTCGGCCTTGCAGCACACGCCACAGTTGGTTTTGCACAAGCCGCTGGCGCCGCACACTGGGGCCCCCCCGCCGCCGCCGCCGCCACCGCCGCCGCCGCCTCCGCCGCCGCCCGCCCGGAGGCTGCTTTTCCAGAGCTCCGAGTAACTGAGCAGTGTCTTTGACGGCACCTCGTAGCCTAGGGGCTGGAGGGGGATCATACAGGGCAGCGGCGAGCAGAGGTTGAGCAGTTTCTTGCCCTGGCTGCCGTCCGCCTCTAGCGCTCCAGGCCGGGGCTCAAAGGGCGCACGGGGCTCCGACGTCTTGGCCATGATGCGCTCGATGGAAAAGGCCAGTGTCTTGGAAGTGGCCGGCGACGCTCCGGCGCGCGGGCAGGCCGGGGGCACCATGGTCTCCAGGGAAGCCGAGCTTGCCATGGCGCGCGGAGCTGAGCCGAGCCAGGCTGGGCCAGGGCGCAGCCTCTCTCCTCTAAGTCTGCATTCCGGAAAAGGCAGGGGGGAAAACTGCAATTTAATAAGCACCTAGTCGGGCCCGGGTCACCCATTTGCATTCAAATGAACAGGGGCAAAACAAAGTGCACCCAAGGGTACCAAATTACCGCCCATTAACCCGGCGCGCAAAGGAACCCACCAGCCCCTGCCCTGGGACTTTGAAAGGGGGAAGAAGGGGGAGGGTTTACAAAAGAAAAGGGGGGGGGCGGTGAGAAAAGAGTCTCAAATTAACCCCCCTGAGCCCTTCCCTGGACCCGGGCCTCTGCCACGCGTGCTGGGAGCTGGACAGTGAAGGGGCAAAGTTAAAGAGGACCGGAGAGCCACCTCGCATTTACCTCTTTCCCCCACCACCAAGGAGATGCGTTCCGAGCCATGCAGCGTGTCTCTTCTGTCACATTTTGATGGCAAACATCTTCCCCTCCGCGTGAGATCACTGTCTTTTACATTCAGCTGACATCACATGAAGTCACTTGAAGTGGAATGACATGGGCGGCGGCGCGGCTCCCGTAGCGGCCCCTGTGTTCCCCCGCGCCTGCCGGCCGCCGCCACCACCGCCCCTCAAACTTTAAAAGGAGGCAACTGGCGCCCGCGCTCCTCTCGGGAAAGTGCGAGCGGTTTGCGAATAGGGAAAGAGGGAAGAGACGGGAGGGGGAGGGGGAGGAATCGTGATGGTTTTGCCGGTGGAAGGAAAGGGGGGGGGGGACCCAAACCCAAACCTAGGCAGAGTTCCGTGCGTGATTCACAACTTTGGAGGCCTGCAGGTTTGGGGGACGCGGGGAGGGCGGAGGGTCCCGGACGCGGCGCCCCCAAAGGGCCCCTGGGTATCAGTCTAGTAGCCGAAGTATCCCTTAGCCCTCCGCAGCCGAGCTGGGCATCGTGCTAATAAACTGCCATTTACCCACGGAACCGGCGCCAGCCCCGAACACGCGCAAATGATAATTACCTCATTAGGATGTGGCGCATGGACGCGGGCGCCGCGTTTGGAGGGGGGAACTTGTTAATGGGGAAATATTAATTTATGCAAAAGCAATGAGCTCGCCTTGGCTGGCGTCGGAGGTCGGGAGAAAGCTCCCACTGACTAAGGACGACCCCGAAGCGTCACGGAGAGCAAGGCCGCTCGCCGGCATCTCGGGGGCCTCGGCGCCGCGCAGGTGCGCCTCCAGCTTTATGGCCAGCTCTGGGTCTGAGGCTGGGGGAGACTAAACCGAGAGCTGGAAGACTTTCGGAGATCCTAATAGATCAGAATTGTTGATTTATGATCGGGTTTCTGAGGCAAAGCCGAGTTCTGCTTCTGGTTTAGGGCTGCGTGCGGGGAGGATTCGGAGGGCAGCTCTCCCAGCTGATGGGTACTTACTGTTTGTATAATTGAGAAGGTCCCATCTCCACCTGTTTAAGGAGCAGATTGAAACAGCAGAACCTCCCCCTGGATCCTATTAAAACGTTTTTCCTCCTAAGGCCATTCAGTCGAACCAATTTTCCGAAGTGATTCATAGAGCTGAATTCTGCCAAGGCAGCTCTTTCACTTTTAGCCACTAAAGCACCGCGTGGAACCGGGTTTTGTGTTTTTCTAAAATAAAGAGAAGGATTATCAGAGAGGAGAGGGAGGGGGCCTGAAGGGGGACGGGCAGAGACTTAGTGTGGCCAGAGGTACAAGCAGAGGGAAGAAAAGACCCTTTTCTAGACAGGCCCCAAGTAAGTTCGGAGGAATTCAGCGTTTTGTGCCTGGCGCACAAAAGCAGCGCGCTCCGCGCTTGGTTTGGAGGGGCTGAATTCATCTGTTTGCAGACCATTCCACCTGCGTATCACAACAAACTGCTCAAAGACGCTCCAGCACTTTCAACAGGCCGGGTGCTCTTGGCGACAACAAAAGTGGTCGAGGCTGAGGGTTCTTACGGAGGGGGGTGGTGGTGGCTAGCAAGAGAGCGAGCGAGAGAATTAGGTTTAGGAAAGGGGGAGGACTGGGTGCAAGGGTTTTTTGAAAAGTTTTGGCTGGTTTTGTTCGCGGGACAATTATATCTTGCTAGCCAGCTTTTGCAAGACCACGAGCTTTGTAGCCGCAATCACAGTTTAAGAGGATTACCGTGGATATAATATGAGCAAACAGGGTTTGATAGTGAATTCCATCTCCAAAGACACACGATCATGTGAAGCCAGAGAAAGTGGTGGTAGAGGTAAACCCTCTGTTTCTTCACCCAGGAACAAGTCTTGAGAGGGCTGAGTATCCTGTCCTAGGCCCCTCCATGCTGCGAAACATCCCTGGAGAACGTTAAGGGACGGGGGAGAAAAGCTCTAGTTTTAACTTCAGGCAAATCGCTCCCTTTTTCCCTTCAATAAAAGTCTCTTTCCTTCTGCCCACCCATCCAGTTGCGGCTCCTTTGAGGTGCAATTTTAGGCAGGATTTGGACATAGCAGGTAAAGGAAGGAAAAGTGTACTTGGAAAGAAAAGAGAGGGAACAGAGAGAGGTCCCTGAGGGAAAGTGGCTTGGAGGTGGACTGCAATAGGCTAATGCTCTCACCCTGCCAAACTCTGAAACTGCCCCTAAATTCCGCAATCATAAGTCTGTTCCCATAACGTCACCCTCCCACCCCCTCCCCAAACTACCAGATTTCTAAGCCAAGAGGCTTGCTCATCTGGAGAAGAACATTTCCATATAGCCCATTTAATTTAGAAGATGTTCAGAGAGACAGAATTCCAGACCCAGGGTACCCCTATCCCTATGTTAATGTGAACACAACAGCACAGATTACTCCCTCCTCCCACCAAACATGAAACAAACCAACTCACCCCAACATTGAAACAATATCAATACACCTGCAGCATCTCAAGACCCGAATTTCTATCCCGACTCTCCTGTGGATCCCGTTTGCCACAAGTACTGCACCCCAACCCTTTTTCCAAATTGGGTAATTGTTGCTCTCCGCAGCAGCTCGAAAGATCTGCTGGTTTGAAAGCTCCATCAGGCTGAAAGGCTTCCAAGGGCTTCCCATGAACCTGCCTTGCCATTTCTATCGCTTTTTGTGGCTGCATAAGCCATCTCTCGCTCTCTCTCCAGCATCACAAAGGAGTGCTACCTCCACAGAAAGAAAACATTTGGGTAAAAACAAGTTGCCCCTAATGTGCCTCTCTTTCCAAATGTTGGGTGAATACACTGGCTTTTATGAAAGTATTTAATTAGCTTCCACAAACTTCTCCTTCCCTCGCCTGCAGATTATATTGAAGTGGAGGGTTGGAAACTATTTTACACCTTGCCACTCACATGTTAATTAATCTCTATCTAACCCTAATTGCAGTTTATTCAAGCACCGCTCAACAGCTCACCCACACAATAAACACTGATCCTACTTTTATACATATTACTTCACGTTAACACATTGAGTAATTAACTCCAGTACCAACTAATAGTGCAA
Source organism: Homo sapiens (assembly GCF_000001405.40). Taxonomy (NCBI): domain Eukaryota; kingdom Metazoa; phylum Chordata; class Mammalia; order Primates; family Hominidae; genus Homo; species Homo sapiens. The sequence continues at coordinate 62,376,352 of NC_000003.12, forward strand.
ACAAATATTTTCTGTAAACGAGATGATTTCAGGCAGAATAATAGAGGACTGGGGAAATGTGGCGCATGGTGGAGGGAGTGCTGAGATTTCCGTTCGCTGTCCCCAAATCCTCCAAATTCATTCTTATATACAGCATCTTTTTTTTGTTTGCTTTGAGGCTGAACTGCTTTCTTTTTTTCTTTTCTTTTCTTTCTTTTTTTTTTTTAAAGAGGGACAACTATAGAAATTAAAATCTCACAGTTTTAGGGAGTCGGTGGAAGGGTTCTGTGGGATTTGGGGTGACATTTTTTCCACCTACGCATTTTCAGTAAAGGAAAATCCAAAATAACTCGACATGAAGGGCAACATGGGGCTCCAGGGCTGAGCAGATGTTTCAGGGATGTGGATTCATTTATGGAAAATAATGTCATCTTATCCCTCCCTCCCCAAGAAGTCTGTCCCCCAAAGCATGATTTTCCAGTAGAAGTGGGCTGAGGCTATGCTGACATTCTGTAAGTTCCAGTCTCTTTCCCAACCCAAACTGGTACACAAGCTCCACGTTGGAGGTGTTGGTGCCTTCGGGTCAAGAGGAGGACCCAGCAAGCCGCCTGTCCGGGAGGCACGCGGTGGCGGCCCAAGTGAGGCCTACTAGGCCGCAGAACGCGCTCCGCTCCAGGGCAGGAGTCCTAGGTTGCCCTGTGTAATCCCCGGGCGCCCAGGCCCGTGGCCTTCCGATTCGCTCCATGGCGTGGGTTGCAGCCCGTCACGCACGGCCGCCGGGCCCGAATCCACCTTGGCGCCTTCCCTAGCCCGAGGCCTCAGCCCCAGGCCTATTTCACTTGGAGCGCCTCAGCCTAGAGCCGGACGCTTTGGCTTCTTCGCCATCTGGCCCTAGGTTGGGCCTCAAACTCCCGGCGGCGGTAGGGAAACAGACGATCACAGTTAGGCCTGAGGCCCCTCGGCGGCCTGTGTCCTTCCCACGCCGAAGAACAAGGCGCCAAGGCCGGGCGCGTCCGCTGCTCTGCGGGGCCTGACCGGGGCGGCGACCTCTGGGATCCGCGGCGGTGCGACGCCGCGCCCTGGCCAAGCAACCCGCACACCACTGACTGGGGATCCGGGCCCAACCTCAAGGACTGGAGCGCAGTGTTTTAATTGAAATCGCAGGTTTAAGCACAGCTGGCGGCTGTCTATTGATTTTTACAGGAGCTTCTCTTATGGGAAGCATATTAAATATGACTGGCGCGGCTAGAGCTGAGACTCTCCTCCCTCCCCTTCCCTCTGTCCATTTTATGGTCACTAACCCGAAGCACTGTAATGATGACTTTTGTTTAAAAAACATATTTTTTTAAATGCCCGAAATCGCCCTCACTTTAGGACAAATTAGCAGATGCCTTCTTGCGGTGTAGACAACCTCAGAAGAAAATCCCTTTCTTGCGCAAAAAGCTCACACATTTGCACCACGGAAGAAAAAGGCAAGCATTTCCACTCCAAAAAGTGTTCCAATTTCAGCCCCTGTGGCATGCATATCTTGGTTCTGGATGACAAGGGGCACTATTATTTTAAAAACCGTTATTATTTTTTCATCTGGTTGCAATACATAACACAGCGCCCTATGTATGCCATCTCCCCAGGGAGCCGAGCAGCTTGGGAGGAGAAGGCTTGCTTGCGGCTCCCGAGTTTGGGGAAACACGGGCACTGGGGACCCCGCTCCTTCCTGACTTTTTTTTTTTGGGGGGGGGGGAGGAACCAATCCTGAAACAAACAAACTTTATGGTTTAAGGAATGTCTTTTCTTATTCCCTCCCTCCTTCCCTCCCTCCCTCCCTCCTTCTTCCCTCCAGCTCTCCTTCCTTCCTCCTTTCCTTTCTTTTCTTCCTTCTTTCCAAAGGAACATTTAGAATCTGATTTACTTGGTGCCGCGCTTAACCGCTGCTGAAAATAGATTAACTTCTGAAGAGAAATTCTTTTGCTATCCTCTCTTTTTTCCCCAGGAAGCATTTTATTGAAAACATTCGAACTGGCTTGCCCGTGGCGGGCTTGTCCAAAGCACAGGGGCCTCCGCCTTCGGTGCGCGTTGTTCTCAGGATTAGTGCTGTTGGGAGACAAAGAGCCCCAGATACCCGAGGCTGGGAGCGCCGGAGAGCTCCCAGGTTTCGGGTACCCTCCCGGAGCACGCAAGCACAGTCCCAGGCCTTTAGGGACAGATGGGCCAGAGCCGTCTGCATCTGCCCGCATCCTTTGGGAGGCTGCGATGATCGCAGCCAGGGTGGCCGAGCGCCCGGCCCACTGCACCCGGCGGCTGTTTTGCAGCGCCCCTGGCATTCAGGGAATGGTTTGCAAATCTCAATGCACCACAGACTAGTTTTCACCGTGGAGCAGGAAAGGCGCCTATTAGCCAGGGGCAACCGGCTTTGCAGACCTGGGCGGGGGCGTAGGGGGAGGGGCGGTGGTGCAAACCTATCGTGATTTCCAGGATCCTCCCAACTCCCTCCGCTATCACATCAGAGGACATTCGCTGACTCTTCGGAAATCTGGGCAGCGAATACACTTCTAGGCCAGAAGAATTCTCCTAAAAGAGCAGATCTGCAGTCTATCCGTGCAAGCTTAGTACTCTCCTCTCTGCCCTGGATGCATATATATTCACAAACATATATATGCATATCATATATATGCATATTGTTTATATGTATGTATGTATATACTTATATACTATCGGCAACCCATCACTAGAAATGCTATTTAATTAGGAATCTGATCCAATACCCGCGTGCAGCAATTTGCCAGCAGACGTGTCATTTTGTAAGGCGCAGTGAGGGAAGGAAGTCGTCTCGCCTACCTGGGTTTTCCACTTGCTACGCGATTTTGGTGTGCAACCCAAAGGAAATAATCGTTTATAGAGAACGATGATGATGTATTTTTATATATGATATAACACACACATCCGTGTATGCATATTTGAAATTAAAAGGCGTTTTGGTGACTGACTGGCCCTGCGTAGTTGAGAGATGTCGGTTTCCGACTCCCTGGGAAGACGGCTTAGGATCCTCCGCGTTATTTAACTTGGCAGCTGGTTAAACTCCGCGGTGGAGCCTGCCCAAAGGTATTAGCGTTAAGTGCTGAGAGCAGGAGTTAAGCCGGCAGGGAAAAGGGACCGGAAGGGGTACAGGGGTGAGGGAAACCGATTTCAGACTTCCCCCAACTTCTGTAAGTTTGCCAGGCAATGTAGGTCTGAGTTAGATGGTGCATTGAATAAGAACCTGAAGCGTTGTGATCGCTTTGCAAGCGAATCTCTCAGCTCTGTTTTGTTTGTTTGTTTTGTTTGGCTTTGATAAGAACTTCTCGTGTGTACCGGCAAACGGAAAAGTTCTCTCTTGCCCGCATCTCTGGAGCTCTCAGTCGAATCCCATCTTTTCTTTACCTGGGTAAAGATCCCTGATGCTCCACCCCGGGAATTTATAGTCTGACTTAGGTGAAGACAAAATGAGAACTCTAAAATACTGCGAAGAGCACATCAATCAATCAAAAAGGAATCAATCTCTTCTTTCTGCTTCCATCGCTGCCTTCATCACACACACAGACTCTCCCTCTTCGGGGATGAATCTAGGGTAGCAATTAGTAGATGATTACTTATTACTGAGGGCCTATTGTATGCCACAGCACTAAGTTTAATACCCACCCTAGTCAGTCCTCAACATCGTCCTGTGAATCCAGTGTATATAATAGATATCTCCATCACACAAATGCAAAAATTGAGGCTCTTGGAGGCTGGGTAGCATGTCAAAGCTCACGTAACTGGTAAGAGGTTTTCAGAGGTGTACTCCTAAGCACCATACTAAAAACCCAAAACTAAACAACTGGCTTGTGCTGCTGGTGGAATGGAAATAGGGACAAACACTTTGGAAAACTGCATGGCGGTATCTACTATGGTTGAGTGTTTGCATTACTTATGACCCAGCAACACCACTCCTAAGTATATACCAAACAGAAATGAGTACCCGTGTTCACCAAAAGACACGTACTATAATGTTTACAGCAGCACTATTTGTAATAGCCTTAAATTGGAAATTGACTGAATAACCATCAAGAGTGGAACCCATAAATAGTGGTATACTCACAAAATTAAATACTATACATCAATAAGAATCAACAAACTGCTGCTACACTCAGCTTCATGAATGAGTCTCAAAAATAATGTTGAGCAAAAGCAGCCAAATTCAAATACTTGGTACTGCATGATTCCATTCAAAATAGGCAACATTTGGGGACAGAAGAGAGGGGCTTCTGGGGTACTGAGAAAGGTCTGTTTCCCGATCTGGGTTCTGGTTTGTGAATGTTCATCAAGCTATGTACAGTTTATTTGTATACTTTTCTAACTATCTGTTAAATACACTTTTTATATTTCTATATACATATTATAATATCTATATATCTGTTAAATTAGTGAATCATTATGAGTTAGTTTGACTTGCTCCCATCCCTCAAGTCCTCAAAGAGACACTACTCCTCACCTGCCTCTTGAGTTATGCTCTTTTAATTTCTTTCTCTGGACCAGACAACCACATCAATTAATTGGCCTCTCATCTAGACTTTTAAAAATAAACTGCATCCAAACTTCTAACACAGTTGTCTTTGGAGGCAGGCAGTTAATCCAGCTTCTCAGGGAACCTGCAATAAGCTCAAGAATGCTTAATCAAGGGAGCTCATTTGCAGCATTCTTCTCACTCACAACCTCAGCAGAGGGGTGGCAGTTGTGAACTTGAACCTGTACCCCTTGCCCTGGGGTTCTAGGTGAATGACTTCAGGCTAGAGACTGCCTCAAACTTTCCAGAGACATTATCTGGCAGGTTGCCTTTGGAGGTGGAGGATCTGGTTGAGGTCAGGAGGACAGGGTCTGAGATGTTTGTAGGAACTGGCATTAATAGAAAGCCTTGGCAAGTCCTTAGAGCTCAACTCACTGGGTCTTGGCCCTAGACAAGACCAGGGGAAAAAAGACAAAATCTTGGCTCCTTGGCAAGTGACCCAGTTAGCAGAACTGGGAATTTTGCTCTGGGAGAGGGTGGGGAAGTTTATTTTAGCAAGAAAAAGCCTTGGGACACAGAAACCAAACCAAATGCTTGACAATCCCTTTGTGCAAACCCATGGTGAATCCTGCCAGGGACATAGGTTACAAATCCGACTTCGGCACTTCAAGAAAGATACCAAGAACCTACAGCTAAAGCAATTAAGGTGGGGGCAAGGAAAAGGTAAGAGCTGGTGCTCCAATTCACATAAATTAAAAAGATAATTCTTGTCCCGAAAAATTGAAAGGAGATAGGACCTAAGGCAATATAATTCATTCATTAGTTAGCCATCTTGAGCCGTTAGCTATCTTGAGCCTTTCTGTACTGGGTACCATCTAGATGCCAATATATACAGCACTTCCTGAGATAGACACAGTCCCTGCCCTCATGGAACTTACATTCCATCATTCAACCAATAGGCATGCATAAGTAAGTATCCTCTCTAAACCACTATGTGCTGTTATTGGAGTATTGGAGAATGAATGATGAGCATGGTGGGGTGATATAAGACTCTCAAAAAGGGTGGAGTTAAAAAAAAGTACAAGCAACCAGAAATAAACTCAAAGAATTCCCTGGCAGTAAGGTTAACAAATTTTAAAAACTTCTCACTCCAGCAGAAGTTACAGGCTAAAATCACAAATAAAGAGTTTCTGCAGGCATTTCCATGATGTGTGGGTAGATTCACCCTTTGGCAGCTCATTGCTTGGTGCTTTTTCTAGAGACAGATTTCTGGCCTGGGTGGAACTTGGGTCTCCTTGGAGCAGGGCATTTCTTAAAACGTTATGACACAACATAAAACTCCTTCCTGGGCTTTGTAGGGCTAAGTGTCTTTGAGGCAGTGTGGCTTCTGCAATCTGATCAAGACAGAAGCCTTGCTTGTCAGTTCTGTGTGTCCACAGGCAACTTACTAAACCTCTCTGCAAGGCTGAGTTGCCCATCTTTGGCAGGAGAGAAATACCTGCTTCATCATAGGTAAGGACTAAAAGAAAATGCACAGAAGGATCTCAGCGCTGGTGGCTGGCCAATAGAAAGCGGAGTATTCACTATTGTGGTTATAATAACTATTTTGATAACAATGGTTGTTCAGGCTGACTAGAGGACGAGAGGAAAGAAGAGGGCAAAAAAAAATTCTTTCTTATTCTGTTCTTTACTTCTTTTATTTGATTTTGTAAATAAGGTGGGTTTTTTTCTGATTTAAAAAATAATCGATGGAGAAATTTTGGGAAAAGTAGAGAATTACAAAGAAGAGAAATTAAAATTGCACAAATCCTACCACCCAGAAACTGCAGACAAGTCTTTGGTGTATATTCTTTCTATGCATTTACAAGATGACATCATATGATACATACTGCTTTATAATCTGCTTTTCCATTTAATATAGCATGAATATTTTCCCATGCTTTAAATATGCTACTAAGACATTATTTTAATGTCTCTGTAGTACTTCACTATATGTCTTTCACGTGAGTTAGTCCTTTGTCATTGGATATTTAAGATGTTTACAATTTTTTTGCAAGAGTTCCATCGGGAACATTCTCACACATGAATTTTGTGCATAGCTGATCCTGTAGGACAAATTCCCAGAAGCAGAAGTACTATGGTAAAAGATATGCACATTTTTAAAGCTTTAGATACCAACTGACAAACTGCCCTTCAGAAAGGGGATACATATTTAGCCCCACTCCAGTCAGCAGGATGTGACAATTCCTTGTTCCCAGTACCTTCACAAATACTACGTATAATCATTTAAAAAATCCTTACCATTGCCTGAGCCTGGGAGGTGGAGGTTGCAGCGAGCAAAGACTGCGCCACTGCAATCCAGCCTGGGTGTCAGAGGAGACCCTGTCTAAAGAAACAAAACAAAACAAAAGGCTGGGCTCAGTGGCTCACACCTGTAATCCCAGCACTTGGGGAGGCCGAGGTGGGCAGATCACCTGAGATCGGGAGTTTGAGACCAGCCTGGCCAACATGGTGAAACCTACTAAAAATACAACTGGTGAAACTCTACTAAAAATACAAAAAATTAGCTGGGCATGGTGGCGGGTGCCTGTAATCCCACTTACTCAGGAGGCTGAGACAGGAGAATCGCTTGAACCCAGGAGGCGGAAGTTGCAGTGAGCCAAGATCACACCACTGCACTCCAGCCTGGGTAACAGAGTGAGACTCTGTCTCAAAAAAAAAAAAAAAAAAAAAAAAAAATTCCTTACCAATTTGATAGACTCCAAATGGTATCTTATTGCTGTTTATGCCCATATATTCTTACCCAGGGCAGACTTGGGTGCCAAATTACAGAGAACTTAGAATGTAGAAAGAACGGTGCAGACCTAGGTAATAGAAAAGAGGAAGACATGTGGGAAAAGACATCCAGAGAGAGAAGCATCCAGAGAGAGAAGCATCCAGAGAGAGAAGCATCCAGAGAAAAAGGAGACCCGTGTCACATCCCTTTTGGCATGCAGATGTTTCCAGATTACTTTAGGCTTTGAACATTTTCTTGAGTAGCCTTCTCTTCCCTGCTCTTGAGAACCCCGTAGTCAGAAAATGGGCTGCTAACCCTCTACCCACCCTTCCTTCCTTCCTTCCTTCCTTCCTTCCTTCCTTCCTATTTTCTTTCTTTTCTTTTCTTTTCTTTCTGACAGAGTCTCCCTCTGTTGCCCAGGCTGGAGTGCAGTGGTACGATCTCAACTCACTGCAACCTCCGCCTCCCAGGTTCAAGCAATTCTCCTGCCTCAGCCTCCCGAGTAACTGGGATTACAGGTGTGTGCCACCACACCAAGCTGATTTTTGTATTTTTAGTAGAAATAGGGTTTCACCATGTTGGCCAGGCTGGTCTTGAACTCCTGACCTCCAGTGATCCCCCTGCCTTGGCCTCGCAAAGTGCTAGGATTACAGGCTTGAGCCACCGTGTCTGGCTCCTCTACACTTTAGTTTTTTCTTTTTTTTTTTTTTTTTGAGACGGAGTCTCACTCTGTTGCCCAGGCTGGAATGCAGTGGGGTGATCTGGGCTCACTGCAAGCTCCGCCTCCCGGGTTCACGCCATTCTCCTACCTCAGCCTCCCGAGTAGCTGGGACTACAGGTGCCCACCACCACGCCTGGCTAATTTTTTGTATTTTTAGTAGAGACGGGGTTTATACCATGTTAGCCAGGATGGTCTCGATTTCCTGACCTCATGATCCGCCCACCTTGGCCTCCCAAAGTGCTGGGATTACAGGCGTGAGCCACCGCGCCCAGCCTCCTCTACACTTTCTAGACCTTCTGTTCTACAGCTTGCTTGTGGGTGCTCATCTGGCCACCTGAACTTGAGCCCAGTGAGCAGGAGCCTGGGGCTAATGAGGCCATGGTGGTCTGTGCCTCTTCCAAAGGGCTCCCAAACAATTAGGTTCTGGCCTTGGCCAGATGTTTTACAAATGCAGCCTGGCTGGCCAAAAGGGAGGACACTCATGAGAACTGCTGGGCCAGTGCAAACCTCTCACCATGCCTACCATGCCTAGAAAAAGAATCAGAAGCTCCAGCCAAAGGAAGTACTAGAAATGAGAAGAGGGGTCCTGGCCATACCCCACAAATAGAAGAGAAGGTACAAAGAGGAGGATTATTTACCTGCACGAGCTAGACTTTTGTGCTGAATTTGAGCTCTCATCCAGCCAGAGAACTGCATGCTTGTAGTTGCTTCTCTGATTTCTGCTCTATCTCTTGTTGTGATTTAAAAATAACCAAATCTTATTTTGAGGAATTTTATATATACACAAAAGAAGCACAGAGTAATATCATGAACCCATATACCATCACCCAGCCCCAATAAGATCAATCCATGGCCAATCCTGATTCATTTACATACCTATCTATTTCCTCCTCATATTATTTTAAAGCAAGCCCCAGACATAATACTTTGTTATCCATACATTATTTAAAGACCATCACCTAAAATACGATAATTCTTTGACATCATCAAATATGCTCACATTTCCAATTTTTAAAATAAATGTCATAATTAAAAAATCCTTTCTTTATGGTCCAGATAATGTTCGTATATTATGATTGGTTGTTCTGCCTTTTAAATCTCTTATAATTTATAGACTTCTCTCCATTTATTTATTTATTTTTTATTTTATTTTTTGTCCTTGCAATTTACTTTTTGAGAAAATCAGGATGTTTGTCATGTAGAGTTTCCCACAGTCTATATTTTGCTGACAGCATCCGTGTGGTGTTGGCGATTTTAAAGACTCACTTCTTAGGATGCTGTCCTTCTTTCCACCACCCCTTTTGAACATTCCTTTGGGAATAAAACTTTGCCGTTTAGGCCCCCTGGCCTGTGGACTCCTGGAGAACAGGGGTCTGTCTTGTTCAGCTTTGGTCCTTGCAGTCACATTCATCACCTGGGTCCTTGCAGTCACATTCATCACCAAGTTATGCTTGGTTTGTTGATGAATCAAATGACTCAAAGAATTTTGCTCTCTTTTCTTTATATTTCTGGCATGTGCACCCTTGCACTCAGCTTATAGCAGTGTATTTTGTACAGCTGTTTTTTTCCCCACATGCATGTTCAGTGTCGAAGGACAGGACAAACTTCATGTTAGTTTAAATACATAGACCTTTTCCCCACAGTCCTGTAGACAATGCTCAGTGCAAATCAAAATTTTTAGTCACTGTTGGTGGCTAACAGGCTGACTGACTTTCCATTTTCTTCGGTTCCAGAATGTGTATGCTGGTGCTTTCATTCTCCTTACTAATATTTTTTTTTTATTTTTATTTTTTTCCTTTTTCTTTTTTGAGATGGAGTCTCGCTCGGCTGCCCAGGCTGGAATACAGTGGTGCGACTAGCTGGGACTACAGGTGCCCGCCACCATGCCCGGCTGATTTTTGTATTTTTAGTAGGGATGGGGTTTCACCATGTTGGCCAGGCTGGTCTTTGACCTCAAGTGATCCACCTGCCTCGGCCTCCCAAAGTGCTGGGATTACAGGTGTGAGCTACCGCGCCTGGCCCTTACTAATATTTTAAGAGGTGCCTAGTTTTTAACCGAAGAGAAGGAAGTCTTCCCAGACTGTCCCTTGAATATTAAGAAAATATCTATTTTATTTCCATAATAAAGAATTCCTTTAGAGGTTCTTCTCACTCCCACCCATACCTCCACAATTTCCTTGGGAGCGGAAGTGGTACAAAGTAATGTACAGGAGAAACTTAACATTCTATGAATAAGGGCTTGCTGGGAGAATCAAAGGAAAGCTGAGCAAGCCCCCATCGTTTAATTAACTTTGAGCATCGGCTTATTTAACAGAGTTTGCTGTGGTAGGTATTCTCTTTTGATTTCTGTTTGTAGATGAAATTAAGTTTTCACTTAGCATAAAGAAGTAAATAAATGAATACTGATCAACTATGGAGCTATTAGTAGATTAAAGTTTTGTGTTTCCTCACTTTTTTTTTGGATGCAATAATAAAAATCGCTAACCCTAATTGAATTCAAACAATGTAATATAATATGTAGTGAAAATCAGGTCTCCCTTCCACCCCAAATCTCTACTGTCTTTCCACAGAGACAATCACTGTTACTGGTTTCTGCACCTGTGGGTATGGTAATTATGTACAATGATTGTTATTATTGTATCAACAATGTGAACCTATAAAGCAGGTGGACTGGTTATCCTCCTCTTCAGACGAAGTAAATGAGGTTTGGTGGGTATTAGTGATTAGTCTAAGGCCACATGTTTATTTGAATGGCAGAGTGGAAACTCATAGCTAGCCAGTTGAGACCACCCTGCCCCCCTCCTTGCTCATAACCACTAATTTCATCCAATCACAGTTTCATCCTGCCAAGAAACACAAAAATATGACCTATTAATATCCTCAAACAATAAACTAGAGACTATCATTTGTTGAATTGCTTGGCCGGTTTGATGGTTTGACTTTCTTTCAAAAAAGTAAAAGTAGGCCAGACACAGTGAATACACCTGTAATCCTAGCTACCTGGGAGGCTGAGATAGGGGGATCTCTTGAGCCCAGAGTTTGAGGCTGCAGTCAGCTATGGTCGCACTGCTGCACTCCAGCCTGGGTGACAGAGTGAGACCTGTTGCTAAAAACAAACAAACAAAGAAAGTAAAAGCATACAGCTTATGTTCTTTGTACAAAAAAAAGAAAAGGACACTATTGCTACTTTATAGGTAAATAAATTAGGATAAGAGTAAATGGACAAAGCAAAAAGCGAGATGAGGAAGAGAAAGATGAAGAGCTTTGGCAGAAGTTCTCAAGTTTTCTGTGTGTGTGCACACAGGCACTGCACCATGGACCCCACTGGTAGTCTGGTAAGCCTGTGGACCCCTTCTCAGAATAATGCTTTCATTTTTTAAAAATTTGTTATTATTATTTTATAGAGACAGGGTCTCACTTTGTTGCTCAGTGCAATGATGCAATCTTAGCTTGTTGCAGCCTCAAACTCCTGGGCTCAAGCAATCTTCCCACCTCAGCCTCCCACATAGCTGAGACTACAGGTGTATGCCACCACACCAGGCTAATTTGTAAATTTTTTTGTAGAAATGGGGTCATGCTATGCTGACCAGGGTTGTCTTCAACTCCTGGCCTCAAGTGATCCTCCTGTCTCAGCCTCCCAAAGTCATGGAATTACAGGTGTGAGCCACCATGCCTTGCCCAGAATAATGCTTTTAAATGAATAAGATAAAATATGTAGGCTTCTAAAAGATATCAATCATATTAATAATGTAGTTATTAATCAAAATATTAAAAAATAAATGTGTGATACAGTGATATATATGCTTCTTTCTTTCTTTCTTTTTTTTTTTTTGAGATGGAGTTTCACTCTTGTTGCCCAGGCCGGAGTGCAATGGCTCGATCTCGGCTCACCATGACCTCCACCTCCCAGGTTCAAGCAATTCTCCTGCCTCAGCCTCCCGAGTAGCTGAGATTACAGGCATGCACTACTACGCCCAGCTAATTTTGTATTTTTTTTTTTTTTTTAGTAGAGGTGGGGTTTCTCCATGTTGAGACTGGTCTCGAACTCCTGACCTCAGGTGATCCGCCTGCCTCAGCCTCCCAAAGTGCTGGGATTATAGGCGTGAGCCACCGTGCCCAGCCCCTCTTTTTTTTTTTAAATTAGATTTTAAACTTATTCATGTTGCCTAACTGAAACTCTGTACCCTTTGACTAACATCTGTCTGCATCCCCTACCCCTTGTTCCTGGTAACCATTGCTCTACTCTCTGCTTCCATGAATTTGACTTTTTTAGATTCCACACATAAGTGAGATCACACAGTATTTGTCTTTCTGTGCCTGGCTTATTTCATTTAGCATAATATCCTCTGAGTTCATCCATGCTGTTGCAAATGACAGAATTTCCTTTTTTTCAAAGGCTAAGTAGTCTTCCATTTATATAGACACCAATTTTCTTTATCCATTTATCTATTGCTGGGCACTAAGGTGGATTCCATACGTTAGTTTTTGTGAATAATGCTACAATAAACAAGGGAGCGCAGATATCTCTTTGGTATGCGTCTTTCCTAATGCATGAAACAAGATCTAGTGGCAGATCTAATAATTAAGGTAATTTAGAAGCACTTATCACTCAGAAATCATAACAACTGTAATGTGATAGGAAAATATCTGATTTCCATTGGTCACAGAGTCACAAATACTACAAATGCTACTGTAGGTTGCTGCCTCCTATCTCCACCCCCATTTAAGCTCACGAACCTCTTGAGTCCTAGCCAAACTCTTCAGGTTAAGAAGCTCTTCTTTGTAAGAGGACCTGAGCAGAGGTTAGAGGGTGATACTTAACCTTCCATCCTGTGTCTGTTGCTAGGACTACACTTTAATTCTACATTTTTCTTGTCCGGGTACCACCTTTATTGGAACACTTTTTTTTTTTCTTTTTTGAGACGGAGTCTCTGTCACCCAGGCTGGAGTGCAGTGGCACGATCTCGGCTCACTGCAACCTCCGCCTCTCGGGTTCACGCGATTCTCCTGCCTCAGCCTCCCGAGTAGCTGGGATTACAGGCGCCCGCTACCATGCTCAGCTATTTTATTTTTGTATTTTTAGTAGAGACGGGGTTTCACTATGTTGGCCAGGCTGGTCTTGAACTCCTGACCCTGTGATCCGCCCGCCTCAGCCTCCCAAAGTGCCGGGATTACAGGCATGAGCCACTGCACCCGACCGGGACACTTTTTAAAAGCAAAGCTGTTTAAAATGCAATCTTTTAAAATGTCTTAAATTTGAAAGAATTGTAAATGCACAGGGTTGAAATAATCAAACAATAACATTAAAAATAAATTGAACTGAAAAATAAATCTCCTTTCCATCTGAATTTTGCCATCCCCTTTCCCAGAGATAAGCACTCTTACTAGTTTCTTCTAAATTTTTTTCCTACATCAGCCATTGCTCTCAGTTCTCAACAGTAGAACTTGACAGCAGAAAAGGAGGTTACACAGTAGCTCCCAGAATCGGCTGAAGGCTGGGACACAGGCTCCATCAGGAACCAATGGAACAGTGATGTGAGGCACAGCCAAAAGCAACCATAGGGCAATTCTGCTTGGGCTGCTGCTGCTGGGCCCACTCACCAGTCTCCGGATGCCCCTCAGTGATCCCGAGGCCCAGGAAAAGTCCTTCAATGCTGCCATGCCTTTTGGTCCTTCTCTCAAGAGTCAAGATTCTGAGCTAGAGCATCTGGTTATTAGGCACATTCTAGTTGTCAGGGGCAGGGAGAGGGAACATCCCTTCCTCTTCAGTTTCCATGGATTTGGATTCTGGGAAGCCAAAATGATAACTGTTCATTTGATTTATTGAAAAAAAAAATACACACACATAAATAGATTTGCTTATTTTTTTTTTAAACAAATGGGAGAGTTCTTTAAATGCTGGTCTGCCTCTTGATTTTTTTTTAACTTAATGAAATATCAGCAATATATCTTGAACATTTTTCAGTACCAGTGCATATAGATCTACTTTGTTCTTTTTCCTGGCTCCATTGTATTCCACTGTATTGAAGGCTGGAATTTATTTCACCACCCTAGAGAGTCTTCCAAATCCAGCCTGGCCAGGCAATGCTTCTGGCAGTAGAACTGCTAATTCTGTCTTGCTGTTCTTAGGCCAACATTGACCACAGACTCTGTCCTGGGTTGCAAAAGGGTGATTGTAGCAGATAATGTTGGTGTCCTGCCCACCTCTGTTACCACTTCATTGCAACTGGGCTTGACTTACCATTGCTGTTCTTGTACTTATTTGTCTTAGGGCTTTCTGTGATGATCAGAGTCTGCTTTGCCCATCTGCCCTGCAAGTCTGAAATGCTGGAAAATTAACATTGCCTGCCCTCTCCCCCAATCTGTCCTCAACCAATAATGAAAAAGAGTTGGAGTATAAATACCCCAGCTCTCTCACTCCTCAGGAGGAATAACTGAAAAGTATGTTCTACCCTGGCTCCCAGATTTTCCCAGAGCAATCAAACTTCAGTTACCCATAGTGGCTGCCTTGCTTCTCAATCTTTTTCCCCCATTCCTCTATTAGTGTTTCCTGGATCACCTCCCAAGTAAACCACTTGCACTAGAATTCTTTTCTTAGGGTCTATTTCTAGGGAAACACAAATGAAAGCAGTGATGATGAAGAAGGGGAGACATGGAAAGAAACTCATTTATTTATTCATTCCTTTAATAATTATTTACTGAGATCCATAGTCAAAGACAAGTAAAGGAGAATGTGAAGAAATGTAGACAAGGGGAACAAATGCTTCCCTTTCAAGGCATAAAAGCAAACGCTAAAAAATGAAGTGGGTAGCAAGAATACCTTTCTTGACACTGCTTAACACATTGCTGCCCAATCCACCACTGATCATGTGCTGTTCCTTTGGGAAGAAATGGAATAAGAACGGTGAGTAGCAGAATTCAGCTTTCTAAGCGTAGTGACTTGGCCATATCTATCATCTGTTCAAAGCCTGAAACATGTGGCAGGCTCTTAAATCCTTAAGAAATTAACAGTAGGCCAGGCGCAGTGGCTCACGCCTGTAATCCCAACACTTCGGGAGCCAGGCAGGTGGATCACTTTAGGTCAGGAGTTTGAGACCAGCCTGATCAACATGGTGAAACCCCATCTCTACTAAAAATACAAAATTAGACAAGCATGGTGGAGGGCACCTGTAATCACAGGTACTTGGGAGGCTGAGGCAGGAGAATCACTTAAATCTGGGAGGCAGAGTTTGCAGTGAGCTGAGATCATGCCACTGCACTCCAACCTGGGCAACAGAGTGAGACTCTGTCTCAAGAAAAAAAAAAAAAAAGAGAAAGAAATTAACAGTAAAATATTAGCTAACATTTGTTGAGCACTTAGCATGTGTGCCTTTTTTTTTTTTTTAGCACTTCACACATAGAAATACATTTAATCTTGATGACAACCTGATGAGCTTATAACAATGGGTAATACCTAGGGTATGATTCTATTTATATCTTACAGATGAGATAACTGAGGCCTAGGGAAATGAAGTAATTTTCCCAAGGTCATGTGGCTAATGATTACCACTGATCATCTGAAATCTGGATCAAGGTCATCCTGACCCCAGAACCTATGAGAACCTATGCTCACAACCTCTTCCTTCTATTCACTCCTGTGATACCTGTTGCCCAATGGTCTACAAATCCTGTGGTCTCTTGCTTTCATCTTTACTTCAATATTTTAAATAGAGTGGTTTGAGCTCCATCCTTTGTAATAACAAGATCTAGCCCTCCTTATTCTCAGAGATCATCTTTCTCTAATTTACTGGGAGAGGAATGAGTGCTTGTTTCAAGATCAACTCCTAAGTCTCTAGTTCCACCTCTGCCCTCAGTTCACTTTGTGAAAGTTTCTTCCCTAGGACAGCACCAACTTTTCCTTGTGCTCTCCAAGAGAATATTAACCCAAGACTGTGTGTATAGCAGCCTTGTTACGGAAGTTTGAAGATGACAAAGAGTAGATGCAACCTGAAGTTTATTAATTGTCATTTAATTAGGGCTCGGAAGAGTTCAGATTTTCCAAATACATTGTGATGTCAGTACCCTTCATATGCCCTGGAATTTTTAATCTATAATCTTGATGTCTTATTTTAAAAATTTTATTCAAAGTTAGACTAATTGAACCAAAAAATACTATGGAGGAATTTTTCATGCTCAAAACCCTATTCCAGGAGGTGTTGGAGGCGACTGAGTGAGGTGCATAGTTCAGTGGTCCTGTTTACAATGTAGTGACATTAGAATTTGAAACCTAGCCATAGCTTCCACATAAACTGTACTTTTCATTGCACCAAATACCACCAGTATTTGTCTTCTTATGTTGCCTTTGATTTTCTTTTAAACACGTTCCAAAATTTCTGACACTTTCTCTGAAATTTGTACTATCTTTAATCACATGTTTCCTGCTTTAAGCAAAGCCTTGTTTATTCTTTGCAATTGTATTCACTGCCCAGGAAACAAGCCAACTTGTTTTTGATGGACAGAGGGAAATATGCCAACTGAACCATGTTTACAATTGCTTTTGGCCATCTCACCATCAATTCTTAGGAAATAAGAAAAATTTTATTTGTGTACTTTTTGCTTGTCGCCTTTGCATTCCTCTTAATTTGTAGTTGTGTGTATGTATTAATTGTAATCGTTTTATCCCTCCGTTAGCTGGTGGCTGTGATTAATTTGTTGTTCAGTGTTTTTCTTTGACCTTCAATGTACTGTCAGGGTAGAGAACTCTGCTGGCAGATTGCACCATCGTCAGCCCTTTTCTCATGTTTTGCTTAGTTACAACAAATGCTGATTTACAACTTTAGATGAAATGCATGGTTTCATAAGAAGGAAAACAGATGATAATTTTAGTATTTAAATGAAGAAGCAAAACAACCTTGAATAAAAGATGAATATTGATTTTTAAAAATTTGTTTACCAAGAATTACAGAATTGTGCCTCATTTGACTTAATTTCAGACTTGTTAATTATGTGTCTAAGTTAGCCACAAAGAGAACACACTTATTTTAAATTTTAAAATTTAAAGGAAATGAACTTATTCAATTTTGTGCTTAAACACTAGTCATACAACTCTTGTAGTTTTGTTGATTTCCTAAAATTTTTATAGAAATTCAAATTTATGACAGTATGGTTGTTCATACCTGCATTGAAAATTCAGGTGAGGTCAATAGATTTTCTAAAGCCATCGTGATTCCCCATCTTCTTTGTAATTCCTTCTTTATAGACAGAATATATTGCAATAAATTTAGTTTATGTTTTCTTGGTCATGATCATACTCAGGTGTATATTGCTGATGTGCACCCATTCAATTCAACCAACATTTATTGAGTGCCTACTACATGCAAGGCACCAGACTGGCATACAGAAATGGATACACAGTGCCTGACCTCAACTAGTTGGCAGTAGTCTAGCAGGGAGACAGACACATAAACAGATAACTGTGATATAGTGCAGTTAGACTGGGATTGGATTTGGGGTGTTTCAGAAATTCTTTAGTCACACATTTTCAAACAGTCTTTTGGGTCACTTCCACAGATGGCTCATTTCCTCCATTATGTTTTGATCCATCCTAATTTCATCCTAGATTTTCAGTTTATCTTATTTTGCTCCTGTTTCTTCTTTGACCAGAAAATCTCCTTAAATACATTACACCCATTACCAAAGTACTGGTCTATATGTGGTCTATATGGTCTATATGGAAAGTCTATATGTGCAGAGGTACAAATGATCCTATCTATACTGATAAATGGAAAATGTGATTTGCCAAATAGTAGGCTCAGGATGATTCTCATTTATATATTGGGATCATTTATATATATATAAAATCTCCAATATACTTGTATATGATTTGAACATATTTGGAAGAATATATGCCCATCTGTTAGCAATGGCTACTTTGGGGAAATGGGTGTTGGGGGGGGGAGGCTTGAACGTTTTGTTTCATATAATTCTGTTCTATTTGATTTTTTTTAACTTAAAAAATTTCTTTAAATGTTTTGAAAAAATTAAAAATAGTAGTTAGTTCTTGGCTATGCAGACCAACAAACCCAAACTAAGTGGAACTAAATGTCCTCCTTTGACACTTCAATCTACTCTTCCCATGACAATCTCTCCCAACCTCTTGCCTAAGCCTTCCCACGAAGCAGGCTCTCTTAACACACTGGGCATATTCATTAATGTCTTAAGTTAACATGTATATGTTGAGTGTTTACTATATGCACTGGGAATCCACCAGAGAAGAGAATAGTTTCCCATTTCTATGTTCCAGCCAAGTGGCACATCCCCTGGCCTCCCCATGGTCTTGTTCTTGTCCTTCCCAATCCTCTTTATGGGCTCTTTAAGGCCCATCTCCTCAAGGAAGCCTTCCTTTCCTTCTCCCTCCTCTGAGTCTTATAATATTTAGTTTGTGTCTTTGGAAGATTCATACTACCTATACTATAAGTTCTACGAGAATAGCAACAGATCATCTCCATCCTTGTACTTTCAGCCTTCATTATTAGTCATATATTTATTGAGTACCTTGGGGACAGAGTGGGGAAGCTGGTATAGCCTGTACCCTCCTGAAGTAGAGAAAAGATATATGAAACATGTAACAGTGTACATAACCCATTCAGGAGTAGTGTGAATGCTAAGAAGGAGAAGTAGATACTGTTATGAGGATATATACTAAGGAAATAGATGCTGAACTGAGGGTGGTGTTTGGAAAGGCTTCCTTGGGGAGATCCAGTTTAGTGGGGATTTGATGGATGAGATGAGGTTGTTCGGAGGTGGGCCCCAGGTGGGAAGAACTACGGTGCACAGCAGGAAGTTGAAGGTGGTGGGTGTGGATGAACCCTGGGAATAAGAGGAGTAGAGTTAACAGAAGAGGCTGGAGAAGTAGGCAAGGGTTGGATTGTTCATGGCCTTGAATGCCACCTTAAGGAATTTGGGTTTCATTCTAAGGAGAGGAGAACAATTGGAGGCTTTTAATTAGAGGAGGAACGGGATCACACTTGCCTTTAGAAAGGTCTCTCTGGCTAATGAAGGGAAATGGAATAGAAAGAATCCAGGTGTTCCTAGCACAGTGCCTGCCTGACCAGTATGTACTCAAGTATTTGTGGACCAATTGTTCATAAAGTGAACGCCTATCAGGTTCACAATTTCCTTGATAGTTCCTACATCTAACTGGCACTTTTTCCTGTGGTCTCTTCCTTATCAGCCTTCAAATAGCTCTAAATTTTTCCACTTATTAAAAAAAAAAAAAAAAGAAAAAAAAAGACTTAAACAGGCACTTCACAAAAGAGGCTATCTAAATAAAAAATGTACTTAGCTCTCCTCCAGGGCTCCTGAACATTTTCCTACTTGTGCTAACTTTTATACACTGGACAGATGCTCCCTCTTTTACTTTGCATGTTTTAAAAAGACTTAAACTGGCACTTCACAAAAGAGGCTAGCTAAATTACCAATACACATGTTCAAAGGCAATCAACTTCATTTGGTAACTAGTGAACTACAATTATAAACCACCACAGCACTTACCAGAATGGCAAAAATTAGAGTGACAACACTTAATGTTGTCAAAAATGTGGAACAACGGAGACTTTAACTTGCTGCTGGTGTGAGCATAACTTTGTTCATCCTCTGTGGAAAACTGGCCACATCTTCTGAAAAGGAAAATACCTTTACTCCAGGACCCAGCAATTGCACCAAAACATATGTACAAGGAAATTCATGGCAGCATTATTCATAATAGTCGAAAATGTAAAACAACATTTTTATATGGATAAATCAATTATGGTCTATTTATACCTTGGACTACTATACAGCAATGAAAATAAATGAACCAAAATTACACCAACAATGTAATGTAGCGTAAAAGAATCCAGACACGAAAGAATATGTACTGTGATTGCAATGACAAAAAGGTTAAAATAGGCAAGTTGGTATTCTATGCCATTAGAAATCAGATGGTGGTTACCTTTGGGGTGTAAGGAGTGGGTAGAGTTTGGGAAAGGGCATGGACATAGGGTCCTCGGGGGTCTTCAGTATGTTCTATTTCTCAGCTAGGTAGTTGTTCCATGAGTGTGTTCACTTTAGGATAAATCATTGAGCTGTAGGCTTAGAATTCATGCACTTTTCTGTATGTATAATAAAAAACTAAAAAAGAAAAAAGACGATCACTCAAGATACCATCCCAAAGAAACAAAAAGGAACATCAAAGCTGTCTTCTTGACTTTGCATTTGTGGTCAGAATAAACTGAGGCCAGCAGTGGTCAAGGATAACATGGTCGGTGCTTTCTGATGTGTTCTGATGTCATTTCCTTACCCATAACCCCTTTCCTAGGGTTGCTGGGGGTACTATTTTACAGGATCCTCAGTGCAAGGCAGTGGAATCTTTTTTTGAAGGAATTTTTAAATTTAACCTTGGTTTTGGAGACAAAGTCTTTTCTGGCTTAGTTTTCCTCATGACTTTTACATCGTGCCCTTTGGTTAGTTATCTAACCCATTCACTTAGCCTTCCTCCAGGGCTCCTGAACATTTTCGTTCTTTTGCTAACTTTCACACACTAGACAGACATTCCCTCTTTACTTTGCATGTTTTAAAATTGTAGGCCGGGTGCGGTGGCTCACACCTATAATCTCAGCACTTTGGGGCCGATGTGGGCTGATCACAAGGTCAGGAGTTTGAGACCAGTCTGGCTAACATAGTGAAACCCCGTCTCTACTAAAAATACACAAATTAGCTGGGCATGGTGGCACACACCTGTAGTTCCAGCTACTTGGGAGGCTGAGGCAAGATAATCGCTTGAACCTGGGAGGTGGAGGTTGCGGTGAGTGGAGATCGCGCCACTGCACTCTAGCCTGGCGACAGAGAGAGACTCCATCTCAAAAAAAAAAAAAAAAGATAAAAAAATTTTAATTGTTACAAGATATATGATTTCATTTTGCAACTCAAAATATAATAAAAATATGTTTTAAAAAATCTTGGCTGTGCCATTCTGACTTAACTGTCTATCCCTGGGCAATCAAAGTTTTGTCATACCTGAAAGACATATCCCCACCATTTGTATTAATAGTTTTATTCTCTAATTTCTGGATTAATGCTTCTGCATAGAGTTAACTATTGGGCAAGTTAGCGCAACCCTTTTGAACTTAATTTCCTAATCTATAATGAGGATAACAATAGTTCTCTCCTCTTATGGTGGTTGTGAGATTTAAATGAGGTAATACATGCAGAATGCCTGGCATAGCATAGTTGCTCAATAAATAGGACCTCTTTTTGTAAGCCCACAAAGGCAGAAAGTACTGTTGCCTTGTACCTGCAGGCCTCAAGTAAGCAGAGCAAGACATGT
Source organism: Homo sapiens (assembly GCF_000001405.40). Classification (NCBI taxonomy): domain Eukaryota; kingdom Metazoa; phylum Chordata; class Mammalia; order Primates; family Hominidae; genus Homo; species Homo sapiens. Next base: position 62,397,692 of record NC_000003.12, read on the forward strand.
TGTCTAAAGTGGTTGTTTTGTAGAGGACAACTGGCGACCGTTCTACCTGGTCCTATTGGAAAAGTAGCTGTTTCCCTAAAGCCTCAGTCAGCTTCCAGGAAAGATCAGCCTGGTTTAGTGACAGATGCAAATAAAGCAAACAAGGCTACAAAATGTTTAATTTCTTACAAACCTAGGTGATTATATTGCTGACAGGGCCTGAGGAGCAAGTAGACTACTCCATATCTTAGGGAATCTTTTAAAATGCTTTAACAAATATATAAGAATCATATATAATTGGCACACACTTTGTTTGAATGCAAACACTGCTGTTAAAGTGGTGCTTAAAAACAGTTTGTTGGCCTTCTCTTCGTACAGGAGAAACATTTCTCTCGTTTACACTACTTACTTGCTTAGCAAACCCTTATTTATCCTATAATGCAAGTGTAATCTGTCCAACATGTCCAAATGCCCACGGGTTCTGAATTAGTGGAGTCTGAATTAACGGAATTTTAGGCAGTCTCTCATGGAGAACTACGAGCATTTGAAAACGACCCACTCCAACAGTTTCAAGAACACTCTACAAAAATTACCTCTTCCCTCCCCTTTCCTATTTCTTCTTGTTGTGTTTCAGTTCTGGCATTCAAAGTAGACAGAGGAAGACAGACCCAAACGTATATTCTTAGGACATCTGAATATTTATTGAGAAGCCACAGTTTTCCACACTTCCATAACTGTAGGCTTTATATAAGGCAAAAGCAAGATGGATCCACTACTTTACATGGAAAGAAATAGCTCTGCAGCAAACCCCAGGGTTGTGCAGTTACAGATCAAAATGCAATGTACATGACAGATATAAAAAACAGTGTGGAACAAAATAATTTAAATTATGGTTACAATCTACTGAAGGAAATATCCACATCTTATTATAAACACATTTTTAGTCTAGGGTTGTAATTTAAATATTCATTTTTTTTACATACACAGTTGAGACGTAAAAGCAAAATAACATTTAAGAGGAGAAAACTTTGACAGAAGACAGTAGTTTTGAACTGCGCGCTTGATGTTAAGTCATGATAGGATCGCCCCCTTGCCGTGGCAATTAAGAGAATCAATCCATTGGTATGTAGCCATCCTTTTTTTTTTGGCTAATTATATGAGTAAATGAAAGGATGGGTTAACAACGACACAAGGGGTTCATTTTTTGGTTTTAGGGGAACAGAAAGCATCAAAAGTTAATTGTTGGAGACTTGCCTTTTGTTTTTCAAAAAATAAAAATAAAAACACAAAGCAGATCTATGTGTTTTAATTAATTTATTTACGTACTCATTTAATTAACTGGCATCCACATACGTGAAACAGAGTGAATGTACTTGATGTACTTGCCCTCACATCCATTTACCACCAATGCATACATAGTACATGAATGAAGCATCATTGATCTTTGCTGATAACAGGGACACGCCTAGTGGTTAGACTATGTATTCTCCATGAACAGTATTTAAAGAATGGTGCTCCATATTGCTTGTAAACATATAGACATGGACATCAGGAAATCAGTGGATATGAAGGTCATTTGCTAATCTTGGTACCACATAGCTAAAATGGCAGTTGTATTGATAAACATCTCATGGGCATGGTAGTTGACAGAAAATTCCTAATGGGTTTAACTAACAGACTAAGGACATGCACTGATTACAGGACTCTGTCCCAGCAGACTCTAGGACCAAATGGTCTAATCGTCTTCTTCGTCTTCCTCATCGCTGTCCTTCATGCTGATGCCCTGCAGTCCCCCACCTTCACTCACTGATGCTGTGGCTTCCTCCACAGTGAGACGGTTCCGGATCGTTTCATAGGTCTTGCTGTTTAAGGTGGAGTCCAGGACCCCTTGCAATCGGAAATCTCTGTAGGTTTTCTAAGGAAGGAAAAGATACAGTGATAAGAGAGATCTCATCTCCATGATGGGGAGGGAGAAGGTAAAAGCAGGTGTGGGTGGGAGAGCACTGACCTTCAGCTAAATATCACACTTTATGCATTGTCAAATAAAAAGCCACTGTGCTTAGATTTCACTTGTATTGAAAACTGAGATCCTTTGAATGACAGAAAATGAGAAATAGTGACAGGATAAACTATATTAGATGAGACAAAGCAAAGAACATAAGCTTGTGTTTATTCAGTTCCATAAAGGGAAATGTTCCATAATTGTTTTGGTTCCTTTTTGTGGACTGGTTCTTTCTCTTAGGTTAGTGTAATGTAATATGATAGACACAGGAAGGGGCTATAATATATAAATAATGGATTGAGTGATTATGGTATTTTGTGATTTCTGTTGCAGTCTTGTTTTAGTATTTTTGAGTCTTGTAACTGCATAAGCTGTACTGATATCCCTCTGTCTCATTCATAAGACAGACATATGTATGTTGGTATATGAAACCTATTACAGGCAGTGGCAATTATGAGAAAGATGGAGCGCTAATGCCTCATCAATATGTTGCAGACATGTGACTCATTTCTTCTCTCCTTGGGAAAGAACTGTATCTATTCTGTTCACAACTTTATGGTCTCAGGGAAGAAATTTGGCTCTTTTTCAAGAACAATGGCTTGGTATTACTGCACCACAAGTTCTTTCTTTGTTCCTTCAGGCAGTTTCTCTCAGATTTCCTTAGGTATCTCAAGGACTGTTTTTCTAGAAATCCTTCAGTGTTAATTGAATATGACCAGAAGCATCTGGCTGTTGTCTACTTTGTAATTTTTTTTTTGTTTTTTTAAAAGGTCTCTAACTACAACTCTCCTCATCACACTGCATATCATTTCAGCTACTGATTCTGCTGTTTGTTTCTCCTATTGATATAGGAAACTTGCTAAAGGGGCAAGACAAGGAATGCTAACATACGTCAACACCACTCCCATCATTCTTTCTTTTTTTTTTTCTTTTTTTTTTTTTTTCAAGATGGCATCTTGCTCTGTCACCCAGGCTGGAGTGCAGCAGATCGATCTCGGCTCACTGCAACCTCCACCCCCTGGGTTCAAACGATTCTCCTGCCTCAGCCTCCTGAGTAGCTGGGATTATAGGTGCCCGCCACCATGCCCAACTAATTTTTGTATTTTTAGTAGAGACAGGGTTTCACCATGTTGGCCAGGATGGTCTTGATCTCCTGACCTTGTGATCCACCCGCCTTGGCCTCCCAAAGTGCTGAGATTACGGGCGTGAGCCATCGTGCCCGGCCCATTATTTCTATTTTTAATAGTCCATCTAATGCGGTCATGATAGCAACAATCACAATGTCAACCCCTCTTGAAGGTCACATGTTGTAATGACTACAGAGTTAATGAGTGAACCCAGTTCAGCTTACTGAAGTCCAATAACAAAAAAGTAATCTGGTTTGACATTAAATTATAAGGTTATCCTCAATCATGCATCAACCTGCAAGTCTTGCTGAGAGGAGGAAGCTAGACAGCTACCTGAACTGTGTTTTCACTTTGATGGGGACGGGTAAGAGACTGAATAAATGTTAGGCATGGTGTGGGCCAGATATCTACACAATTAACTTAAATTTTTGTACTTTTCAATCATTTGTTCTGTTGCCACTTAGAATAACATAATTGTTGCCAGAATATGATGGGGGAAAATAAAGGTAAAAAGCATTTGAGCATTCTCCCTTTTATTCAAATTCCATAGCAACGTGTATACCAACTAGACTCTCAATGCCTAAGTGCAGAGACCACATCTAGTCATTTCTGAATCCTCCATCTGGTAATATACAAGTAGAGGCCCACCTAATATTTATCCAATGTTGAATGAATAAATAAATGCTTGCTGAATAATAAATGAATGGGTGAATAAATGAAGTGGCTGTTGATGCAAGAAAGAAAGCCAATTATCCTTGGAAATTTGCCCTGGAGGAGGAGGCCTCTGGGTGATGTTCTTGGTTTAAAGTTTGTGAATTCTGCTTCATAGCTCTGAGTTGTGGCATTAGTTAAGCTGAACCCACTTTTTGCTAAAGTGAAGGGGTTCCTTTGGCAGTGACTTTTCTATATCCCTTCTCTGTGGCTCATACCACATTTTTTTTTTTTTGTTTTGGCAAAAGGCTAAGATTAAACCTCCCCTCTGACTTATATTTTTCCTTCATAAAATATTGTTAATTTCCAACACCAATCTGGAAATAGAAATAATGGGAAGATAATTTTTAAGTATGACAATTATATCTTCTTTTCATGTCTACCCAATAAGGGTCAAACAGACAATTTCCCCAAAGTGCATTTATGCACAGAAAATGGAATTCAAGTGGTCAGGCGACCACTTGACGATTGAGCTGGTCCTAAGGAACTGAAGTAAAAAAATGTGAAAATGAGGCTGGGTCCATAGTCTAAGTGTATACATTCGTTTTTTAAGAGCTGTAATACACTGCTGTCTATAACCTTTCCCGGGTGGATGCTTTGTGAGATCAAATGCAGATAATAATAATTCTCCTTAATTACACACAACGGAACAGCAGTTGGTTGTAAGTCAGCACTGGGGTAAAGTGAAATGGTGCTGATCCAAAAGAGACTAAGAAACGGGGTGGGGGCGGGGGGGGGGGGTGCCCAGGAGTGGGTGTTGCAGGGACTTTTGGCAAACTGTTAAGAAATAGACATTCAGCTACATTTATTGTTAAAATATTTTAAAGGACTTTGTGCTTTGAATGAGATTTTTGCATACAAATGTTTTAAAACCCTCTATGGTGAAGCATCAAATAGAAACTGAAATGATCAAAAATGTATTTACCCCCTTCTGTGATCTTATTATTTCATGTAAACCACTGAGATTTCACGCTGAAATAATTATCATTAGTCCAAGGTGCACACACAAGAACAAGGGAAAAAGCTACTTTCAGGGTATGTTATCTCACCTTTGTGATCCTTTACATTTGATTGTATACACGCATTGTAAGACGAACTACTTCAATTAACTATGAGAACAATATTGATTTGCATTCTGATAATGATCACAGGACATATTTAGAAATAGCTGGGGGTAAATATTTCTATTAAATTAATAGCGGCAACATTTTATTTAATTAAACTATAAATGAAATTGGTAATGGATGTGATTAACATAATGACACCAAAAGCCAGTTTTTGAAAGTCTAATGCAAAGGACACGATGGCCTCTGCCGTATTTTTGTATGGCAAAACCAAGTATTTTTCCTCTCTGGAAAAAGATATCAAATTCATTTGTATTAAATTTCCCTTTGCTGTCTGAGTAACACATTTATCATGCATCACAAAACAATTGCATAGGTTTTTCTTGTATGAGATACTATTTTATATGTAAACTAATATTCTTTGTGTTAAGCAAGCTTTGCAGCTTGCCAGTGAAATATATTTCAGTAAGCTATTTGCAAAGAAGAATAATAATCTTTTCTTTTACCTTTACCATCCTAATTAGTGTTTTCAACTGATAAATATGAAGCTGTAAGTCCATCCGGTCCGTCAACCAGGTGCAGATCACGTTCATGGAGCTGTTGTACCATTGCTGAAAAAAGAGACAAAAGTTCTCCAGCCAACACATCATGGAGCATTTATAGGGCAGAGAGAGAGCAGGCAATGTTTGAGTACCCCACTCTGTTCCAGGAGGAAACAAAATGGTTAAAGAGAATTTGAGAGCATAGAGTTTAATGAACGTTAGTTAGTTTATACAAAATTGCAAGGTACTGGGTACTGGACCAATCCAAGACAGACAATCTAAGACAGTTAGGACTTCGAATCTAATTGAACTCTTCCACGACAGACATTTCCTATGTTTCAATTCATACAGACCATCTTTTGCTCTTCTGATTCTCTTTTTTATTGGTTAATTTTACACCATTTATATTCAATACATTAATTATTTCCTAATGTCACTGTCTTTGGTGCCAGAGAGATGAGGGCTTCTCCACTGGATTAATTGATGTTCCTTGCCACTTACCGTTTGAAAATTCCACACCCTGTCTGCTAAGTACAATACTGGAAATTGGGCTGAGAGCCTTAGGAATTTAGGGGCAAGTTTATCTTCATTTACCTGATTGAGGAGTGCTGATAAAGACAATGAATGAAAATTTCTCTTTAAGGGCCAAACTGTACTCTGGGCAGCTTATGTGCCCTTATATTGGCTGTGCAATCTGTTTTAATCTTAACACCAAAAAATTATGGAAGATGAGAGAAAAAAAAACCATCTACAAATGAGCTCATTTCAAGCTGTTGAAATCATACTTCCCCTTAAGGGGGTTAAATTTTGCTTCTTGTCTGTGAAAAATGCTTGAAGCTGTGTCACTTTAGACTGCCACCCCTGTGGTGCAGGAAGTCTCTGGTGCAGTATAATTTTGCAGTACTGCTCATATATTCATAAATCTCACTCGGAGACATATGAACAGTGTTATGAAGTGTCAGTATAAAAAAAAATCTAATCTTTTAAACTTCACCAGGTTTCATTACGCTCTGCCGCTTATACCAAACAATTTACAAATAAAATGAAAAGGTGTGGATGGACCTATATATTTATTTATAGGGGATCTATATGAACTGTGCACAGAAAAGATGCAAAAAAGAAAGAAATGGTTAGAGAATTGAGATGATGCATACTCTCACGCTAACCAATACACACGCACATGCACGCGCGCGCACACACACATCGCACACCAGTGGGGATTCGAAAAGCATAAATAAAAACATGTTTCTGATGGTAACTCCACCCTTTCTCACCTAAAGATCATCCAAAATCAGTTTATGCCTAACACTCACAGTTTTTCCGAAGCCTTGTTTCTGACTTAATTTCTTTTAAAAAAATTAATTTAGGTTTTTACTTGCAAGGTAGAACTGCCAAGTTTCACCTTGCAAGAAACGACACAGTCTCAGCCATGGCGTACAGAAGCCCTCTTTGCAATCTTTCATTTCTAGGCTCCTTCCTCATCAGAGCCAATTGTGGCTCTCCTTGGAGCCCAGCCGCAACAGAGACCACACTACCCCAATCGAGGCAGCACTGCAGCCTCACAGCCAGCTTCTGCTCTTTTAAAGATCATGGAGGCGAAACTGTCAGTTTTAGGAACCTTCTGTCCCTCCCCAGGGAGCAGGAGGGGTAGGAAGTAGATTTTTTTTTTTTTTTTTTTTTTTTGGAGATTTGCAGTTCACTCCATGGAGGCAGGGTGTTTGCTGGGGTCAAGCTGCTTCAGGCATGGACAGGTTTTCCCCTCTAGGGGTGAGAACATTTTACTGAAAATTTTTTTTGTTAATGGTTGTTGGGGGGTGTTTTTGGCACCTCCTGCCTTGGGATTCTGGAGCTTTTGCTGTCACTGCATCTGGGCTTGTTAAGAAGGGGCCCAGGGACAGGGTGATCACTGGGTCACTGGTATTCTGGCAGCCCTACCTTACTCCTGGCAACTGGAGGGCTCTCTTGTGCTAACCCCAGGCCTCAAATTCCACATTTACTGGTTGTAGCTGACATGTAATCTGGGGGGGGGGGGGGCTCAACAGATCTATTTTGAGAACTATGATGAACCTCCCCTTACCCCCAGCCTCCTGGGATTGGAAGATGACCTTCGAGCAATCCTGGCAAACTCCTGGCCAAACCTACAATTCCAGGGCCTCATGAGGGGTACATCTCAGGGACACAAAAGAGGAGTGTGGCACTCTGGCTTCTAGGCAGAGGTGGCATTTTGCTTTGGCTGTGACAACAGGCAAACCGGCGCTGGCTTATATCACTGCCAGCAAGCCTTGTGCAACATGCCTTTTTCTCTTTGCTGAGAGACGTGCCACCTTTCAGGAAAAAAAAAAAAAAAATAAAATAACGCAACCCCCTGCCGCCCCTCCATTTTATGTAAGCAGTTCCCACTCTTGTAAATGGCTTCTAGTAGTAAAAAATAAAAATAAAAATAAAAAGGTAGGAGACTATCAACAATCTTGCTCGGCTGCCGAAAGGATAGGGAGGTAGAAATTGCATACAGCAATGAATCAGTGCATCACACGCAGCCTCCCACCCCAGGAGAACAAGAAAGCCCTGGAACATCCATGCTTTCCTTCCTGGATCTCACATCTAGCAAAAGAAGTGTAAAAAATGTATGATGCCCCATTGGCTACACATTTAAAGAGGCAAAAGGGAGTAAGTCACTCCTTTCCAAACCTTATGCTCAGGAGATGAAATTGGAGGCACTTTTGGATGCAGCACAGTGCTAACTTGGTTTTCCAGAAAGGCGCTTCAAGGCATTTGGATGTCGGAAAAAACAGGAGGCAATGCCTTCTAGAACTTTAAAATGTTAGAGGTACAGGGGATCTTCCACGTTATCTGTTGTAGAGGAGGAAACAAAGGCCCAGAGAGGTGAAGTGACTTGCCAATGTCACACAGTGAGTGCCTCCGGAAGCAGCAGCTCTCCAAGATAGCCACAGCATTGAAAGAGCGGACTGTCTTCCGTTCCTCCTCCCTAAGGGATGGAGCAGTGTGTTTGCCGGTCATGACAGCCGATCTTGCACATCTCTTCCCGAATCCGCGTTCAGGGATATCACATTGATAGCTAGAAATAGGCCTTCGTGGGGGATTTTTTCATCATGGGAATTGGCAAATGCCACAAACCAGGGCTTTCTCCCTCCCAGAAAGCCAGTCATTAAACATTTATCAGCACAATCCTTGGTGTCTGGGTTGTTCTGCTCTTCCTCACGGGGCTCACAGTGCTTATTAATCGGGTTTGCTTTATTTGAGATGGATGGGAATGCAGCAGATTTGTTATGATCTTCAAAGGAGGAAATTAATAAAATATTTTAAGTGCTCCCTATTTTGTTTAGTCCTTGGTTCAGATATGCCTTTTCCAGAGCTACCCTAACACCTGGGCACTAACTTTTCGGTAAAATATACTCTAAGTCTGTAGAAATAAGAATTGTGGGCTGACGACATGTACTAAGTATTTAAGTATAATTTCTACTCCTTTACTGCCTCCCTTTAATTCAAATATATTAATTTGAAACTTGCTAAATAAAGCTACTTTAATCCTAAAACACAGCACTAAAGAAATAAAGCCCCCAACAGCCTGGGCACCTTTAAAATATGCCCTCTGGGGAAAATTCTGTGAAGGTTTTGAACTTGTCACCCAAAAGGATGCCCATCATAGACAACAGGGCCCTTGGAAAGGTGGGAACTTCTTCAGCAGCTGAACTGGATCTGAAGGCTCTATTTAAAAGAAGCTGGAAGGCTTATCTAAAAATTTGCCACTTAATTCTTCTTTCTACAGTGTAGTGGTTAAGAGCACAGGCTCTAACATCCACCTGGGTTTGTGATCTTGGGCAAGTTACTTATGTTCTCAGAGACTCGGTTTCCTGATGAAAATGGGGACTAACTAGCCTTTTATAGGCTTTTTCTGATGGGTAAATGAAATCATGCTCATAAAGCACTCACAACAGCATTTGGCACATGATAAGGCCTCAATAAATGTTAGCTACCACCACCTCCACCACTGCAATCAACATCATCATCATCATCATCATCATCATCATCTTTCTTCTCTTTTTTCTCTCCCTCTCTCAACCTAAAAGATTCCCAAAAACAAGGGAGAAAGTGGAACACGTTACCAGGGAAAGTCATGTGGTGGTGAAGAAAATTATTCCCATTGGAATATTTCTGGAATTGTATGCATGCCTTATAGGACACACAAGTAGCCCCTTAACCATGCAATTGTGTTGTAAAGTTTTTTCTGGTAGATCATCACCCAAACTTTGGGTTCATAAAGCACATTTTAAACTATATTGACCTAGATTTACGTCTTGAATTAAAAAGATTCAGACACAGAATGAGTGATTTCTCAAACCCTGTGGGGTGAGTTACAGCTTCACCTTACACTGGCTACTTATTAGCTGGGTAACCTCAAGGAAATTACTTAATTCTCTGATCCTCAGTCTCCTTTTGGGGTTAATACCAGTACTCTCTTCATGGGATTACTGTGAGCATTAAAAGAAATCATGTATGTGGAGGGCCTAGCAGAGTGAGTGTCACATAGTAAGGACTCAATAAAATTTACCCACTGTTGTTATTCCTCTCAGAAACATCATGGATATACTTTCTTTTTGTTTGTTTTTCTTTTTTTGAGACAGAGTCTTGCTCTGTGTTCAGGCTGGAGTGCAGTGGCATGATCTTGGCTCACTGCAACCTCTGTCTCCCAGGTTCAAGTGATTCTCCTGCCTCAGCCTCCTGAGTAGCTGGGACTACAGGTACAAGCCACCATGTCCGGCTAATTTTTTGTACTTTTACTAGAGATGGGGTTTTGCCATGTTGGCCAGGCTGGTCTTGAACCCCTGACCTCAGGTGATCTGCCCATCTTGGCTTCCCAAAGTGCTGGGATTACAGGTGTGAGCCACTGCCCCTGGCCCATGGACATACTTTCAATATGTGACAGAAAGACATTTTTTTGATCCTCCCTTTCTAGTAAGAAGCTTAGATCATTAATATGCAGATACACTTGGGTCACCCATTCTGCCCTGCAAACATACTGACTTCATGTAGAGAAATCCTTAAACATAAAATATTTATTCTCTAACATTCGGGTTCACCAAGGCCAGGATTAGGGTGAGGGAGTAGGGCAGGGTTGTACAAGTGCAGGATCAGATCTTGTCTTTAATGAAAATTTTGATATTTCAGTCATCATGGATTTTTTGCACTAATTTTGATTTTATAAAAATGTTGTATTAAAATGTTATTTATCTTGGTTACTATATTTTTTGGTTCTCCCTTAAATTTTGTGATAGAAAAGTTGCTCACTTACCTCTTCCTAGCCCTGCTCTTGGGTTCACTGTTCCCCTGGAAACTTTACCCCCTGGAAGGGATTAGGCTTGAGACAGAAGATGGGTAATTAACACCTTACTGGACATTATAGGATTCACAGAAAATGGGCTTTCATTTAACTCTGGATACTATCTAATCAGCTATATAGAGTGTTGCTACAATGATTGCTACTGCGGTTATGTCTTCTGTCATGATAGCCACTCTCATTTACATGAGTCTTAATTCCTGACCCCCAACATCTTGATGTTAATTTGATATCCTACAAAGACATTACTGTTAATGGTACATTTGTTTTCAGAACAAGCCATATATCACAGATGAGTGGCAGTGGAAACAAGGAGTAGTGGCTGAGAGGAGATAGAACCACTGACTGTATTTTCATACTCAATTGTCACAAGAGTAATTTATCCCTTTAACTTACACAAACCCCTGTCAGACCAGACAACTCCGTAGGACTTTAGAGTCTACTGTTTTCAGCAAAGTACTATTTTGTACAGGATTCCTAATATACACCCATATGCACTCACGTGCATGTACAATTCATAAGAATAGTTGCCTACTCATTGAACATGGAGCCCTTATAATGTTCAGGCACTACACGAAATATACTACAAGCATTATATAGTTTAATCATTGACTTGAACTCAAGATGTTGATACTATTAACAGTCTTGCTTTGTAGATGAGAGAAAAGGGCATAGATAGGTTACATAAGCAGCCTATGGTCACACAACTAGTAAGTGGTGGGACAAGTTTCAAGTTGGTTATTTACCACTAAATCTGTATAAAAGTTGTTTGCATTCAACTTGGTACTTTATAGAAGTAATGGATTGGTTACACAGAAACAGCTCTAGTCCTAGGTGTCCCTAAAGCAAATTCATTCAGCTTTGAAGTTCTCAAAGAAGTGTGTGGGTAGGACAACGCTGTTGAAACTGTTTCTCTTAGAGCCTGAGCTTGGCTTGGTGTCGGAAAGATTCTACATTTTATGAAGATAGAAAGTTGCTAAGCAGAGTGTGGGGACTCGGGGGCATCCCCATGGAAAACCACTCAACAGCCTTAAGAACTGATGGATGAGAGACAATCATTGCTGACTCTTAAGGGAAATGATAAGAAAAAGGTGAATGAGTCCGAAGGCTACCATTTCTTGACTAGCATTGACATAATTTTTCTTGTCCCCTATCATCCTACCTCCTCTTCTATTTTAGGTTGGTAACTCATCAATTGCTAGTGGAAGAAACTAGAAAAGTTTCCTTCATCACAATGATTGAATATTCCTAACAGAGTTTTAGAGATACAAAAGCTATAACGTTGATCAAAATTTCTGAAAAATTACATATCATAGGCTTTACAATTTTTAGTGAATAAGGAGAGCAAAATGGTAGAGCCTTTTCATGTCAGGGGAAAAAACTGTCTCATGTGAAATTAAAGATGTCATCAGGAAGCACTAGAAGAGAAGAATTTTAGGCAAAGTCACAAATCCAGTGAAAATAGTCTAATCCAAACTCGGTTCTTCCTGTGTTGCTTTTTTCTTCACAGGAAAATTTTATTGAAGTATAACACACATACTGTAGTAAATCACTTTTAGCAACACACACACATACATATATACACACACACATACTCCCAACAAGATATGTTACCCCATGCCTGTAAGTGAGGGAAATATTTCACCCAATATCATAAAAATGAGCTCTTTAAAAAAATAATGGCCTAAGAACAAATAACCATACCATGCAGAAACACACACCTTCACACACCTTCTTTGATTGAAAACTTGTGACTCAGTCCAATATATCTCCATCCTGAGTGATAGTTGAAATCCACTAGGAACTGAGTTCTATTGTTAGTTCTTTTCTAAACATGTATTCCTTTGAAACTGGCATGTTCAAGCCATCTATATTAGGAAAGCAAAGCATTAAATGCCTGGGCAGTTCATGTCTAAATTCTAAACAGTGCTGTGGCTGAATCTTTATCATCATCCATAGTTTCACTTCACAGATGAGGAAACTGAGACTCAGAAGTAAAGTGGTCTAGCAGCTAGCAAGAGATGGAACATCGACTTAAAATTCTGAGAGGCAGTGCAACCTGTGGCTAAGAAAATGCACGTGACTCAGACCACTTGTGTTTGGATCCTGACAAATTCCTAACACCGCTGTGCCTCAGTTTTTTCATCTGGTAAGTGGAGATAATAATAAAACCTACTTAGGATTAAATGAGTTATTTAGGTGCTGAGTGCTTATAACAGTGCCAGGCACATCCTAAGTACTGGGTATTATTATCTGAGCCATGTTGTCCTAACCTGCTTCCCAAATAAGAAATCACAACTCCTTGAGTGTGAACTACTCAGGGTTGTACAAAACTTTCTGAGCAGCAGGCCAAGCACAGTGGCTCACAGTGCCTGTAATCCCAGCACTTTGGGAGGCTAAAGTGGGAGGATCACCTGAAGCCAGGAGTTTGAGACCAGCCTGAGCAACACAGTGAGACACCGTCTCTACAAAAAATTTAAAAATTAGCCAAGTATGGTGGTGTGTGCCTGTAGTCCTAGCTACTCAGGAGGCTGAGGTGGGAGGGTTGCTTGAGCCCAGGGGTTTGGGGTTCCAGTGCTATGATTGTGCCACTGTACTCCAGCCTGGGGAACAGAGCAAACCCCTGTCTCTGAAAAAACAAACAAACAAACAAACAAACCCCACCTTTTTGAGCAGCTTCTGTTTTTCTAAAAATGCCTGAGCAAGCAGGCAATTTGGTAACTGTTTGGTAACCAATCGGTGTTTTTGAACTGAATGCTGGAGGATTTTTATATTTTCTCTGGAAAGTTCCCTTTCTCTAACCCAACACAGCCACACCTCAGAGAAACTGGCACAGCATCTTGCCTAGAGGGGCTAATGAAATAACATTTTGTTTGTTGGCAAGGAGTCAAAGAGGAAGATAATACTTTGACCACGCCCATGTGACTAAGTTCTTCATTTTGTTTTTGGTGACAAAAGTGAACTATTATTTAAGGGAAAAAACCCCTACAACCTATTTCAATTGCTATATTGAAATACTGTAATGAAATATTTTATGTTTGAAGCTTTCAATGCGTATTTCTTCCTTACAATTTGGGTAATTTAAGAACATGGGAAAAGCATCATTCAGGGTTTCTTTACACTTCCACCAAAGTCCCTGTAGCTTCATTAGCCTAAGCCAAAATTCCACAGCCCCCTGGGTCTCTCAGGTCTAACGATTACCGGGGATCTGGTTGTATTTGGTGTTCTAATCAAAGATTCACAGAGGGTCTGACAAAGAAACCCTGGCACGTTCAAGCCGTCTATGCCAAGTGGGCAAAGCACTAAAGGACGGCACGCAGTTCATAGCAAGTTTCCAGATTTGTCAAAGCTTCCCAAGGGCTGAACAAATACTTTCTAAAAGGGCATATCCTCCAAATGCGTTCAAGAACCAGTATGCCGTTGAAAGATACAATCTTCTGCCTTACTTGAGTGTTGCTATAATTCAGGATTCACCCTTCAAAACAACTGCTCTTAGAAATGGGTATTTCCCAGTCACAGCTTCAGGACGCGCAGCTAACAGCACAAAGCTATAATCAGACACCAAAGCTATAATCAGACACCGAAGCTCTAAACAGACACCAAAATCAGAGGGTACAGATAATCAGAATGACCTTCTCAGCTGCCCTAAGTGTCATTTTTAGTTGAGGGTAGGATTTTTTTTTTTTTTTTTTAACGTCCGTAATTCTTTGGATACCTGAAAACCCATGCCACTGAAGTCTTTACAAAGCTATCAGTGCTGTGGCTTTTCAGGATGGCCGGGTCCTAAAGTTTGGACGGCAGCTCCCTGAGGACTCACTGACGGAGGAGTCTGAGACAACGTGCTACAACCAGTTTCAGAGACTATGGCTTTCTATAACCTGCTGCTGAGAGAATTCAGCTCCTCTTTTGCCTTTAGCCTTTTCTCATTAGGAAGAGATAATGCAAAAGACATAATAATTTAAAAGATATATTTAAATTATTACTGCTTAAAATATTTGCTGCTTCTGTGGGAAGGTATAAGGGATTTAACATTTGGGAGCATTATTTCAACTCCCTTAGGAAGGTCCCAAATATCTTGATTTTTTATTAAGATAAGCAGTTATCTATTAATGACCAAATTCCAACTCTGTAAAATGTGTAATAAGTAATTCTTTAGCATCAAAATTTCTAACGAATGATTAAAGGGATGAATCCACAAGTAGACTCCCGACTTAATGCATTTCAGCCTTCTAACCCAAGTCAGTCCTGTTGCATGGGGGAAATTTCAAGGGGAGGCAAGAGTCCAGAAGGATCCTTTCTAAAAGCAAATCAAGCAGGGGAGTTTAATCCAAAGCTTAGCTTATATGAACTATCTAGGGGTCTCTCTCTGGAAGACACATCTAGTGGGGAATTTTTAGCTAGCCAAAGCCAGAATACAAGTAAGTATGTTGCTTCTGAATCAATCTGATTGTCTAAAACCCAACAAGTCACAAAATCCCCCTTTATCCTACCCAATCCCACTTTTCAATATGGCGGGTGGTCATCAGTGAGGAGGTGTGATGGTCTCAGAAAGGCTATCTTTCCTAATAATCATAAGATATTGCTGGAAATGGTGTACCATCTTCAAAGGAGAAAACTAAGCCAAAGTTCAACTCATTGATACCAACTTAAAGACACGAAGGCACAAGATGGGAAAGCAGAGGCACTGATGTGAATTTTCAGTTAGGAATACTACCTCCAACCCAAAAGCAAATACCACTTTTCCGGTTTCCACAACCTGAGTAAGTACCATTATACTTACTCAAAAGTGGAACTTTTGAGTATAGATGCAAAAACATTGAAAGTAGGATCTAGAAGAGATACGCCCACATTGATGTTCATAGCAGCTTTATTCACAATAGCTGGAAGGTAGAAGCAACCCAAGTGTCCATCAGAGGATGAGTGGGTAAACAAAATGGGGTATATACATACAATGGAATATTATTCAGCCTTAAAAAGGAAGGAAATCCTGTCACATGCTACAATATAGATAACCCTTGAAGATATTATGCTAAATGAAATAAGTCAGTCACGAAAAGATAAAAACTGTATGATTCCACTTATATGAGGTATCTAGAACAGTCAGAAAGTAGAACAGTGTTACCAGGGGCTAAGGGGAGGGGTAAATGGGAGTTGTTTAATGGGTGAGAGTTTCAGTTTTGCAAGATGAAACGACGTCTACAGATCGGTTGCATAACACTGTGAATCTATATAATACTATTGAACTGTACACTTAGAGATGGTTAAGACAGTACATTTTTTGTTATGTGATTTTATGACAATTAAAAGAAAGATGGGAAATAAAAATCACTTCCCATACTTAAAACGAAACTTTGCCTAAGAAAGAACAGATATGTAGCAATGTACATATTCTAATCTGGCACACCCAAACATACTTTAAAAAAAAAAAAAAAAATCTTTGTAAGATGAGTGTAGTCATTTCATTTAATCCCAGGACTGAGGCAATTTCTCAAGCTCTCAAGGCTCCACAGAATTTTGAGATTATGAAGAACAAAGAACAAATCTGGTAGCATTTGCTCAGTCATTTATTTGGTTTATTTAAAACATGCCACGGGGCCAACATTTCTAAATCTGTGAAATAGAATTAAATGAAGCCCAGAGATGAGAACTGAGAATCCTCATAGAGGACTGGATCCAAACAACAAGAAAAGGATGCATTTTTTTACACCGTGAACCACATCACCTCATATGTTTTCACAGAGACTCCCCTGTCCCTTATCCACCAGCCCCCGCTCCAATTTTTCAAGCCAGATCTGCTCAAGCAATACTCAGCCCTGAGACCCCAGTTGCCCAAAAGGGCAACAGCTCTCCATCCAGAATCACTCCCACCACAACAGACTTATTAAGGTTTGGAATGTGTGTTCAGGAAGCCCTTATTTTAGGAAACAATTAAGTAGAATTAGGCTAATAATGCAAGGCAGGCAAAGCTTTTGCCCTTTGCTGAAAAATAACTCCTACGTGGAACAGTTATACTAATAAAAATCATGTATTTCTTAAATGCCTCAAAATGATCTTTGCACCAAGCTCAGCAATTAACACTGCCCCACTGAGGAGCATTTATTCTCCAGGCTTGGGAGGATTAATCTCCCTGTTCGCCCAACCAATGTCTTCTGTTGGTGAAAATACAGTGTGAGGCTTTGGGGTCTGGGAATAGAAATTTCTGCAAGTGGGAATTTTGCAGGAGGCTTAATTCCCTTCTCATCTCAGAGGGTGGCAAGGTGGGAAGGAAGGGCTGGGAGCCCCCCACTAGGCCCAAATAGAGGCCACATCAAAACTCTTCTCGGGCCTACCTGTTCTTGACCTCCAGGGAGGACGGGAAGGCCTTTCTTCAAGTGGCCTGGGCCTTGTCTACTGGGGGATTGTTCCCAACCCCCCCAAACCCACTCTCCCCTCAAAGTAGCCATTCATGGGCCTTCCTCTGGGCCAGAAGCAATAGATATCCCAGCTCCAAGTCTGGGCAGGAAGTGACCGCTGGGCAAAAGCGGGACACAGACCCTCCCGTCTGATGCTTTGTCTCCTTGACAACACCCCAGCTGGTGGCCCGAGGCACAGGCTTAATTTCTTTTCTTTCTCTGCCCACCCTCCCCGCCCCATACTTCTTTCCCTCTTTCTCTACACGCACACGTACGACATCCAACATAAAGTTGCCGAAATAGCAATCTTGTCTCTGAATATATAAATTGCAAAAATTGATATGAATAAATCTGCAAGTAGCACACTGATTGTGGCACATTTTATCAAAAAACGGCGCTCGGTTGCTCGGTGGCTGGGGAGGGGGTTGGTGTCATTACACATACAGAAAAACATCTGCAAACTCCCAGTTTCTTTACTTAGAACTGAATGGAGGCATGACCTCCTGTTCCTTGCCATGAACCCTGAGTTCACACTCATATTTTACATGTTACAGGAAGCCACAGCTCGCCCCAGGGGTGCTGCAAACAGACACGCAGAAGCCAGATGTAGCCCCCACCCCCCCAACTCCTTAATGCACCTGAAGAAGCCGGCAACTCGACATTCAAAAGCTGACATGCTCGTAGCTTAAGGTCACTTCAGATTTTGTAAAGAGGAGGACAAAACCAGGAATGCTTCTAGGGCTGGGCTGTCAGCGGGGAGGCAGAGGGATTACAAGAAACCTGTGACTCTGCCTCTTTCTGCCTTTGCTGGTAGTTTTTTTGTGTGTGAACAAGTGCCATACAACAGATTGAGCCTCGTATAAAGGCCTGAGACTGTGCAAGGGTTCCCCGCTGGGCCTCAGCTGTGCTTGCAATTAGCAATAGGCACGGAGTGATTATTGTTGGGGTAGCGGATGGCAATGCGAAGTGACAAGTTTTATGGGGGAAGTTGGGAGTGGGGATGCTCTGCAAGTTTCTCTTTCTTTCTTTTTTCTTTCCTTTTTTCTTGTTCTGCAAAATACCCTTCCTTGGGAGGCTGCAACCTCCTGTTTCAGTGAAAGCTATTTTTCTTTTTCCCTCGTCATTCAAAAGAGTCTTAACAAAATTGTTTGAAAGAATATTTTTCTCAGTGCTTCAGAATGCGGGTTTTCTAGGTCAGAGCTTCCTTGCTGCCCTATTTAATGTCAGAAATACCCATTTGCCTCAAATTAGCAGAGAGCTTGGAGTTGAGGGCAGGAGATTAAGCACACAAAATTACTCAGCAGGTGACGGTGGGGTGGATTTGGGGGTTGAGAAGTCTTTAAAACTGACTACAAGACATTATATACTTCTGACAAAAGAACATAGTAATCCTACCTGCTTGCTTTAACCACTGTTGTTTGCCTATTATTATGTGCTTTAATGCTCATGAGAGCAAAACTATTGCTGATACTACTCAATTACCATAGTAACTCACACCAGTGACCTCTTATCACAGGGCTCCCAGCCCAGCTAAACCAATCCAGACAGTTTGTGTCTTTTTATTTATTTAAACGGTGACATATACTTGGACTGGAAAGCTCCAAATAGAGTCGACTCCTCTCTTTGTCTAGAATAAGAACTTGTTTTGAAATTTTGAGTAAGGGCCTTTTCACCTTTTGAATCTGAGGTGGTTCTGAAGTTTATGGATTTGAGGCTGTGAAACGCCTTCAAAAACATGAAGACACCGAACAATGCCCAATAAAAAGAAAAGAACATGTGTACATCAGAGACCAGCAGCCTCCCAGCTGCAGGAAAAGTTATGTTTCCCACTCAGGTCTCCAGCTATGGTCTCTCAAAGATTGGTAGGAGGAAAACTGGAGGTTCTTCCTGGGGGACCATTGCTATTTTATCATTTCAGTGGGCTAAACACAGACAGGACAAAATGACTACTCAGAGGGATTTAACTCTAAGTTTTAAAAAGGAATTAAAGGTGACATTAATATACTTTTTTTTTTTTTCTGAGACAGGGTCTTACTCTGTCATCACCCAGGCTGCTGTTACCCAGGCTGGAGTGGAGTGGCGCGATCACGGCTCACTGCAGCCTCAACCTCCCTGGGCTCAGGTGATCCTCCCACCTCAGCCTCCCAAGTAGCTGGGACTACAGGCGTGCACCACCGTGCCCAGCTAAGCATACATTTTTCTAGCTTCGCATTTTTCACTGGCCTGTGAATGTATATGTGAATACATGTGTGCATACTCTATGCTGTACTCTGTCTGAACACTATTGGTGATTCTGATTTGTTGTGCCACATTAGCATATTAAACGCTCTGAGAAGTTCTGTAGTAGAGAAGTCCGTTTAACTTTGTGTTTTTCCAAATGTACTTAACACAATAACTATTTTTCTTTTACTCTTTTTTTTTTTTTTTTTTTTTTTTTTTTGAGACTGTCTTGCTCTGACGCCCAGGGTGGAGTGCAGTGGTGCAATCTCGGCTCACTGCAGCCTCTGCCTCCCAGGTTCAAGCGATTCTCAGGCTTCAGCCTCCTGAGTTGCTGGGATTACAGGTGTGTGCCACCCCACCTGGCTAATTTTTGTATTTTTAGTAGAGATGGGGTTTTGCTATGTTGGCCAGGCTGGTCTTGAACTCCTGGTCTCAAGTGATCCACCTGCCTCGGCCTCCCAAAGTGTTGGGATTAAAGGCGTGAGCCACTGCACCTGGCCAGAACAGAAGAACTATTCTTCATGAGCCACCCATTAAATTCTCTCAGGATGTTTATGTCTCATTGAATCTGATTTGGAAAAAAGTTCTATAGTGACATTAATAATATTGCAATGACTCACAGCTGTAATCCCAGCACTTTGGGAGGCTGAGGCAGGAGGATCACTATAGGTCAGGAGTTCCAAGGCTGAGGTGAGCTATGATTGCACCACTGCACTCCAGCCTGGGTGACGAAGTGAAACTGTCTCTAAAACAAACAAACAAACAAAAAAAAACCTAGCAATAATAATAATAAAAGTAGGCAGAGAACAATGACATGTGCCTATAGTCTCAGCTACTTGGGAGTTTGAGGCGGGAGGATCACTAGAACCCAGGAATTTAAGGCCAGCCTGGGCAACAAGTGAGATCCTAGTATCTTAAAAAAAGAAAAGAAAAGAAAAGAAAATATTTAGTGAGCACTTATTATATATCGGGCACTATTCTAAGCAGTGTATATGACTTAAACTCATTTACTTCTCCTAACAACCTTAAGAAGTAATGACTTGTTAAATCCTATTTTACATTTCTATAGTATATAATATTTATATGAATTTGTTCTCTATGAAAAAGGAAGAAAAGGAAATGTAATTTCATATGTAATAAATTGGCTTTTAATTTTTATTGTATTTTTCCTGTTTCTGAGCCTTCAGAGATTGGGAAGCCCATGGGTTACATGTTTTCTTTTTCTTTTCTTTTTTCTCTCTTTTTTTTTTTTTTTTTTTTGAGACAGGGTCTTACTTTGTCACCCAGGCTGGAGTGCAGTGGCAATCTCAGCTTAAAGCAGCCTCAACCTCCCAGGCTTAAGTGATCCTCCTGCCTCAGCACCCCAAGTAGTTGGGACTACAGGTATGCAACACCATGCCCTATTTTTTTTTTTTTTTTTTTTTTTGGTATTTTTTTGTAGAGATGGGATTTCGCCATATTGCCCAGTCTGGTCTCAAACTTCTGAGCTCAAGTGATCCACCAGCCTCAGCCTCCCAAAGTGCTGGCATTATAGGTGTGAGCCACCAAGCCCGGCTGATAAATAATGTTTTCTATAACTACATGAATGCCCTATTAATATCAACTTAAATGAAGAGCAAGGCAAAAACCTTCAAAACCCTCCCACCTTTGAACTCAAGGTGCCCAAATATCAAAATATACCTTCCCCCCTCTATCTCTTTTGATTAGCCTCCAAGGCCCTCCTGCCTTGAAAGAAAGAATCTAACTTAGATGTCAAAATTAGATCTGTGCTTGCCTGTGCACAACAGAACTTCTGAAACTGCGGAATGTCTAAGAAATTAAATAAAAATGTAACCAATGGTCAAACCCTGAATGAAAAATGGAACATGGGCCAGACACCAGCTGCTCTAATACCCCTGGCTCAACAGCAGGACATATCACAGCAAAATCAGGAAAACTCGATTTTGTGACACTTACATAGAAAATTTTTGTAGCAAACATCAGAAGCTGACACCTTACTTTCTGCAAGCAAACCGGGAAACTGTGATATGTAAGAGAAAAGGAATGGCTCTCTTATGTACCTGAATTTCTCAGTTCCGACCATTTCTTTCTTCAAGATACATAAATAATGAGCCCAATGTGATTAAGCCCCAATCAGCTTCTAACCAGGCCTTGTCTGCCACCTGTGTCTCCCAGGGCAGGTGTGCAGTTTGGGCATTAACAAACTGACCACTGTTAACAATACCTTTTTCCTAGGGCCTATTTTTCTCTGGATATGTTGGGGGATTTATTCATAGGCCTCCCTGTGCACTGAGAAAATGGACCCCCATGCCTTTAGCCTCCATCCTCTCAAAGGAACTTACTGTTTTGAGAAAATGTATAGTTACAATCTGAATTTGCACTTTCAAGTCGTCTCAATCTTTTAAAGCTTGATTATGTCAAAAAGAAAATTCCAGTTTTGGTGGCACATCCTACCACCCATTATCCTTGTGAGCAGTGCGAATAATTTATCTGAAAACTATTCTCTGATATGCATACAAGAACTTAAGATGTAGGAGAAGGATTCAGCGTATGAACTGAATTCAGATTGTTCACGAACAGCATCTGCCCACTCCCCTGATCGCTTCTTAGGTATGGGAACTGCATTTAGAGTGAACTGCATTAATTCGCAAGCAGATTGACGTAAGCAACTGAATAAGAAATTTGCATACCATATAGAAATGATTATAGAAATCATACTCTAAAATAAGGATAGTAACTCATGTACAGAACGGAAAGATAAAGTGGAGTGCCAACTCTGCCGTCTTAAAACAGGGTTGGCTAATCATATTAGGGCTAATTTCATAATTTGCACACATTAAACTTTCTAGAGTCATGAATCATTAGAGTTTTGTGAGCCAAAGTTGAAGTTCTTACTTAGGAAAATTCAAATTGACTTTAGGGAGTTGCTTTCCCGGGCTGAGGTGGTTTTCATCATTACTCTCAACATACAAAAGCATGGTCTATGTATGTACATAATTTCCAGGCTATTACATGGAAAAAAATTCAGGTGAATAGGTAAATGGAATGCTTTACATTAAACCACACAGCTGGTTTCCAAGCAGATAGTGAAAGGACACAAATATACCATCTAAAAGGTACTGTCTGGAATCCTAGAATTTGAAGACAATAAGACCCAACAACTCTAACTGGGTTAAGAACACTTTCCAAAGTCCTCTAGACAGTTTTGAAACTAGATCTATTTCAATTCAATGAACATGAGCTCTTTGGGGAATGATTTCTCATAAGGGAAGAACATGATCTTTTTAGGAGCTGGATATGGCATTGAGTGGTTTCCAAAAAGCAGTCAACATACAAGGACTGGGTGCAGGGACAATATTCAGATGGTGGTCCAGGAGCTGGGAGGGGTGTTGGGTTTCAGAAGAGAAGGCAGAGTGGCATGAAGGCTGGAGGAGGGAAGATGGCAGCAGATTGGGGAGAGCATGGCAGGCAGCACAGGTGGATGGAGAGGGCATCTTGATCTCCTAGGAGGGAATATTTGGGTGTCCATAGCAACTGCCCAATTAAGGGAGTCTAGAAAACAGGTTCTGATGCCTGGGGCCCAGGAATGAGGAAAATAAAGACAAAGTGCTGCTTTTTAAAAGTTAACATGTGTTTTCACCATGTACAGCTGGGTTCTGCCTCCAATGGCGCCCTTTCCTCTTGCTTTATTTTTACTCTCAGGAAACCGTATTCTCCTCTTTCTACTTCTCACTGCATATGACTCTATTTTTTTTCTCTTTATGGGAGGGAGAACGAACACACACACACACACACACACACACACACACACACACACAGGCACACACACACACACTTGCCAGATCACTTACCCAAACCTTACCCTGGGGAGCCAGCCATCTCATTTCTGTAAAAGGCACAAACCTCAGACCATTGTCCTTATACAAGATACACATTCAACATGCTGGGTGCCCTCGACAGCTACAGATGGTTTGGGATCCACCAGCCAGGAGGTAAGAAGTCTGCGTCAGGTCCCCCATTGAAGTGTTCAGATGGGTCTAGGGCCTGAGCACAGAGAGTTAAATCATAAATTAGCCATGAGTTAATACGTGAGGCCCGGATCACTCTGCCTTGCCGTCAATGCTTCTCGTCCACAAGGCTCCCTCCCCCTTCCTCCCCACACCCCCCACCCTTTTGAGGTGACAGAATAAGAAATTAAACACTTGTGGGTTCATTCGAAAGAGTGAATGAAATTGAATAAGCTCTCAGTACTTGAGGCGCACAGCGAGCGCCTGAATGGGGCAAACCTCCTAAGTTGAATGGAGTGTCTTTTGGGACCAATTTGTCTCTTTTCACTCTTTATTCTTCCCTTTTTGCTGACAGATGTACAAAGGCGGAACTGCGCCGTGCAGCTTATCCGCATGCACCCACAGCAGCTGTCACTTTTGTCGAGCAAGTTAATCAAGCAAATGCCACCATATCCCACTTTCTATAAGGAACAACATGTTATAGACAGTAGTCTTGCTAGAAAGAGACTTTATTTTAACTTTGATTGGCTTCGTTCCCCCACCCCTCCTGACGCTTCCCCCTTTTCCCCCCAAAGGAGGGGGAAGGGGGGACTTTGCCCAAGCCAAGGATTTGGCTATGACAATGTCAGATTTCATAATAATATTGTGTGTGAGGCTGGAGACGCATTTGGAGTTCTTTCCTAGGGATGGAGGGATGCCCCGGGTCTGGGTTTTTTTGGAGTGTGCTATTGTTTGTGCTGGACTGTTAGGCTGCATGTCTCAAGTTATAAAAAGAAAAGCCGAGGGCAGAAAATAGTATTACGCCACGAATGTCTTGGATTAATTTTATTCTTTTTTCCTTTGTAAAGCAGGTTGTGTTATTTACATATTTCTTTTGATAAGCCTCCTTGCCTGGCTAAGCTTACAAAGACTGTGCTAAATACATAATAGCATTTCTTTGTGCATCTTGTCGTTAGCGAGTTCTTTAAGTTGAATGCCCAAATTTATTTCTAATGTGCACCAACAAATGCAAGCAGGCCTCCATTTCTCTAATTCTGTGTAAGCCAAGTGGGGAGCCTTTACAAGAATTCCCTCACGTCCACATCCACTTACCCTTCTGCCTCAGTTACCACTATTTGATGGTGTTCAGAAACCACAGGCAAGAGTGAGCTTCATTAAACGGTACGCAGTGCTGACCTCAGCCACTGCCCCTGAGCCCCCAACCTGAATGCCAAAACCAGACATATTTTGAATAAACAAACTCTTTAGAAACAATGCATATAGGCCACTTTCCAATGGCCAAGGGATTTGCCACTTTCAAGAGTTGGCTAACAGCTGACGATCTATCGGGAAAGCTCTTTAAAGTTTCAAGAGAAAAAACAACTCCCTTTTTTTCTTTTCTCCTTTCTTCCTTCCTTTCTCTTTCTTTTCTTTCTTTCCTCTTTTCTTTTCCTTCCTTACTTTTTTTCTCTTTCATCACCTTGTCACATTGTTTAGTGTAAGCTTTGGTTAGAAATAAATCAAGAAAGGACTTTGGTGATACCTGATCTCAAATTTTCACATTGCTGACATCTTAGGCATTATTGGATAATGACCACGTAATGATTTAGTTGCAACTCCATTTGTATTATGCACAGATTGTATAACCATGTTATTCTATAACTGTCGATTACTCACCTCCCCTTTCCATAAAGTATTGCTAATCTGTGAAACCTCATAGTGCCATTGAAAACTTAGCTATGTAGGTAGGTTAAAAGAGTCAACAGTACCTCATTGGAAAATCTTGAGCATTGTTATTTAATAATACCACTGTGTCAAGCTTTGCTTAAGGAACTTAAGCTGCTACCCTAAACCATTTATTAACTGTCTGGGATGTAATGCTATTGTGTTACCAACATTTTACCCCCCAAATAAACCACAAAACTTTATTCTTATGGGATAAAAGATCTTAGAACACAGAGGGAGAGATAGACTGAAAGCTGAGACCTACCCCTTAGTTAGGCCTAGGTAGAAGTGGATTTTGAAGCATATATGGTATGCAAGATTCCCTACTGCGCTGTAGTCTCTTTCAGCTGAGGATGGGGTATCACCCTGAAGTGGGTTACAGAAGTGCTTTCTGGGATCATTTTAGGACCAGGGTCTGCTGGTATTCATAGAGCTTGAGTCCAGTGACAATGTCCCCACATTCACGAAAAGACCTGCCCTAATGGGGTTGAATTTTCATTAAGGGGTCTCTCTGATTAGCTATGCAACACCCATCATTGTTAGTGGACAAGCTGTGACTAATAAGCCACGTTCTAGCTAGAGGGTCATAGAATCACAATTTCTGTCTTATATCCTGCGGTGATCCATGAGGGAAATAGTGATTACAGTAAGAACCCCAGTGGATGAATTTGGGACACATAGCACTCAGTATAGTGGGGGCTTTTAGGGGTAGGAAGCACATATTTGAATAGTGTAAAGTTTTTGCCTAAGATATTATAGTTACATGGCTATTCTTGTGGTCAGAAAGAAAGAGGTTGGATCTAGGACTATTTTCCAGGCTTCTGAATTTGCCGAAGTCAGTTTGCCACTCAGTAAACCAATTTCTTCATCTATAAAAACCTACCTCACAAGGAGATCATGAAAATTACATGCATTATTACACTTAAGTGCCTAGAACAGTACCTGGTACATAGTGCCCAGTGAATATTGGCTCTCATTGGCCTCAATACCTGTAACATGGAGATCACGAAGGTTCCTATATCCTAGGGCTGCTAAGAGGATTTAAAAGAAATAACACATTTAACAAGATGGTGCTGCTATCTCTAATGTACAGTCAGGAAAATATACATTTAGAAAACTCTAAATAAATGTTATAATTGTTATTATTAAACAGCCATTTATTAGAAACTTCAATTAATTGGAATCTTTCCTCGTGTTTTCCTCTTAGGAGAATGCTGCCTTTTTTTCTCTCCCTAAAAGCCCTCTTTGGGATTTGTATCAAAAGAGCAGCTTTCAGAATGTGCTTTGGGCTGACAAACACTGTAGCCCCATCTTCTAGAGGCACAGAGTATGGCAGAAAGAGCACTGTATCCAGAGTTGGGGAACTTACTCGCAGTGCAATTCTGGATAATTCACTTTTTTTTTTTGAGACGGAGTCTCACTCTGTCACCCAGGTTGGAGTGCAGTGGCACGATCTCAGCTCACTGCAACCTCCGCCTCCTGGGTTCAAGTGATTCTCCTGCCTCAGCCTCCCGAGTAGGTGGGGCTACAGGTGTGTGCCATCACTCCCAGCTAACTTTTTGTATTTTTAGTAGAGATGGGGTTTTACCGTGTTAGCCAGGATGGTCTCGATCTCCTGACCTCGTGATTTGCCTGCCTCGGCCTCCCAAAGTGCTGGTACTACAGGCATGAGCCACCGCGCCTGGCCTGATAATTCACTCTTTTAACATCTTTGAGACTGGATAGTGACACCTGGGGTTAAGTAGTGTGAAGCAAGAGTTCTAAAGTGTCTTGACCCAGAGCATTAGACTTGGCTTCAGATGCTCAATAAGGTGGAAAACAGAACTAAAACATTTACAAAATTGTTTCAAAAGTTGTCGAAACAGAAAAGGTTTTCCAATGAATCTTCAAATTCACCAAAAAATCAAATGGGCCAAAGCGATTCATTACCCATTACATGAACCAGAATACTATATTTTCAAGGCTTACAAAAAATCAACTGACAATTGCAAAAATCCACAGTGAGATTCTTTAAGGACTTAATTCATGTTTTTGAGTTAGAATTGGAAACCGAAAATATACCTGACAAACTACACAAGATACTATCAGGGCTAGGAAGTCATCAATACCTATTTAACAAATGGTTATTGAAGGCTTACATATGCCGGACACTAGTGGTGAATTAGGTAGACAATAACAGTGCTCTCAGAGGTGGGGATGAAAATACCATAGTTTCAGAAGAAAGGGCCCTGAGGATCTGGGCAAGTTCATTTTGGACCTCAGGTTTCCTGTCTTAAAATGAAAATAATACTATCTCTTCCCATCTCTCCACAGTGTTGCTACAGAATAAATAAAGTTATGAAGTCTTGTAAGATACAAAGTAGGAAGGGTATTAACAGAAATAAACATGTATTTCAGTATCTTTTATCCTTAGAGTCAGGGTTCAGCCACCTCAGCACTATTGACATTTTTGCAGATAATTATTTGTTATGGGGGGGCTGTCTTGTTCATGGTAGTATGTTCACCGCCTATCCATTAGATGCCAGTAGCACCCTCCCGCCACCAATCAAAAATGTCTCCAGACATTTCCAAATGTGCTGTAGGGGACAAAATCACCCACAATGGAGAACCACTGCTCTAAATTAGTGGTTCTTGACCAGATTAAACTCTCGGAACTTATTTTAAAAACAGATGTCTAATCCCTACCTTAGATCTACTGAATCAGAATATTTAATGTACAACTGGAATGAGTACATTTTTAAAATAAAAAAGTACATATGTAGTTCTGATGCATACCCCTGGTTAAGAAGCAAACATTAAAAGACAAAATTACACGCATATAAAAAGAATTTAGCCCTCAAGTTTCTCGAGCAGCGAATGCCTACAAAGCAGGTACCTACATGCCTAGATTGGAGTCATCATAACTGGGTTGAAGCCATCCTTTGTTTAAAAGTGAATAGTGTAATTTCTGAAAGAATATTTCCAAGGAGAAGCTCTGTTAAGGCTAATGAAGATACAGTGTTGGTAAGTCAGGGACACTCCCAAAGGAAGCAATAATGTTTCCTTGCTTAGTGCCTAAGCATAGACTCCTGCCTCTTTCGCCTCCCCAAATCCTGGACATCTGTAGATTAAGCCCAGTCCTGCCTCCTGGGGCACCTTCTTTGAGGCTTCCATCTCACTGGGATATTACTTTAGTCTAAGAAAGATTTCCTTTAGCGATACTGTGGCACAACTGAGCTCTCTGCTACTTGCTATCATGTTTTCTGATCATTTCATCACTGGTAAAGATCCCTGTTGGTGTGGAATGTATCGCTACTTTTCTCTCCGCTGCAAAGCCTACCTTAGTATTAGGAAAGGGTGTGGGGTGTGTGTTGTTTTTTATTTATTTATTTTTTTAGATAGAGTCTAGCTTTGTCGCCAGGCTGGAGTACAGTGGCACGATCTCGGCTTACTGCAACCTCCACCTCCCAGGTTCAAGCAATTCTCCTGCTTCAGCCTCTGGAGTAGCTGGGATTACAGGCATGCGCTGCCATGCTCAGCTAATTTTTGTATTTTTAGTAGAGATGAGGTTTCACCATGTTGGCCAGGATGGTCTCAATCTCCTGATCTCGTGATCCACCCGCCTTGGCCTCCCAAAGTGCTGGGATTACAGGCGTGAGCCACCGCGCCCGGCCGTGTGTTGGTTTTTTACACCACTACCACTACTGATGACGACAACAATAAGAAGAGATATTCATGGAGTCATTTCTATGTGCCATGCACTGTGGTTTGTGCTTTAGAGGCATCGCCTCATTTAGTCCTCCTAATTCAAAAAGCTACCTACTGTTTTTATCCACTTTTTTTACAGAAAAGAAAATTGAGTCTTGGAGAGGGTAAAGTAGCTTACCCGATGTCACACAGCTAGTAAGTGGCAGACCCAGGAATTAAACTTAGAAATGTCTGACTGCAAAGCCTATGCTCCTAACATCTGCTCGATATAAAGAAACAAGTCCCTTGAAAAGTTGACAGGGCGGTCAGGCATGGTGGCTCACTCCTGTAATCCCAGCACTTTGGGAGGCCGAGGGGGGCAGATCATGAGGTCAGGAGATCGAGACCATACTGGCTAACACGATGAAACCCTGTCTCTACTAAAAATACAAAAAAAAAAAAAATTAGCTGGGCATGGTGGCAGGCGCCTATAGTCCCAGCTACTAGGGAGGCTGAGGCAGGAGAATGGCGTGAACACAGGAGGCAGAGCTTGTGGTGAGCAGAGATTGCGCCACTACACTCCAGCCTGGGTGACAGAGCGAGACTCCGTATCAAAAAAAAAAAAAAAAGAAAAGTTGACAGGGCACCTTTCAGTAGAAGGAGGCTGTAGTGACTCATTGAACTGACAAGATCTGAGTTTTTGTTGAAGCATTAATGCTCCATGGGAACTATAGATGGGTGAGTGTTAAGTTCAAGTTGGCAAAATTAGGTGTTAATAATTGCTTTTTATTTTTTAGCTCCTAAAAACATGTTTTTGGATGAAGCTTGTCAAAAGGATTTCTGAGACGAGTTCCCGAGATATCTACCAGGTAGAATATCCTTTAGAGACAGTCACTGGAGTCCCACAGATCATGCTCATGATTTAAACTCAAATAATCCATTCACTAAAGACAAATGATTTGTGTCAGTGGAAGTATCATCTAGAGCATGGTTTTTCAATCTCTCTACACTATTGCTATTTTGAGCTGGATCATCCTTTACTGTAGGGGCTGTCCTGTGCACTACAGGAGGTTCAGCACTGGCCTCTGCTTGCTAGATGCCAGTAACATGCCCCCAACCCCCGAGTTGTAGCAACCAGGAATGTCTCCAGACATGGTTAAAAGTCCTCTGTGGGACAAAAATCACCCCCCGGTAGAAGCACTAACTCAGAGTTCCCCAAACTAATGAAGCACCTAATAACTGAGTCTTTTCTCTTTAACAGGATGATTTCCTAGGGCAAAGAATGAATTTTCTGAACAAAAGGGAGTGATATTTCTCTTCCTTAAAAGATGATTTTAAAGAAATTTCACTAGAAAGCAACTCATGCATTTAACTTTGCTTACTTTACATATTATTTGTTCTTTTCTAAAAAAAAAATCTTTTTTTCTACACAAATAATGAGAGGGGCTTTATACCTTGGTTGGCATACAGATCTGTTAATTAATAATACTCCCATCCTGGGCAAGACCTGGAGCTTTGTTGGTATAACTGGCTTTAGTCCAGGGATGGTCAGAATGGAAAATTCTGCCAAAGGCAGTCAAGGCAGCCCAATATGGCAAGTGACACTATCATTGTAAGCCTTTTGATACAGGAATATTCACACTGGAGGCAAATCACTAGACTCTATTAACTGGATTTTTAGTCAACTCAGCAGGAGTTTAACAGAAGAACAGGAGGCTGTTAACTGTTCTCTTCTGAACTGGGAATTTGGAATGAATGAAGTATTTAAGTTGAGCCTTCTTTTCAGGTTTTTGGACACACAAAAATAACTTGCAGCCACCTGGTGGAAGCAAGACTTTTTTTTTTTTTTTTTTTTTTTTTTTTTTTTTAAATTGAGGTCCGGGTGGAACTATAAAAAGGAAAGGAAAGAGAAGTAATCAA
This sequence comes from Homo sapiens, assembly GCF_000001405.40. NCBI lineage: Eukaryota > Metazoa > Chordata > Mammalia > Primates > Hominidae > Homo > Homo sapiens. Next base: position 62,428,382 of record NC_000003.12, read on the forward strand.
GGGAGGCCAAAGTGGGAAGCTGTATTGCTGATCTAACGTGCTGTTCCAGTTCCTTCTTTTGGCTCTAAGTGGGACTACTCTGGATACAGTCAGGGGAGAAGAGGGTCCTGGATGTCTAACAAGCTTTTCCCATCATTGCATGGAGTCCTCCAAACATAATCTCCTTCAGAGACTGGCAAAGGCTCCCAAGCTAACTCCCAGATGGACACATGGACTTCTTGAGTAATCATTTTAACAATTCCTAAGCTCGACTTTGTTGTTGCTACATCATACTCATCGCGTTTTTGTGTGATGATGGCAGTGGCAGGGGGCTGTATTACATCCAGAGAGGAAGGGCTACCTGTATACTTTTAGTGGTAACCTCTTTTCTAGTTCGTGCAGATCAGTGGTTCTCAAATGGGGATGATTTTGCCCCCCAGGGGAAATTTGGCCATATCTGGAGACATTTTCTTCATTTTGAGAAGGACAGTGGCTGCTACTGGTGTCTAGAGTAGAAACCAGGGATGCTGCTCAACATCCTTTAATACACAGACTAGCACTCTACAACAAAGAATTATCTGACTCAAAATGTCAGTGGTGCCAAAGACGAGAAACTTTGCTTTAGAAGTATTTTTGAAACTGAGGATTGTAAACTTATTTGTGTGTAGTAGAATCATTTTACCTGTTACCACTGAAATTTTTGAAATTCAGTGGTAATATCAGGAACTATCAGACTGCATCACATAAATATTGTTTTATAAACTTTTGTTTCGTGTGTGTGTACACGCACACTGGGTTGCAATGTAAAATTTCTTTCTCATTGTGAGTTGGGGCAAATAAGTTTGAAGTAATTGATCTTGCCCACTATGTGCCAAACTTTTATGTGCACTTGAATCAAAGAGACTCTTGTTAAAATGCAGATTCTGATTCATTTGGTCTGGGGTTAGGGCTGAGACTATATATCTCTTACAAACTTCCAGATGATGCTGATGCTGAGGGCCTGTGGATCACATTTTGAATAAAAAGAACCTATGCAAGATTTAAATTCACTCATTAAAATAATTAGAGCAGTAACTATGTATCTAGGTATTGATCGTGAAATCTTTTGATAGCCTATCTGGAGCCCAGCAGGGAGAGAAATAGTTACTTGTTTAATAAATGAGAAGTATTTGAGGATTTAACACAGCTCGTCTCCTGCAATGCAATGTGATAATATTTCTTCCACAAAATGTGCTTTGGCTACTCTGTGTGTTTGTGTGTGTGTGTGTGTGTGCACACGCGTACTTGTACATGTGTACTGTGTTTGAGTCTGTCACTTACTGCTTCCATGCCGTTAAGTCTGCCATAAGAAAAAAAAAAACCCCTGTTCTAAGACACAGAAGTATTGTGTGGGTCATGTTAACAAGAATACTGTGACCTTAACGTAACAGAGCAATCAGCTTGGCTTCTTAGAATGATTAATGGAACATTCTCCTCTGGAAAGGAAAACAAATTAACTGTCTTCACCAAATGTCTTCTGGAACACAGAAAGCTGTTCTGATAAAGACACTTAGCAAAACTCTTCATTGCCTACAAGCTCCAGAGAAAATTCAAGACTGGCTTTATGTAAGGTTTGCCTGAAGGTAAGAGAGTTCTATTTCTATGAATGGCTTTGGAAGGAAATAGCTAGATTAGAAAACTACTTGAAGATATGTTACAGAAATGTAAATCTGTGAGAATACCAACAAAAAACCCCTCAGTTTCTTTTGGATAGTAATAACCCATTTAACATGATTAATCCAAATCTGTTAATGCCCCTTATCTTTTTTTGTATGCAGGATTGCTGAAAGTTCAAAATACCCAGGCATGGAGTGAAGCATTCCCAAGTCCATGTGGAATGGAAATGTGTTTCTATACCTAAGACTCCAAAAGCAAAGTAATTAATTGTTATCACTTACTTGTAATTGTGAAGCCCATGGGGGAAGAGGGGATTGACATTTGAATACTATTCACTGCAATAGGGCATCAGAAAAGCACCAAAACACTCGGTTCATCTCCTCTCATCCTAATAGAAGAGGAATTATCAAAACTGTTAAAAGCAGATTTGGATGGTGGGAGTTAGAGAAAGCATGAAGACACTGGGAATTCGAGTGGCCCTGGAGGGCATAAGTCATGAAAACGAACTTGGATTGTTTTTTAATTTTAGCTTGGAAGTATCCTGAGGTTCACTTCCAAGAATCCAAACAGAGCTTAGATTGGGACTGAATACATGGTTTTCCTCTGCCAAGGAAACTTAACTCCCTAATAAGGTATATATCTTACATACATACATACACATACACACACACCCTATTTTAAAATATATATATCATATATATATAGATACCCGTTACGTAACAATATTTAGTAGGTAATGTTACCAATCAAGGTGAGTGATGGGTTTCTCATTTCCCTCCAACTTGTCTCCAGTTTCTGTATTCTTTTTGGGAAATGACACTCTACAGCTGTAATGCATGGCCTAGGGTATGACTTAATTGCCAGAGTTTACTTTGGGGCTCGAAAATAGATGAAAGAATCAACTGTCTCTTCTTCCTGTAACTGCCTTTCCCAGTTCATTTGGATTAGCTTTCTGGTTTCAATACACATAATCTCACAGATTCTAAGGGATGTCCTAGTAGCCTGGCTGACATGCTCTTTAGCTTCATAATTGAGGATAGAGATGAGGTCACAGTTCAATTAAAATTTGATCTAAAGAGTATGGAAAAGCTCAGCTTCAGACTGATTTGGAGGGCTTAATTTCAGATTGATAACCTCGGGGAAAATCCCGGTAGAATTAACAAAGGACCCTTCCCAATAGTATGGGTATGTGTGTGTCAAAGTCACCAGTCTAAGACTTCAAAGCAGTTACAGTGACACAAGAAATGCTGGACTGTGACCCTCTGATTTACCCACCCAGCTCAGATAGCTGTGCCTTATTCCAGTAGTTAAAATCTCTGTATGTCTTCACATGGCCACCTTGTACTCTGGCCTCTGTGAGTTTTTTACAGTTTAGCCCCCCCTCAATCTTTTTTTTTTAAACTAGCTTCAGAAGTTTTCCTTACATACAGAGAACAGCTTAAATAAAAAACCCCGGTTGAATTCTGCTAAGTTACTAATTATGTTTAAAAGAACTACTTGGTTGAATTCAGCTTGATTTTTTTTTTTTTTCTCAGCAAATCAGTTCTATGTTTAGATAGTAATAAACTCCTCCAGTCTGCAGAACAATTGGCACGGCAGTCCCTATAACAAGTCAAGATCATGAAAAAAGGGCCAGTGCTGGTTCAAAATAAATTTAAGGGGCATCACAACCTTGCCCTGCATCAAATCCTGGTTTGCACAAACCAGCTGTAAAGAATATTTTGGGGACAAGTGGGTAATTTTGAATACAGTGTATGAGAGGAAAATTTACTGGCATGGGAAATAGTGACCATTAACTTTAAAAAGCAATTTTTTTGCTTACTCATTTTAGAAAAAGAGTACATTATATATATATATAATTATATAGAAAAAGATTAAAAAAAACACCACTGATAATGATATGTGGGTGCTGGGAACACAACATTTTAATCTTCTTATTTTTTGGTTAGCCATATTTTCTAAATGTCTACAATATACATATACTGCATCTTAATAGTAAAGGGTATTAATTACTCCCTCCCTCTCTCTGCCCCCACCCCCCAAAACCCTGAAGTTCCGAAGGTTAATTCTGATTTATTTGGCAATGCAGTGTAGTTTTGTTGAGGGGGTAGAGCTAGGCTATTTCAAAATCACTTGAAGGAACAAGTAGTTCTATGAGATGATAAGGATGATGATGATAAGAGACTCATTGAATTTTTAACTACGTCTGTCTACATTCATTATATCATTTAGTCCTCACGAAAACTGTAAGAAGCCAGTTTCTTTACAGATGGGGAAATTGAGGCTTAGGGAAGTGAAATAATTGACCCCAGGTTAGAAAGCTCAAAAGTGGCAGAACCAAGTTTCCTCCTTCTGTCTGTCTTACTTCAAAGCCCCACTCCTGACCATCACTATTTTGCCTGTTTCAGGAAGATGTTTTACCAAAAGTAAAAAAGGTACCAGGCTGCTCTACATCAAGCAATTCTAAGCAAGCTTGGGGTTAATGTCTTAAAGTGATGGGGAGACTCATAGCACCTTAACATGAATATGAAACTTTGCTTAACAAGGAAAAAAAGAAGGCTGGGAAAAGCATTTCCATTTTGATGATGATGATGATAGTGATGATGATGATGGTGGTGGCTAACACTTACCAATGCTTCCTCAGAGCTCGATGCTGCAGATTCATATGGCATTTCACCCTCATAATAACTCCACGATTATCATCCCTGTTATATAGATGAATCAGCTGAGGCTCTTAGAGATTAAATGCCTTGTTCAAGGTCACCCAGCTAGTAAGGATCAGGTCTGAAGGTTCCAGAGGCAGGGCCCATGATCACTGCACAGTAAGTCCCATTCAGGGCACTCACGTCTGCTTATTGCTTAGAGAGGAGATAACTCACTGTCTCAGTGTCTAGAATGCCATATGCCTTGAATTTCTTTAATCAGCCCCTTAGAAGTGCAACTTATTGTGTTAGTGAATCCTATGCACCTCTCCCCACTTCATATTTTTGGAAGTGGTTTCCCTTACCTGGACAGCTGGTGATATACCTTACAGATATAGCGTCATGTCCTCCTTGTAGCCTATTATTTGGTACTTTCATCCTCCAGCAGGATGATTCCTACTTTGATTGATATATGCTCACATGTATGGTGCTTTAGTAATTTAATAAGGTTGTTAAAATAAGGGTATCTGTGGTTTCATATATAAATATAGCAAATATATTTTAACAGGCAAAGGTTTCATGTTTCAAATTACCCTTTTCAAGGGAACTAGTCACACTCAATTATTGTTCTGCCACACAAACTGGACAAATACACGATTTGAAAATGGAACAGCAAATTAAAATCCGTGCGAGGCAAAGAATACTGAGTAGCAGCCCCTTCCGAAGCTGACCACACTGCTTGATTAAGTTCTTACGAGGTGGTTTGGTAAGAGGCCCTTTCCTGATCTGATAACTGCCACGGAGAAGCCAAATGCAGAGTCAATCTGCAAATACTTAATCCTCCAGAAGGCAGATTAAGTGTATAATTGACCTATATAATCCATGTATCATCTCCAGTCAAATGTTCCCTGGGCCTGGTTCCCAATGACACGGGGCCTGAAGAAAGCCAGTGCGGATGCGGCATTACTACCAATGTGGATTCCATCCAAGTTCGAGATGGCTTTTTAATCACTCATCTCCGAGCCTGTGAGGTTTAAGCAGATGAATTCACCCTAAGCACATCTCTTTTAATCCCGATTTTCTTCTCAGTCTGTGTCTTCAAGAAGTACAAGGAAGAAAGAAAATTAATTTTTGTTTAGACCTTGAAATCTTAGGTGCGTCTCTTGATGATCTGATCTCTAATTTCAAAAAGCATGTTTTTATTTTGGGGAAGATGTTGAATTAATCACTAGAGAAGGAGGGAAAAGCCATCTGCATGATTTATGGATACTCCAACTTTAAATCACTGTCTTCAAGTTATTTCTTGAGCTTGTGCTTTCCTCTGTAGCTGCTGCTTTAGGAATATGGAGATTATTTCATATCCATGTTTTATATTTTCTTTGAATGTCAGCAATAATTTTCAAGAAGGCTAAGCTTCCACTTGAGTCTCACAGCAGTCTGATCTTCTTTTAAAAATTCAGCATCTTTAATCTACTTGAATTCATTGTTTTTGTGTATATTGGAATATTCTCTTACTTTAAATCTCAGTTTGTTTTGTTTCAAAATGTTATAAACTGTTATTCTGCAGCAACTGAAAACAATATA